>NC_000011.10:7938787-8241818 GCF_000001405.40 Homo sapiens
GGTGAGAGGCACAGGTGGAAAAGGCCTTTTGTCTCCCAGTAGTTGATGGCATCTTCAGGATGGCAAACAGAACTCGAATGTAAGACAAGAGGATCAACAAGAAAGGAACCATAACAATCAAAATGGTGCCTGTGAAGGCATAGATTTCAAATAAGAAGGTGTCTGCACACACAAGCTCTAGTACCGGGGGAGTCTCACAGAAGAGATGATTAATTTCATTGGGGCCACAAAATGGAAAACTAAATACCCAAGTGGTCTGCACAGTAGCCACCATGATCCCTGAGATCCATGAGAATATTACTAATTTCATAAAAACCCCTCTGTTCATAATCACTGGGTAGTTCAGAGGATGGCAAATTGCAGCAAATCGGTCATAAGCCATCGCTCCCAGGAGAAAACATTCAGTCCCACCAAAAAGAAGGATGAAATACATCTGTGCAAAACAGCCCACAAAAGAAATCATAGTTTTCTCAGTAGAGAGCACCACCAGCATTTCAGGCGTAATGACTGCACTGAAACTCACCTCCACCACAGATAGGTTCAGGAGGAACAGGTACATGGGAACGTGGAGGCTCTGGTTTAAGGAGATGATGACTGTAATGATGGCATTTCCCATCAGGGTCACCACATAAATAACTAGGAAAACCCCAAAGAGCTGCACCTGGAGCTCAGGAAAGTTAGAAAAGCCCAGGAGGATGAATTCAACCACACAGCTTTGATTTTGTCTTTTCATTTCAGTAGTTGAAACTTATATTGTTTTTATGGACCTGGTATATCGAGTATGAAGTCGTAATCCCATAGCTGTGAGTTCAAGTCTGGAATTCTTGACAGCAGATGTAATGACAAGCTCATTTTGACAGAACTTCAGGTTGGCACTTTTGAAGAATGGCCAATGACTTGTAATAGTGAATCTTTAAAATACAAATAAAGAAGTGAAGTATTTTGGTTCAGAAATCTTGTTTTTAAAGTACAAAATAACAGTAAATGTTATCTGGCAACATCTTTGTTTTGTAGGTTGCTCTCTCTCTCCTCTCTTAATGCCAAGTTCCCCTTTAAAAGCCTCTGCTTTCTTTCCAAAAAGTGAAGCAGTGTCCTTAAAGGCAGGAGCCTATACCTCTTCCCTTAGTTGGATTCTTCAAGCAAAGAGCAACTGAACCTGAGTTTTGGTTACGCCTGGATTGCGAGCTAGTCTGGAACTTGGCTGCAGTCCTAACTCTGCCACTGTCTCCAAGATGGGTCTCTGCCTCTGCTGCACTTGGGTTCCCCATCTGTATGGGTTAGAAGCAGCAGAATGATCCCTTCTGGCTCTGACATAGGTGTTTCTCTAATTTGTTGATAGAAAACTGCAGGCTGCAAGGCCTCAACTCCAATCAGATGGGAGCTGGGCTGAAGGGAACATGGAGTAGTGGTGGGTGGGCACATAGGCAGCACACATGCTGCCTGAGTCACTTTGGGCCTGCCAGTCCCATGCGGAGATGACCATTTTCTTCCCAATCCAACTGCCCCTCCAGAGCCACTCTCAGGGCAAAGCGACTTCATTCTCTCTGCTCTCAACCAGAGCAACAATCCTTGTCTCCCAGTATTCCCTTCACTGTCAGGGCCCACAAGTCTTTAAAATCTGGAGTCCTCCTGGCCTCACGAGTCCATCCCCGCTGACACGCTCCACCTCACTGCCTCTTTTCCTCTCCCTTCACCTCCTCTACCTTTAAACGGAAACCTAACTGGCTATTCCATGTTTTATACCCGTTCCTCCAATCTGTACCTCAAATTTCTGACAAAATAATATCACCCTCCCTCCGAGAAACTTCAGAGTCTCCCCTTATCAGTAAAATACAATGCCCACTTCTCAGGCTGGCATTTAAGGGGAACTAGAGTGATAACAATTGCTTTAGGAATGTAAATGAGGGAAACATTACTTCTGAATGGACAGTGAGGGTGGGAAACCATAATCACAAGATGACAAGGGTGGAAGGTCCATTAAGCAGAGGAGAAAAAGCATAAGGAGGAAGGCTGCCTTGCTCAGATAGAAGGTATTCAATGACACCTTAGTACTAGCATGGACCTCCAAACTGGACTTTGTGTGATGCTTCAAAAACCAGCAGAATTTTACTGTGGGACAAGAGGAAGCCAGGAGGAGAGGACACAGCAAGCTGAAGACATCTTGATTTCATATCATTAGGACATTAGCAGAGAGGAAAAGGCAATTGATTTATTGAGTCTGACCATAGTGATATTAAAAACCAAATATATGTTTTAACTATAACAAAATTTTTTGGATGTAAAAAATCTCCTAAAATAGACTTGGCAGGAAAAAAAAATGCCTAAGTATCATTTTAATAGACAAAACTACATTTTCAGCTCCAGGCCTATAAAACCAAATACGTTTGTAAAATGAGAAAATTTAGAGTATCCTACTAAAAATGGGCAACTTTTAAGGAGCTGATAAAGCAAAGTTACAAAACAAATCTAAATTACTGCCTTCATGAGTAATTTTTTTAAGCTGAACTTAAATGCTCCATCTTTTCCCTTTAACATAAAACAACATAATGCTGATTTAGCTAATTCACTGATATGTTCTACTGGCTCTGGCATTAACTTTCTGTATAATCTTGGGCAAATAACTCCCTCATCAGGGTTTCATCTTTCTAACCAATTGGACTTATTTCTGACCGCTTTCACCCCGCTCCCTCAACTACATACCTCTAAGAATTGATGGTTTGTGCAAGCAAACCGTCTATAGATCTAATTACTGTCGAACTTTTATGTGAATATGAAGGGCACAGCAATTGACTTTCTTACCTGAGCATTGAGTTATCACTTGATAAGTATCTCCAATTATCAGTGAGGATAACTACAGAAGGCAAACCCACCAACAAGTACCAAAGCAGAATCTTCAGATCCTTATCTATTCACTGTCCCTGATTTTCATCCCATTTATGTTTTACCTCTTCAATTAAAAAGCACTTCCTAAATACAACTTAGTGATTCAATGCATTGATTTTAAATTATACTGCATTAAATTTTATGCCCTGAGAGAAATCTTCTCTGGAGAACTGACACACAATTTATACAGACTTTCCTGTATGGGGGCAAGGAATCTCCGCTGCACAAACTTGGAATACGACTCTTCCAGGTTTCCATAGGGAATTAACACCTCTTCACATGAGAGACCCAATTCCACCAAGACCTTTCCCATTAAGAAATGAAAGCAGAGACTGAATGAATGTTAATAAATAGGCACAAATGCAGAAGGGAGAAAAGAATGTGAGCGTGAGTAAAGGCAGAGTGATTTGGACAGAGGATCTGATTGGACAAGATAGACAGTTTGTGCAATGGTAGGAAATGTGTTATGGCAAGTAAATTGAAGTTACTTTGTGGAAAGCCTGGAGATACCAAAACTTATATTTTCTAGTAGTAATATGGAAATACTAAATTTTGGGGGAAAGTCTTTTAGATAATTTTATAGTCGAAACTTTTTAACTTGAAGTCAAAACATCTGAACTAATATGACTTTGAGCATCATGTCTCTTCTCTGGCTCTATTACTTTTTTGATAAAATCAAGATAATGTTATTAACTTCACAAAGTATATGTAACAATCAGAGGACTCAGAGTTAAGTTCACACTGATTTGAGCAATCAATAAGACTATTAGCTCAGTTCCAGCAAAGTATAGGGATGAATAAATCTGTAGGCTTGGCTTTATCCAGAACTCAGATAATGTTTCCAGGACCTGGATTTCTTTTTTTCTCTATTTCTCATCTCTGCTTTCCTAGAGTAGGTTCTATTCTCAATGAATATTTTCCCTTTAGTGTCAATAAGGCTGCTAACAACACTTAGGGATAGATCCTCTCTGTATCCAGTGGGCAATGTACCAGTTATCCTGAGGATAAAGGGTTTTTATTTGTAAAAACTAATCCAAGAACCCCTCCTGTATCATTTACTATGGTGGGATTACATGACTATCCACCTATAAACCAGACACTGTGACTGTGAATGAGATGAGAAATGCTACCTAATATGCAAATTTCATGGCATTCTATCCTATAACCAGGTACAGCATCAATTCTAACTATGCATACCTGAAAATGTTTAATTTTTTAAAAATCCCCAAGGTACTGTTTATAGGAGAAGGAGGTCAAAGAATGATGGTGATTCAACACACAAATGCTCTATACATAAAGCATGGTATCCTTTAAATTATTATATGAATACAAGGAAGTGAGATGAAAGCTGAGAAACAATAATGTTGCATTATTTATTTTTGCAAGATGGACTGGACAGAAGTAGAACTAGGATGTAATGAATGGAGAAAAATCATGTATACTGTAGAGGATAAATAGTAATATATAGTCCTGGATATGAATGTGTTACATAAAGAAGACAGGATTTCAAATGTTTGTGGAAGAGAGGATGAATAAATAGAAACATGGACAGGGAAGTCCATAAATAAATCACTTCAAGGGCTTTGCACACCTTTGGAACTGGTTCCTGAGTCCAAGAGTGAGGGGAAAAGGGATATACTTACCCTCGTAAAATAAGTCAAGGAGCAAATAGTCACACACTCTATTAATGAAGAAGTCTTCTCAGAATTGACAATCCCTTCGTTGAACAAGCTGAAAACCTGACTGTAAAGGCATTGTTATGAGCCTATACAGATGTCCCAGTCCCCTGAGTCATGCAAAAAAAAAGAAAAATCCATTGAAACCCTTGAAGTGGGAAATGGGAAGTGTGATATACAGAAATTATCTTCTTTCCTGTGAGTCTGTTACCTAAGATGCAAAGCAACAGAGTAAGTGCCATCAGCAGGCAATGGGAACAGCAACAATTTTTGGGGGGTGGGGGAGGGTGTTACGATGGTGGTATTGTTGGACCTATCATTGTATGTAGGGCTCCCTTGAGAATTTCTTGAAAGGTCAGTCTAGTGGTGATGAATTCCCTCAGTTTTTGCTTGTCGGGAAAAACTTTATTTCTCCTTCCATTCTGAAGGATAGCTTTTCTTGGTATAGTATTCTTGGCCACCAATTATTTTCTTTCAGCACTTTGAAAATATGACTGTCTCTTTGCTTATAGAATTTCTGCAGAGAAACCTGCTGTAAGTCTAAAGAGGACTCCCTTATATGTGACTTGATGCTTTTCTCTTGATGTTTTTAGAATTCTCTTTTTATCTTTGACTTTTAACAGTTTGACTATAATGTGCCTCAGGAAGGATCTTTTGGGGTTAAA
Organism: Homo sapiens; assembly: GCF_000001405.40. Lineage (NCBI taxonomy): Eukaryota > Metazoa > Chordata > Mammalia > Primates > Hominidae > Homo > Homo sapiens. The sequence continues at coordinate 7,944,012 of NC_000011.10, forward strand.
TATGTTTGGGGACTTTGAGCTTACTGGATCTGGGTCTTCATATCTCTCCCAAGACTCTGAAAGTTTTTAACTATTATTTTGTTTGATAGGTTTTCTATGCCTTTTCCCATCTCTTCCAGAACTCTCATGATACAAATATCTGTTTGCTTAATGGTGTCCCATAAGTCCTATAGGCCTTTTTCATTCTATTTTACTTATTTTATTTTTATTTTCACTCACTGGCTAATTTCAAACAACTGATCTTCAAGTTCAGATATTCATTCTTCTGCTTGATCTGGTCTGGCTATTGAAGCTCTCTGTTGTATTTTTTATTTCATTCATTGAATTCTTCAGCTGCAGGATTTCTGTTTGGTTTCTTTTTATGATATCTGTCACTGTGTTAAATTTCTCATTCATATCATGAATTGTTTTCTTGATTTTGTTGAATCTTCTATACGTATTCTCTTGTATTTTACTGAGTTTCCTTAGGATCGTTATTTTGAATTCCTTTTCTGGCAACTCATAGATCTTTTTTCCTGTGAGATCTGTTATTAAAGAGTTATTGTGTTCCTTTGGTGGTGTCGTATTTCTTTATTTTTCATGTCTTTTGTGTCTCTGCATTTATGTCTCTGCATCTGGTGGAAAAATTGCATCTTCCAAACTTTATAGAGGGGCTTTCATAGAAAAGGAATTTCACCTGCAGTTGTGTCTTTGTGTGGCTATTGAGAAAGGTGTAGTGACTCTGGTTCTGAGTAGATGTAGTAGTATAGTCTCTGTGCAATTTCTTCAACTGCAATCAACATCAGCAATAACTGTGGGTGCCTCAGTGTTGTGGCCTGTAGAAGCTTGTGGCAGTGGCAATGGTGGCATGGGTTGTTAAGGTGCTCAGTAACAAGGGCTTTGGAGGTCCTCCTTTTCTCATTTTTCCCATAATGGGGAGAGGTAGCTGAGGTGTCTCCTCTTGGTGTCAGATCTGACATGGCCTACACGCAGCTGCAGCAGTGCTAGGTTCCAGGTGCATGTGCTCAGAGCATCTGTGGAGCTGGAGTACTAAGCTCAGGGTCTCAGGAACCTATTGTGTGACCAGCTTGGGTCTTAATGTGCAGGTTCACCCTCTGTAGTGGGGTTGGATATAGACTGCCAACAGTATCTGTGACTCTGAGGCATCCCCTAGCAGCTGAGGCCTAGAAAGTCAGGTTGTATCTATGACTCTGACCCTGGAGATTAGGACATAACACTGGCTTAGCTCTGGGGAAGAAGGGGTGCTTCAGAGGTTTGGGCCCAGGCAGCATGGTACAGCTGCAATTTGGGAACCAGAACCAATAAAGTTCAGTGGCAACTCAGGTCCCAGGGGATGAGAAATCATGCTGTGGTAACTCTAGACCTTGGGAAGGTGGGAGTATCCCAGACTCTGTGAGGCAGGTGTAGTGACAGTGCAGACTCCAGAATGGTGGATCACAGCTGTTGTTTGGGCCCTGGGGGACAGGGAGCAGCACAGTGATGACTCTACTTCCTGGGAATGAGGGGTGTCTCAGCAGCTCATGCCCTAGGGGGCTAGTCCAGCTCCAGGAGAGTAGGGTACTTGAGTTGTTTGGCCTCCAGAGCATGGTGTCTAAGCTCAGGCACTGCTCTGTTTCCCTGGGATGCAGGGTACTAATATAGCTAAGCCTTGATATGTACAGCTACTCAGCCTAGGCACCAATTCCCCAGGGGCAATGTGTCACTTCAGCTAAGGACTGGGGGCATGACCACTCTGGGTGGCCCAGGCACCATTTCCCCAGGATGCAGGGCATGCTTCTGCTTAGGCTCCAGGGAGGCATGACTGCTCTGAGCAGCCAAGGTACTGTTTTTCCAGGAAGCAGGATACTGGTTCAGCTCACACACAGAGGGGCAGAACACAGCAGCAACTGGGAAGGGTATATGGAACGACTTCACCAAAGCACTGTTTCCCTGGGAGGTAGTACATAGCTTCAGCTCAAGTCCTGTGGAGCAGAGCGTGACAGCAGCTGGAGAGGTTTTTGGAGCAGCTCTGTAGAGGCAACATTTCCTCAGGAGTGGATGAGCAGCTTTAACTCAGGCTCCTAGGGGGAAGGTGCAGCAACAACTGGAAAGGGTAGATGGGCAGGTCTGCCAAAGCACTGTTTCTGTGGGAGGGAGTATGCAGCTTCAGCTCCAGCCTGAAGGGGTGAGGTACAGCAGCAAATGGGAAGGGTAGGTACAGCTGCTCACTGGTTACAGATGTTGGGCCACTGGGTAGGGGTAGTTTGGAGCCTCAGGGGTGAATGGGTGCTGTGGTCACTCACCCCCAAAGCAAAACACACTCCAGCAGTATTCCCAGGTTCAAGACAGCATTGTAATGCATAGCTGCATGGGCCACAGTCAGGGGCTGAGACAGGGGCTGGGACACAGGGCACAGTGTCAACTCCACTGGTGACAGAGGGGAGCACAGGTATAGCTATGGACTCCAGGCAGCTCTCTTAGCTGGGCTTAGTGCCTGTGAGGACTACAAGAGTCCATAACACTGAGGACTATAGGTGTCCGAGGTGTTGATGGGGCCTGCTGAGGTGACCTTGCTTGCCTTTTCCCTGCAAGGAGAAGTCCTTACTGGTTCCAAGCTGATCCCAGCTGGCAAATGGGGTGATGGGGCCCAGGTGCTTCCTTCCATTCTCTGTGTGGCTGTCCTGAGTTTCTCTGCCCACCCAGGGTTTCTGTGGCTCCCTTGATAAACTTTGGTGCTCTCCTTTAGTTATTTTTATCAAAATGTAGTGGTTTATAGTGGTTTATTTGTTGTTTTGGCTATCTTTGTGGGGGATGGGTAGGACGAGCACTATGGACTTTTAGAGGGCTATCTTGCTGTCATCAAAATCCAAATATATATAATTTTTTTAAAAATAGCAATTGATGAAGAAGCACTCTACCAGGAAGAGGCATACCCAGTGCTCTTGCCTCTCAGGATTCCCTTTGGACACTGTAATATGATGTATACTTTGGAGAGCAGGATGGTAAGGGTCAGACAGGAGTGGTATGATACATAAACAGTTAACATTTTAGACATGAAAGTCTCAACAGTTATACATGTCCTTTAAATATTTGCTGTCCCCCAGGGTAAAGAAAGAAGCTTATACTTTACATTCTCTGAAAGAGGACCTCTTTTCTTTTGCATAGAAATATAAATATATCTATCACTGCCAAGAAAAATGTAAATTTCTGTTATAAAATCCTCCAGGAACATCACAATTGACAGTCTCTAAGGTAGCATCCCTAAAACCATAGGGACCCTAAGGGGCCTCTCCCCAGAGAACCAATCCCCAGTAATCTCTAAGTATCAGCCTGGTCTTGCAAAACTTCATGCCTAGGGCAGAGTTTCTTTCATTCTTTCCTCAGATTTGCCTTTCAGGAACTTGACTGTGGAAGCAGCAGGGAGAATGGATTTGAGGAGGCTGCTAAAGTTAACCAGGTGAACAGTGGGTAAGCTTCGGAAAAATTAAGTGGTATAGGCAATTGGATTGGTGATTGATGGAAATCTGGGAGATGAGAACAAGGCAAGAGTGACAACTAAGTTTTGGCATAAGCAACTGAGCAAAACTTAAAAGACAAAATAGAGGATTGGATGATGAGTTCAATCTGAAACACGTGAGTTTGGGGTCAACCAAGTAGAAAAGTCCAGTAGGCAGCAGGATATACTACTCTCACAATTTTTATTCATCAATTATACCACAATAAAGCTGGAAGATAACAAAAAGAAAGGAAGGGAATAGATTGAGTAGGTATAAAGGGATAAGATCTGGGCTTCTGTCTTAAACAGAAGTGCAAAGATCTCATCTGTGGTGACAGGAGAGAAGGCAGAGTAAAGGGGTACATTTTGATGGTTCTAAGCTTGGTTCACCTTTGTATTCAGACCAGTCTGGGAATCACTGACAGCTGCTAGAGCTGATAAATTCAGAAACAATTTATTTGAAGGACAGAGGAGACTTTGGGGGAGAAAGTAGTCCTGAAAAAGAAAACAGAAGGCTAAAGCTTTGAAAATTGAGAATAGTGAGGAGGCAGAAGATGTGGGAAGATGGGAATAGGGCCAGGGCAGTAAGACTGAGATTCTGAGCACAGTCTGTGTCCTCATCTTAAGGAGGCTTAATGGCAGAGTCTTAAGAGAGGGGACTGCCTTCAAACAGCAGGAAAATCAATTTGTAAAGGAGAGGTCATCTCTCTAACATCCCTGGGGACATAGAGTTTCTAAGAAAGCCTCAGTTTGGTGACCTATGGGATAAGCTGTCCAGATCTACCTTCAAGAATGAAGAATCTTCAGGAATGAAGATTTTGCGAGTGCCAGAAAGGCCTGAGCTGTCAGCCCCTAAAAGGACTGCTTCACCTGGGGCATCTGTACCTACTAACTGATCAATGTCAGAGAATAAGGGCTTGGCCCCCACTGTGACGGTCAGGACATCTCTGAAGGGTCATCCCCGCCTTCAGTCCATTGAAGCCTTCAGGAAGTCTGCCTCAAAACTCAACTTCTTTCTTCGCTAAATCCTGCCCTTCTTTCCTTCCCTTCCACAGATGTTGATCCCATTGCACACTAATCTCTATCGCAGCATTTCCTGCAGAACCTAATCTACTATTTAAACTATTTAAACAATAGTTTAAAAATATGAATGTTTGGATCCTGACAACACCAGCAGGCACTGAAGACCCTGCATGGGGGTTGTGGGACTCTGCACCTTTGCTTTAAACATAACCACTGAAACCCCAGAAGCACCTCTCTCACCAAAGATAGTATCTTGAAGCACAGCTGAAGTTCCTGTGCCTCAGTTACCTTGTCTACAAAAGCAGAGGAATTACATTAACACTCTTTAGGCTCATACCCACTTCTAGGATGCTATTCTATTTCATTTTTCTGTTCATTATGGTAATAACAAAAGAAAGAGAACAAGGGAGATAAAATAACATGAAGAAGAAAGGGCTTAATGCATTACAAAAACCAAAGAGCAAAGAGTGAAGGAGAGAGTGGCAGAGATGATTAGGAGAGGTGTGCATGCAAGCCTGGTAGGTTCATTAGGATTTTTTCCCCAATTATAATGGGTTTTTAAATATTTTCCACAGATAAAACTGTCAGAGTTTTGTTTCAAAATTACTACTTTTTTATTGTGCTAGGTGTTAAAATGAATAGATTTGGAATGAAATAAATGTCTCATAATTATCCCTACTCCTATGGAAATGATAATGTCATCTTCAAAATGAGGGAAGATTGACTTCGAGCTGTTTCAACAAAAAGTGGGTCTAATGAGCAAAGGTGTGATTAGAGCCAATCTGGTCAAGAACACTATCCACCTGCCCATGCAATCTGGCAAAGTCATAAATTCATTCCATTGGGACTGGCTAAAAGACTGAATGGATCAATACACCTGTTAAATCATTCCATAGTCAAACATATGTTGACAGCTCAAACTTATTTTTATCAGCCTGGTCTTAGATACATGTAAAAGTAGATACATGTAAAAGTTTGGATTCAGTGGCCATTTAGACCCTGTGATTACAACAGACTGTGAGTCCCTCAAGGGCAGGGGTTTTTCAGTTTTGAAGCTCCTGTGACTATCAGTGTTGCTGGAAGGTAATTAGATAGTAGATTTATTAATTGAACAGAGATATAAATGAACAACGAAAAGCATAATTAATTGATTTGAATTAATTTGAGTCTATGTGACTTAGCTTCATGTGAAAACGGATCTCCAGTGAGCATCCAGTGTATAGACAACAAAAAGATGTCCCATAAAATTTTTTTTAACATATTCTCAGGTTACACGAAGCAAATTGAATTATTCCCTTAAATGGCTAAGTGTATTCCCATTTGGAGTTTAGAATCTGATGGTTCCCAGTTGGACCCTCCCAAGTTTGAACCAACTTTCCCAAGTCATTCACAGATAAGTTTTTAGCTACAGAAATGAAAATCCTGTCTCTATTTAGTGGTATCTGGGTGCTTTCCCAAGATGGTGGCATTGAGTATATCTTCAGGCTTATCTAAAGTAGAAACTTTTCAGAAAGCAATGTAGCAATACTATATCTGTTAAAATTAAAAGTACATTTACTCCTTGATCCAGCTCTCCCCCTTGGGATATATATGCATACAGCTGTTTATTGCATCATAGTTTGTTTTGGCAAAAAAATTGAAACTGATAGCCAACAAATACTGTGTTATTGTATAAATAGTGCGATACCCAATATTATGCAGTGACTTAAAAGGATGAATTAGACCAAATGAACTAACCTGGAGAAATATCTTTGATCTATGGTATTGCCAAAATACACAGTCCTTCTATCTTTACAAATTCAAATTGTGTGCAATGGCCTACAACCAAATAACACCACAGTGTGTGTAAAACCACTTTCTTCTCCAGTTTCCTAAGTACCCTTTAGATCTCAAGCTGTAGTTCAACAGATTAGCAGAGAGATGAGCAGAAAGCAGGCCAGAGATTTAAGTTTCTTATTTCCTAAGGAGCAGCCAGATTTCACTTGTAATAAATGATATTGGTTGTACCCATAAAAGACAAATATATGACAAGAATTTTAGCAAGAAAAAAATCATAAGATTTAGGATGATGTTCATAAATGCAGATTTCATGTATATAAGCTCTAGCATTGGTGAGATTTCACAATAGGGACCATTAATTTCATTACAGCCACAATAGCAAAAATTAAGTTTGTATCCCCAAAATGCAACACAGAAAGACAAAGAAATTATTAGAAAAAAATGCAAGACTTAAAGGCTAGAAGACTCAACAACTACATGCAATTTTTACCAAGAAATTCTAACTCATTGGAGCATGAGGTGTTTTTGTTTCTTCCAATAACTATTACCAATTAGATCACGAAAAAAATCCTTTTTCCATTGCATAGCATTTCTCTTGATGACATTTTGGGCAGACTTATGTATGTTTTCAGCTAGTTAGTTGTTAAACTAGTTTCATTCTACTATTAAGAGTTTAATCTCTTTAAAAATCCAAACTTGGCTGGGCGAGGTGGCTCACACCTGTAATCCCAGCACTTTGGGAGGTGGAGGCGGGCGGATCACGAGGTCAGGAGATCAAGACCATCCTGGCTAACACGGTGAAACCTTGTCTCTACTCAAAATAGAAAAAAAATTAGCTGGGCATGGTGGTGGGTGCCTGTAATCCCAGCTACTCGGGAGGCTGAGGCAGGAGAATGGTGTGAACCTGGGAGGTGGAGCTTGCAGAGAGATGAGATTGCGCCACTGCACTGCAGCCTGGGTGACAGTGCAAGACTCCATCTCAAATACAAAAAAAAAAAAGAAAAAATACAACCTTATAACTTATTCAAATTCTTCTTCTTCCCACCTCAAATATATACTAGAGTGATGCAAACTGGGGTAGTGGAAGCAGAGTGTGTTCCCTAGACACTTATCTTACCATCTTTTAGCAAAGATGTGGAACAAATAGAACTCTCATACATTTCTTTTTTCATTTTAATTTTTATTGTAGATTCAAGGGAAATGCATGCAAATTTGTTATAAGAGTATATTGCGTGATGCTGAAGTTTCAGCTTCTATTGATTCTGTCACCCAGATAGTGAGCATAGTACCCTACAGGAAGTTTTTCAGCCATTGCCCCCATCTCTCCTTTCATCTTTTTGGAGTCCCAGTGTGTGTTATTCCCATCTTTGTGTCCGTGTGCATCCAGGGTTTAACTCCCACTTATAAGTGAGAACATGCAATATTTGGTTTTCTGTTTCTGCATTAATTTGCTTAGGATAATGGCCTCCAGCTGCATTCATTTTGCTGCCAAAGACATGATTTTATTCTTTTTATGGCTGTGTAGTATTCCATGGTGTATATGTACCACATTTTCTTTATCAATGCACCACTGATGGGTACCTAGGTTGTTTCCAAGTCTTTGCTATTGGAATAGTGCTGCAATAAACATATGAGTGCAGGTGTCTTTTTGGTAGAACGATTTATTGTCCTTCGGGTACATACCCAGAAATGAGATTTCTGGGTGGAATGGTAGTTCATTTTTATTTCTTTGAGAAATCTATAAACTGCTTTCCACTGGGGCTGAACCAATTTACATTCTCACCAACAGTATATAAGTGTTCCGTTTTCGCTACAGCCTTGCCAGCATCTGTTGTGTTTTAACTCTTTAGTAATAGCCATTCTGGCTGGTATGAAATGATATCTCATTGTGGTTTTGATTTACCATTTCTCTGATGATTAGTGATATTGAGCATTTTTTCATGTTTGTTGGCCACTTGTCTCATACATTTCTGATGGCAGTGCAAATTATTACATTCACTTTGGATATCTATTTGGCAACGTCATCTAAAGATGAAAGTACACATGGCCTACGATTCAGCAGTTTCACTCCTGCATATATCCAACAGAAATTCATACATATATTTACCAACAGACATGCACAAGAAAGTTCAGAGCATTATACTTAATAGCCAAAAACTGGAAATAATTCAAATGTTCATCAACAGTAAATGGGCAAATTGTAGTTTAGCAAAACGATAGAATATTATACAAAGAAATATTAATGAACCACTGCAATAATAAAAGTAAATCTCAAAAACATAATGGAGAGTAGAGAAAGCTAACTCGAAAGAATACGTATCATATATTTCCACTTATATAAGTTTTAAAAACAGACAAAAGTCATCTATGAGATTAGAATCCAGATAGTGGTGACCTTTGGAATGAGACAAGGTAGTGACTGGTAGAGGGCATGAGGAGGGTTCCAGAATTCCAGTGTGTTCTGTTTCTTGATCTCAGCGATGGTGACACCAGCAATACACACTTTGTGAAAGTCATCGCACTGCTCCCTCATGATTTCTACACTTTCCCAATGAATATCATACTTGAAAAAAGTTTACATGGGGGGAATTCCTTAAAAGAAAGTTATAATTAATTTCTTCTAAATGTAGAAGGAATGAGGAAGATAGGAAAGCCACCATTCTAGCCAAATAATAATAGCTGTAATCAAGACCCACAAATAGGTGCCAAAATTCATGGGAGAAATTTTAAGGAAAATCAGGACATTTACATAGTCTCAAAGTGTCTCCCCCAAAATATGTATTACTTACAAAGGGAAAATAGTAGCTTCACAGTGGAGAAGCCTGGCAGACCCCACTTTAACAAAGTGACCAAAGTTAACATTTCCAATGATAACACATATTAACATCGTGTACCTCCTAATATGATGCACTAAGAAGGACACATCATCTCTGTAGCATTTTTCTCAAAAATGTGTAACTTCAAAACATCAGACAAATCCAAATTGAGGAGCATTCTGCAGTTTACCTGACCAGTACTTTTCAAAGGAGTGAAGGTCATGTAGGGAGAAAAGGAAAGATAAAAGGAATGTCTGTCAGAGATTGGAGACTAAGAAGACATGACAGCTAAATGCAAAGTGGGATCCTGGATTAGATTCTAGAACATAAAAGGAACATTAGTGTAAAAACTGGTGAAATCCAAATAATGTCTGTAGTTAAGCTAATAGCATTAAACCAGTGCTAATTGCTTAGTTTTAATAACTGTACTATGTTTATGTATGATGTTAACATAAGTAGAATCTGGGTGAAGAATATACAGGAACAGGAACTTCTTTATAGCTTTTTGTTTTTGTTTTTTGTTTTTTAAAGATGGGATCTCACTATGTTGTCCAGGTTGGACTCAAATACCTGGGCTCAAGACATACTCCCACTTCAGCCTCCTGGGTAACTGGGACTACAGGCATGTGATATTGTACCAGGATCTCTCTGTAGTATTTTTGAAACTTTTCTATAATTCTACAATAATTTCAAATTAAAAATAATTAAAATACAAATATACTTAACACTACTGAACTGTACACTTAAGTGATTAAGATTGTAAATTTTGTGTTTATACCATAATTTAATTTTTTTACATTATTAAAATATATGCACTTTATTATATATAATAATATATATATAACATAATTTATATGTATTAATATATCTAACTGTCACCCCAGGGCACAAGTAAAGATACATTGCAGTCTGAGGAAGGGTAAAAGAAAAAATATCTTCTATCCCTTAGAATGGGGCAGGAAAAAGTTCTGGGCCCAGGATCACATACCAATACTATTAGATGTCTCCTATTCTTAGGGCAGGGTCAAGGCAACCACTACTCCTGAGACTCAGGGTCACAGCACCTGCCTAAGACTAATATGCATAAGAACGACCAAAAAAGCTCTTTTTCCCACCCCCAATCAGTCTAAGAAACACCAAATAATAAGCAAAAGAAATCTGTTGCTAGGAGAGAAGTAAAATCACTGAAAAGGCCTTACTCCTGACACTGAAAGTCATAGCACTCACTTAAGATTAAGAATTGTTGGCTGGGCGCGGTGGCTCACGCCTGTAATCCCAGCACTTTGGGAGGCTGAGGCAGGCAGATCATGAGGTCGGGAGATCAAGACCATCCTGGCTAACACGGTGAAACCCCGTCTCTACTAAAAATACAAAAAATTAGCTGGGCACTGTGGTGGGCGCCTGTAGTCCCAGCTACTCGGGAGGCTGGGGCAGGAGAATGGCGTGAACCCGGGAGGTGGAGCTTGCAGTGAGCCGAGATCGCGCCACTGCACTCCAGCCTGGGCAACAGAGCAAGATTCCGTCTCAAAAAAAAAAAAAAAAAAAAAGAATTGTTAAGGACAAAAAAGAAAGCCCCTCTTTCTTCTCACACTTCAATGAGCCTATGAATCACTAGAGGATCTTTTGAAAATGAAGATTCAAATTCAGTAGATCTGGAGTGGGCCTTGAGATTCTGCATTTTTAGCAAGCCTCCAGATGATGCCAGTGTGGCTGGGCCACAAACCACATATTGAGTAGCAAACGTCTAAAGAACTTCAGTGTTAACCAAGAGAATCCCTGTTGGCTTGAATGACCCTAGCCCTTCCTCCAAAAAACCTTTTCGCAAAAAAAGGTACAGAAAGAACCTAACTTGTTCAAATGTGAGAAATAATCAAAAGAGAAACAGCATGATATTGAAGCAGAGACTGTAAGAAAAAAAAGTTTCAGGGAGGAAATAGCATATTAAGAACAGTGACTATAAAAATGTTACTATGAAGCCAGTAAAAATTGTGGCCAAAAAAGAAAAGCCAATAATTTTAAATACCTATGAAGAAACTGCTCCTCTAAAACAAGAGTACAAAGCACAAATATAAGCATTAAGGAAATATATAGTTAAAAAATGAAAGTTATAAAATACTAGCTACCAGAGTTCATAAAGGATATTGAATAATAAATGAAATTTTTACTACAATGGTGTCCCTATCAGAACCATTAAAGAGGAGAACATACTTCTTTTTAGAAGTCATTATGAAGTTATTATTTACACAGTTGTTAAAGTACACAAATACAGGGGCAATACAAACACACAGCTCAGAGACTGGTGACCAATGCACAGGTTGACACAGATGTCCTACCTACGTTTCCTGCATACTCCTCTTTAATGGTTCTAATAGGGACACCATTTTAGTAATGACTCCTCTTTGCCAAAACATAGAGACAAATAGAAAATAGAATAAAGAAAAATAAAACAGAAAATAAAAGGTTAAATGACCACAGAAAAGTTTTAGACTTGGAAAGCAAACCAAGAAAATCCAATGTATATAACTGATCTCTTTGAAGAAGAAATACAAAATTATATATGTATATACACATTTATTTTTTAAAGACAGGCTCTTGCTGTGCTGCCCAGGCTGTCCTCCAACTCCTAAACTCAGGTAATCCTCCCACTTTAGCCTCCAGAGTGCTGGGATTACAGGTATGTGCCACCACACCCAGCAAAATTATTTTTTAAAATTCAAGAAGGCCGGGCGTGGTGGCTCACACCTGTAATCCCAACACTTTGGGAGGCCAAGGCTGGTGGATCACCTGAATTCAGGAGTTCAAGACCAGCCTGACCAACATGGTGAAACCCCGTCTCTCCTAAAAAATACAAAAATTAGCCAGGCGTGGTGGCAGGTGCCTGTAATCCCAGCTACTCGGGAGGCTGAGGCAGGAGAGTTGTTTAAACCTGTGAGGCAGAGGTTGCAGTGAGCCGAGATCATGCCACTGCACTCCAGCCTGGGTGACAAGAGTGAAACTCTGTCTCAAAAAAAAATTTTTTTCAAGAAAAGTCTAATGAAATAAGACAAGAATCTACAGATAAACACAATTTGCACCAAAAATAAGTTAAAGGTACAGTGATTAGAAATGAAGAAATTAAACTGTCATTATTTGCAGACAACATAATGTGTCAATATAAGGTCCAAAAAGTCTGCTCTTAAGCTATTAAAAAATAAGTAAATTTGGGGAAATGACAATATAGAAGATCAATGTACTAAAAAAATTTGATAAAAAGCTAATTGTAAAAACAATTAGAAAATAAAAATTTAAGTATCGCACTTAGAATTGTATTAAATACCATCGAAAGATATGAACTACAAAATATTGCTGTGAGACATCAAATGTATATAAAAAGTAGAGCTATATACAACCAATGTACATGGATTAGAAGGATCAATATTATAAAATTGTCAGTCCTCCCAAATTTGATCTATAGATTGCATGCAATTTCAATCAAAACCCAAAAATCCTAATGTTTTTCTTATAAATTGACAAACTGCTTCTAATATTTAAGTGTAGATGCAAAGGACATAAAATAGCCACAAAAATCCAGAAGAAAAGTTGTTGTTCTTCCACTACCAGGTGGCAAGACTTATTACAAAGCTACCATAATAAAAACTGCATGGTATTTGCCATGAGAATCTACAAATAGATCAATGGAAAAGAATAGAGAGATCAGAAGAGACTTATGTACACTTGATTTATGATGAAGGTGATACTGCAGAATTGTGGAGAAAGGTTGATCTCTTGAATAAATAGTATTAGACCACCTGATTATCACTACTGGGAAAAAATAAAACTTTATCTATCTCACATCATACATCAAAATTAATTCCTAGTGGTTTACCAGACTAAATATGTTAAGTAAAGCAATAAACTTTCTGGAAGTTTATATAGGAGATTATTTTATATTCTCAGGATAGAAAATGTCTTAAACAGAAAATAAAGTTATTAATCATAAAAGAAAAAATGAGTAAATTAAGAACTCATTTATCAAAAGGCATCAAGAGACTGAAAAAACAAGCCAAAAAAATAAGAAGAGATATGTGTAACACATATTAACTGATAAATGACCTAAAACCCAGAATATTTTTAATATCCTATATATCAGTAAAGTTAACCATATTTTTATTAACTAAAGTCCATACTTAATTCAGATTTTCTTAGTTTTTCAAGAGCAATTTTAGGTTTAAAGAAAAATTGAGTGGAAAGTACAGAATTCCCACATATAGTCAACAATACTGTATTATGTGCTTAAAAATTTATAAGAGGGTAAATTTTGTGTTGTGTTTTTAACACACACAAAAAGATAAAAGGACACGGGAACATTTTTGGGGGGATTGTTATGTCTTCTACCTTGATTGTAGTGATGGTTTCACAGATGTATGTGTATGTACAAATTCATCAAATTTTATATATTAAATATGCACAGTTTATTGTATTAAACTAATTATACTTCAATAAAACTTTTTTTAAATACAGAAAGTTCCTATATACCCTCTCCACCACCACCACCCCCTCACAAAGTTTCTCTTATTAACATCTTGCATTAGTGTGACACATTTGTGATCATTGATGAACCAATTTTGATACACTATTATTAACTACAAGGCACAGTTTACATTAGGATTCACTCTTTGTATTGTACAGCTCTATGCGTTTTGAAAAATTTATGTCATGACTCCATCATTATAATATCACACAGAATAGTTTTACTATCCTAAAGTGCCTGTGCCTCCACCTGGTTATCTCTCCCTGACTCTCCTTGAACCCCTGACAACCACTGATTTTTAATTGTCTCCATAGTTTTTCATTTTTCATAAGAGCATATATTTGGAATTACACAGTATGTAGCCTTTTCAGACTGACTTCTTTCACTTAGTAGTTGCATTTAAGGCTTCTCCATATCTTTTCATGTCTTAATTGCTCATTTATTTTTATCACTGAATACTATTACATTATGTGGATGTATCACAGTTTGCTTATCCATCACCTATTGAAGGACATCTTGGTTGCTTCCAAATTTGGGCAATTACGAATAAAGCTGCTATAAATATTCATGTGCAGGTTTTTATGTGGACATAAGTTTCCAACTCACTTGGGTTAATATCTAGGAGCATAATTGCTAGATCTTACATATAGTAAAACTATGTTTAGCTTTGTAAGAAACTGCCAAACTGTCTTTCAAAGTGGCTGTACCATTTTGCATTCTGACCAGCAATGAATAAGGCTCCCACTACTCCACATCCTAACAAGCATTTAGTGTTGCCAGGATTTGGGATGTTAGCCATTCTAACAGGGGTGTCATGGTATCTTATTGTGGTTTTAGTTTGCAATTCCCTAATGACATATGAAGTTGAGCGTCTTTTCAAATATTTATTTGCCATCTGTGTATCTTCTTTAATAAGCTGTCTGTTCCAATCTTTTTACTCACCTTTTTTTTTTTGAGGCAGAGTCTCACTCTGTTGCCAGGCTGGAGTGCAGTGGTGCGATCTCAGCTCACTGCAACCTCCGCCTCCCAGATTCAAGCAATTCTCCTGCCTCAGCCTCCTGAGTAGCTGGGACTACAGGTGTGCACCACCACGCCCGGCTAACTTTCGTATTTTTAGTAAAGACGGGGTTTCACCACATTGGCCAGGATGGTCTCGGTCTCTTGACCTCGTGATCCACCAGCCTGGGCCTCCTACTCACTTTTTAAGTAGACTCTTTACTTATTATTGAGTTTTAAGAGCTATTTGTATTTTTTTTTACCCAAGTCTTTTATCAGATATGTGTTTGCAAATATTTTCTCCCAGTCTTTGGCTTATCTTTTCATTCTCTTAACAGTGTCTTTCACAGAGCATAAGTTTTTAATTTTCATGAAGCCAACTAATTCTTTTTTTAATGATTCATGCTTTTGCTGTTATATCTAAAAAGTCATCGCCAAACCCAAGGTCACCTAGATTTTCTCCTATATTATCTTCTAGCAGTTTATATTAGTACTTTTGTATTTTACATCTAGATTCATTTTTTTACATGTGGATGTCCAGTTATTTCAGCACCATTTGTTGAAAAGAGTAAACTTTCTCCATTAAATTGCTTTTGCTCCTTTGTCTAAGATCAATTGACCATTTTTGTGTAGGTTTGTTTCTGGTTCTCTATTCTACTCCACTGATTTCTCTATTATTTTAACAATACCATACTGTCTTGATTACTGTAGCTTTATAGTAGGAAGAAGTTGGATAGCAGCACTCCTCCAACTTTGTTCTTCTTCAATATTTTATTGGCTATTCTGAGTCTTTTGCCTTTGCACATAAACATTAGAATCATCTTATCAATGTCCACAAAGTTATTTGCTGGGATCTTGATTGGGATTGCATTGAATCTACAGATCAAACTGGGGAAAACTAACATCTTAACAATATTGAGTCTTTCTATTCATGAACATGGAAAATCTTCCCATTCATTTACAGCTTCTTTGATTTCTTTCCTCAGAGTGTTGTCATTTTCCTCATAGAGATCTTGTACATATTTAATTAGGTTTATATGTAAGTATTTTTTGGTGTTTCCTCTGTCCCTCTGCCTTTTCCAGTAGAAGCTTCCTTTTGTGTTCCTGCTATATTATCTTTGCCCTCCTTCTGTCCATGGACAGAAGGACATTTTTGCTCCTCCTTAGGTCCATGACTCAAGCTGCTTTTGACAGAAAATAAATTCTGGCTCTGTGATTTCTTTTCATTTGAATGTTTTATCTTGAATGATACATTGTTCATCTGAATACCTTTTACCAGATTCTTTATTTTAGCTTCATACAGGGAGAATTCCAAATCCCAGGTCCTGTTGTGCTTCATAGATTCCATCTGTTCTTTAAAATGCTTCAGATCCTGCGCTAAACAGGGAGAAATTCTGAAGCAGAACTTGAGCTCCAAGTTCGAGAAGCTGTCTTTTTTCGAGATGTCCAGTAAAAACTGCATAGTGAGGGTCATCTCATCATTCCCTTCCTGCTCCTTTACCTCCAGCAGCCTTTGCACTTCTCTGCGGGACTCCTTCCCCAGCCGGCTTTGGTCCTCTTTCACCAGGTAAGACATGGCATGAAAAAAGTCCTGGAAGCTGATGTGGCGGAAGCTGTAGAACTTCTTGATGGCAAGTCCCAATTGGTAGTCGTTACTACTCAGGAAAGCGGCAAGCCTGGGGCCATCTAAATTATGTTTCCTGAGCTCAGCTTCTTCAAATAGGAACCTCTGGTGCTGAATCCCTTCAGCTGCTAGGGAGCACAGACTCCTCAGGACCCTGTGCCGGGAAAGCTCGGAGCAGCCCCCATCATCATCGGGCGGCAGAAAGGTGGAGACGTAAGCCATGAAGATGTCAGTGCTGTTTCTAGGTGTCTCTAAGACAACTTTGCCTCTCTCCATCTGCCCCTGCAGCCAGGAGCAGACCACCCAGCAAATGCCTGGAACCTGACACGCTTTGTAGAGAATGTCATTTTTCTGTACAATGTCGAAGGCACGGTCAGCTTGCTTCTCATCCGTGAAATAGGAGCTGAAGTACCTCGCCCTCTCCTCCTCAGAGAAGCCTAGGATATGGACATGACGTGCTTGTTTCAGCAAGGGCTCCAGATTCCTCAAAGCCAGGGGCCGGGTGGTGATGAGAAGGGAGCACGTGGGGAGTGTATGTCTCCTAATTAGAAGGTGCAGCAGGCTCTCCTTGGGACTCAAACCCCTCTTCTTCAACTTTTCTTCAAAGGGCCTCTGCAGCTCATCAAAGCCATCCAGGATGAACAGGAGCCGCTCTGGCTGCCTCAGAATCTCTGTGACAGGGGCTTGATTGTCCCCGCAGCACCAGAAAAGGAGCTGCTCCAGTTTGCTCTCCAGCAGCAGGACCACTTCTTTGCAGCTTACATAAAAGACATAATCAAACCGGCCTGGGTACAGAGTACCGGTGGCCCAGTCCAACACCATTTTTCTGGCGAGAGTTGTCTTTCCAGTGCCAGCCGACCCCTGTAGCACAACTAAGGATGGGGCCAGTGAGGGCTTTTCCCCTGAATCAAATAGAGCCTCCACCGTGACAGACTCCAGCTCCTGCTCCGGGAAGGGGCAGGCAAGTGATTCTGGGCTCTCTGAGCTGGGCTTGGCCACCAGGAGCACCTGGTTGTATCTGCCATTGACTCCTGCTTCCTGCCATTCCTCTAGGCAGCGCACATGCTCTCGGTATACTTCTCTGTAATCTGAGCCAAACAAATGGGATGTTAGGTAGTGAAATGGGAATTTTAGAAGGCAAAATGGCCCCTCCAAACTGACTCTGCTCATTAGTCTTCTTGTATGTCTCCAACTTGGATCTTGCTGAGATTATAGTTCTGGCTTCATGGGGAGGGGCCACTGTATGTGTGCATGAGTGTGTGTGTGCAGGCGCAGTATGCATATGCACATCTGTATGAGTGTGCAAGGGTGTGCTCTGTGTGTGTGGATAGTTGTGCATGAATGCTGGTATCCACATGTGCTCGTGGACCTTCATGTACTGTTGTGGAGGGAAGTCATGTCAGTGTGCATCAGCAAGTGTGTGTCTGTAAGAATACATGTAAGTGCAAAATGCCTGTGTGAGAATGCATGAATGTCTGAGTGTTCATGTGAAATGTCTCCATGTGAAGAGGTGAGGACAGAGAGAGGGGAAAGGAAAGGGATGCCTGAGGATGGTGAAGTGATAGGAGCCTTGATATAGTTTGGGTGTTTATCCCCTCCAAATTTCAGGTTGAAATGTGATCCCCAATGTTGGAGGCAGGGCCTAGTGGGAGTTGTTTTTGTCATGGGGGCAAATCCCTCATGAATGTCTTGGGGCCCTCCCCACGGTAATGAACGAGTTCTTGCTCTATTAGCTACACAAGAGCTGGTTGTTTAAAGAGCCTGGCACCTCCTCCCCTCTCTCTTCCTCCCTCTCTTGCCATGTGACACACCAGCTCTGACCTTGCCTTCTTCCATAACTGAAAGCTGCCTGAGGCCTCGCCAGAAGTCAATGTTGACAATATGCCTCTTGTACCACCTGCCAAACCATGAGCCAAATAAACCTCTTTTCTTTATAAATTACCCAGTCTCAGGTATTGCTTTATAGCAATACCAAAGGGACTAAGATAAGCCTGTTCTTTTTTTTTTTTTTTTTTTTTTGAGATGGAGTTTCGCTCTGTCGCCCAGGCTGGAGTGCAGTGGCGCGATCTCGACTCACTGCAAGCTCCGCCTCCCGGGTTCACGCCATTCTCCTGCCTCAGCCTCCCGTGTAGCTGGGACCACAGGCGCACGCCACCATGCCCGGCTAATTTTTTTGTATTTTTAGTAGAGACGGGGTTTCACCGTGTTAGCCAGGATGGTCTCGATCTCCTGACCTCGTGATCCGCCTGTCTCAGCCTCCCAAAGTGCTGGGATTACAGGCGTGAGCCACTGCGCCCAGCCGATAAGCCTGTTCTTGGGAAAGGACAAGCCAAATGCTAAAGATAAAACAGCTTCTCAGAAAGAGCCATGACTCTGGGTCCATGAAACCCTCCCATTTGTACGTAGCAGAGGAGCTTTCAAGCATGAAAGGAGCCTATGGGAGGGAGCAAAGGCACCAAAAGATCCCTCCCTCCCCCCAGGCACCCACAGGAAGAACCAGCAGGCCATGAGGTCCCACACCACCCATTCTGTAGTGTGGTTCCTTGAGAGATCAGGGCCACAGAAGACTTAGAAGCGCCTGAGCAGCTTGCCAGGAAGCAGCTAGGGACAGGTCTGACCCCTACATCCTGATGCTATTTCTTCTGGTTAGTGGAAATCCCTTCACCAACACCCTCCCAGTCTCTAAGACCCTTTCTTCAGACTCTCCCCTTCTCTGCCACTGCAGCTGGAGGTAAGATGTGGGGAAGAAAGGCTAGTCTTTTCTTAAATAAATCCCAGCTTTGGCTCAGTCCCCCTCCTGACAGTTGTTGGAACCCTCAGGTGGAGACCACCAAGGACTCTGGGGCACCAGGGACTAGAGGACAAGGTGACAGAAGGCATAAGGTACAGGCTACAGGCAGCTCTGGAAATGCCATGGTGGGAGGGGAGTCCCAGTGCCATCCTGCCCTCCCCTTCCCCCGCTCCACACTCACCATGCAGACAAATATGGCTGAGCTGGTCCACAAGTTCCAACAGGTTCATGACCTTCAAGCCCTTGAGGACAACTTTCACAGCCTCCTTTTCTCCATACTTTGAAATCAGTAATTCTGCCAGGTCCACCGGAATCAGGCCCTCCAACTCCCCTCTGGCCAGTGGGGGCTGGCCCTCAGACAGGGTCATATCCCGTAAGTAGAACTTTAACTTCTTGAAATCGTTCTCCTCAAGGTCACTCAAGGCCCAGAGCAATGCCTCCCGGGGCTTTCTGGCCTTGGCCATGGCCATGGTGATCTGGGGGAAGGATCAAGTCCAGACCAGAAGACCAGTGACCTGGAGAAAGAGGCAAAAGGAGAGGTCCACTGCTGAGAGGCCCACCCTGCTTTCTGGGGGCTTGGCCAAGTTATAGAGCGGAGGCCAGGGAGAGACGAGATACATGTGCAAAGCTCCAAGAAAGACAAGCAGATGAAACGCAGGGGAATTTTCCTAGTCATTCCCCTCTGCCTCTTAGTCAGGTGACACGTGACTGTGTTGGCAAATGGGTAGGAAGGTATGTAGGTGTGTTAATCTCTCAATCTCTCTCTCTCTCCCCCAAACTCTATCTCTGTCTCTCTCTCTCCCCCCACTCCCTTCCTCTTTCCCTCTCAACACGTTCTTTATTAGGCTCTGTATGCCTCCTTAGACGGATGGATTAAGAAAAAAAAGTCTAAGTTTTTTATTTTATTTTTTTTGGAGACAGAGTCTACCTCTGTTGCCCAGGCTGGGGAGCAGTGGCATGATCTCGGCTCACCTCAACCTCCACATCCCACGTTCAAGCAATTCTCCTGCCTCAGCCTCCCAAGTAGCTGGAATTGCAGGTGCCCACCACCATGCCCAGCTCACTTTTGTATTTTTAGTAGAGATGGGGTTTCACCATACGGGCCCGGCTAGACTCGATCTCCTGACCTCAGGTGATCTGCCCGCCTTGGCTTCCCAAAGTGCTGGGATTACAGGCATGAGCTACTGTGCCCGGCCAAGTTTTAAGTTTTAAAAGTGAGACTGTCCCTGGCTGTGTGAACCTATAGAAAGCTGGAGCACATTTGCTGGAACTGCTGTGGTATGGCAAGAAGGTAAAAAAAATCTACACTCAACCCATTGGCCTCACATGTCAGCCTCCTGGCCTCAGTCACACAGGGATTGCAAAGCTAGAAGTCTCCTAATTCAAATAAGGAAACAAATCCAGATAATGATAGGAAGAGGAACCGCCACCTGTGAGTGCTGACTTTGTGCCAGGTGATTTACATATCCTTTTTGATCATCTCAGAAATCGTCTCAGGAACTGTTCCACATGAGAAATTTGGCAGTCAGAGAAAAATGGTTTTTCAGAGTTTTCCAGAGCTAGGCCACCGGGCAAAGAGGCAGGATTTAAACTGGTCTATGCCCTGGGTGGAAGAGAGAGACAGAAAAAACTCAAAAGATAAAGAAATAGAAGACAGAGTCAGGAACCAGAAAGTTAGGCTAAATGTTGCCAGAAGCTGGAGACATGTATAAATACTAAAGTAACGGGAAAGGAGAGCAGAGTTTTGAATTGTGTTTCTAATGTAGAACCAAAATGTAGGCCAGGTGGCAGTCTTTGGAAAAGAAAAGCAACAATTAATAGAAAGCCTTCAGAATCCAGAAATACACCTGTGACCTAAGGCCCATAGGGAACCCATCTCAGTAGTACAATGTCACATTCATCATTGAGAGTGTTCAAAAGAGAATTTGGGAACACAGAGAGTTGTTGCCATTCAAATACCAACATTTTGACTACATACTGACAGAGAAAGAAAATGTTTGGAACATGTTAGGATACAGGGGACTTTGGTTGTGAGTCATAGGCCAGTTTGGAAAAGCAGGCCTGTGAAAGCAGGATCAATTTACAACAAAGCTTCAGGCTGCATGGGAAGACTCAGGGCTTCCCTGCAAATTTCTGATGTTGGCAGAGCTATTTAATAATTCAGGAAAGAAAAGACAACACTAGAACCTGCCAAGAAGATGTCCAGTCTAGGCTGCTTACCACAGTTCAGACTTGGGGAGCTGGAGGTGAGGCAGCGAGAACTCAGCTCCCTGATCCAGGAGCCCAGTAAGCAAAGCCTGGGGACTGAGACGAAACAGATCCCCTTTCCTGGTCCGACAGCTCTACAGGTCCAAGTTTGGGCTCTCTTAGCCCATACTCACTAGTTCACTTCTGTTTGGTGGTGCTGGTACCTACCAGCTACAGCTTGATACCTAACAGTTCCTAGTATATAGGCCTGGAACAGAAGGGCCCCTCCCCATCTGCCCCAAGCCTCTGTGAAGCAGAACCACCCACTGAATGTCAGTGGGATGACTGTCAATGGGATGGGCAATTGCTCACCAGTGGGAAACTTGACCTCATTTTTTCAAATGTTGAAGTTGAGAAACAAGGGAGGGGTGGAAGGCATGAACTATTCTGTCACCAAGAGAAAAAGAGCCCAGGAGACTTCCCACATCCCTCCCTGGAACCCACACTCCTCCTCTACCACTTAACCCCAGCCTAGGCTGGGGCAGTTTGACTAGAGAGACGAAAGAATTGAAGCACTGCCACCACCATATCCTCCGCCAGTGCACCATTTCTCTAAGTTGTTGAAATCACTGGAGAATGAAAAAGGAAGAAGATAGGAGCTCCATGAAGTAGGAATTCAAACAAGGAGAAAAACAGGCCAGGCATGGTGGTTCACGCCTGTAATCCCAGCACTTTGGGAGGCTGAGGTGCGTGGATCATTTGATGTCAGGAGTTTGAGACCAGCCTGATCAACATGGTGAAACCCTGTCTCTACTAAAAATACGCAAATTAGCCGGGAATCATGGTGCATGCCTGTAATCTCAGCTACTAGGGAGGCTGAGGCAGGAAAATTGCTTGAACCCAGGAGGCGGAGGTTGCAGCGAGCTGAGATTGTGCCACTGCACTCCAACCTGGGCAACAAAGTAAGACTTTGTCTCAAAAAAACAAAAAAGAAAAAGGAGAAAAACAAATTCCCAGAAGGCAGCCAGTCCTCTGGCCTAGAGAGCTGAGGATCCCCAAGAGCCCTGACAGAAAGAGAACAGGTTTCTCCAAAAAGAATGTCTCCAAGAAAAAAGAAAAAAGACTTGCTAGACTAGCTGATGCTATTGGCCTTCTAAAACAGCCTATTGGGAGGCTATTAGAAGGTGGAAAAAGCTAGCAGTAACTTCCAAGAAAACCAGATAAATGAAAGTAAAATAAAGAAATTACTAGCAAGAGGAGAAACAAAAAATAAAATTGGAAATATAATAGTAAACTAATATACTCAAGTGTGAATAATGTTTGCATAGAAATCATAGTGTAACCACTGAACATTGCTCTAAAATTTAAAATATAATTACATTGAAAGGATGGTGGTGGAATGTACTAGAAGAGGAAGTTGATAGACAATGCCTAAAATGTTGAATCAAAAGATAGTGATATACAGTACACATATTACTTCAAAATGCAGAGATGTAAGAAGAAATAGTTAAAATCTAATGTATTAATAGTTGTTTTAGCGAAAAGAGACTGGGCATCAGGAGAGGAAAGGACTACTGTTCCAGGGCATAAGTTTTTTAATGCCTATTGACTTTAGAAATCATAACCATGTATTACTTTGAAAAGATAAAAATTAACTTAGCAAAGAAACAGTAAGAGGTAAAGAAATGGAGTTAACATGTATAGACAAATCTCTCTGGAAGCTTGGTAACAAAAGTGATGAGAAAGGTCCTGAGGTAATATGGGAGATGTGAAGTCCAGAGAAGGTTTTGTTTGCTTTAACATGGGAAAGGGAGGAATGTACCTGGATGCTGATACAAAGCCTCCCATAGAGAGGTCAGGTTAGAAATGCAGAAGAGAAAGGCAAGCACCAGAGGGGGGAATGGAGAATGGGGATTGGGACAGGATTCGAAGCAAAGGCAAAAGATTGGCCTTTGACAGGAGGCTGGAAGGAACAGCATCCATTCATTCCTGAGGAAAGTGACAGAGGTTGTTTGGCAGAGAAAGTCAGGTGTGTGGGTTTTGTGGTCAGAAGATAAGCATGGTCATGTCTGAGTCTCCATATGCTCTGTGAAGTACATGTAAGAGTATCTCCCATGAGTGAGAGGGCAGGGGTGGTTGAGGAGAGGAGACACCTTAAGGAGGCCACTGCAAGCCTTCCCTCCTGTGCACCTCTCCTCCTCCTCCAAGGCCTCTTGTGCCCACTGCTCAGGGAGTACCCCAGAGTCCAGGGGAACAGGCAGGAATGGGACTGGCCTTTCCCAGTGCCTTGACCAAGATGAGGCTAGCGACAAAAACAAGACTGCCAAGAACCAGGACCCAGAGACCAAGATGGGAAGATAAAAGAGTGAGACACAGTTATGTAGTGAGGGTGACAGAGAGAGCAGAAAGGCCACCTACTGCAAAGGCACCAGGTCTGGAGACCACTGTGCCAGATTCAGAATCACACCTGAAGAAAGGAGGAATGAGATGCATGGAACCAACTATAATTGGAGGGTGGAGGCAAGAGATGAAATGAGTCCTCCCTGCCTATCCACCCTGGCCTGGCTACAGGCAACACTGATAATTGCAACTAAGTCCCAAAAAGGGCAGGGGTGGAGACAAAAGAAAGAGAAACCAAGCCTGGGAATAGCAAGAGATCAAAAGAGTAAAGAGTCAGAGAAGAGATACAGAGAGATATCAGAAAAATGAGCAAACAAAATAGAAAGTCAGAGAGAGATGAAGCCAGCTGGTAGGTATGAGTCTCTCACTTTCCCATACACACATACACACATACTTACACACTCACTCTATACACAGTGTTTTTTCACAGCAAACTGTTAGAAACAAGGGCAATGAGAAAAACATGTGAAGCAATTGGAGTTTCTCAATCAAGCTGCAGTGTTCCCACATTCATTATACTCTTTCCCTACCTATGGAGGCAGATCCCAAGGCAAAGTTGAACACATGTCTTCATCCTCTTGCTTCCAGGCCTTCTTTTTGACACAGGCAGGAGCTCCAACCCCAGTCTGTCCCCTCTTATACAAGGGCCCTTTGAGACAGTCCCCTCAGGCTCCCCAAAGGTCACCATCTTCTCCTTTATACCTTGGTCAGTTTTGATGGAGTTAGCACATGGATTTGGTAAGCTTAAAGGTCTTCTTGAGACAGGAGATCCTGTGGCCATTTTGGAGGTATCTGTCTCTGCTGCTAGAAGCTGTCTTTTCTCAAGAGTATTGTCACAAGGCTTTTGTAAACCAAAAAGTATCTGAGACAGGTCTCAATCAATTTAGAAAGTTTATTTTGCCAAGGTTAAGATGTGCCTATGACACAGCCTCAGGAGGTCCTGAAGTAATGTGCCTAAGGTGGTCGGGACACAGCTTGGTTTTATACATTTTAGGGAGACATGAGACATCAATCAATATATGTAAGACGTACATTGGTTCAGTCCAGAAAAGTGGGACAAGTCAAAGCAGGGAGAGGGCTTCCAGGTCATAGGTAGATAAGACATAAACAGTTGCATTATTTTTAGTTTCTGATCAGCCTTTCACTGAATACACAATTTACAGGAACAGTCACTTATGCCTTAGTCTAGCTTAGTGAAATAATGGAGCAAGGAAGCAATCAGATATGCATTTGTATCATGTTAACAGAGGGATGACTTTGAGTTCTGCTTTTTATCCACAAGGAATTTTCCCGTGGGCAAATTGTGACGGAGGTATGTAGCTTTTTTTTTTTTTTTTTTAATCTTTGTAGCTATCTTATTTAGGAATAGAGTGGGAGGCAAGTATGCCCACAGTACCCAGTCTGACTTTTCCCTTTGGCTTAGTGATTTGGGGGAACTGAGGTTTATTTTCCTTTTGCATTTCCCCACTTTTCTTTTTAAAAAGCTTTCAAAGAAAGCATTTTAGAGGAAAATGAGTCTTTGGGCTGAGGTTTTGTCTGATCTCTCATGGCTAGGATGGTTTATTCCTAGACGGGTAGGTCCCACATTATTAGGAAAGCTCATTTTTAGCAGATTGTAAAGTCACACATTCTACAAAGAGAAAATAGGGGGAGGGAAGAAGAAAAACAACAACAAACAAACAAACAATGAAGAACAATCCTGGAAAATTCATACAGGTCATGTTACTCTGAAGTCCATACATCAGTAGGCAGGTATGAAAGTGGTTTAGGTACGTAAATAGGCTGCCATTATTTTCTTCTAAAGTTTAAGTTGTTCACAAAGCTTTAAGAAAGCACGGCTTAATCTTCAGTGATTTCAAATCAGGAAAAATGGGAGAAAAGGAAAAAAAAGAAGAAGAAATATTGAAAACATTGTTTTGGAGACTTGTAGCCAGGAAAATTTTTAGAATTCAGTCTAAACTGTAGAAAGGAATAAAAACTGAAAAACATTAGGCAAGACTAGACTCTAACAAGTGTACTATAGTTTATTTTGAAACATAATTTTTCTCTCTCCAGTCCTATTTTCACTAAAGACAAGTCATAAGACAAATTCATTTGCAAAATAAGTTTTAATCTTATTATACTTGGCTGGGGTATTTTCATAAAGTCAGCAAGAATAACTATTTGTCATATAGGCTCCTCTTTTTTTTTTAATTGGCATTGCTGGAACTTTATTCCATAAGGAATCTCAGATTCAACTTTAATGCCTTAAGCCTAACCTCTGCCCACAAATATCTGTATTAATTGGGTGAATTCCTAAACTTGAATTCCCAAGAAAACTTGGGGCTCCTGGGACTATCAGAAAGTGACATTCTTTACTTACCACAGCATAATTGCCTGAGGGGTTCTTCCTGCCCACTGCATAAAGAAAGACCACGACACTGTAGTAGAAAAAGAGTTTAACAGACACAAGGCCAGCCACACCACATGGGAGATGAAATTTCTACTCAAATCATCTCATTCAAAGCTGGTAAGGTTAGAGGTTTTTCAAAGGCAGTTTTGGGGAAGGGGTGGGGGTGGCCAGGTAGCAGGTACTTGCTGCTGATTGGTTGGGGTGGAGATGAAATCACAAGGGGTTGAAGCTGTCCTCCTGCAGGCCAAATCGCTTCTGGGTGCAGCCACAGGAGTGGGGTTGTTGGTCCAGGTGGAGCCATGGGTATGAGACATGCAAAAAAGTCTGGAAACATATCTCAAAAGGCCAATCTACAATAATGGTGTTATTTGCAGCAGTAATTGGGGAAGTAGCATATCTTATAACCTCCAGAATAATGGCTGACAATTGTTTATGTCTACACCTTAGCAGGATTTAGCCTCCTCTCCTTCTCCCAGCCTGACGGCATCTCATTAGCTTTACAAAAGCAGTTGAGTTTGGGGCAAGGCCTATTATCATTTAACTATAGCCTAAATATCTTCCAAAGATAGCTTGGCCCAATAGCCCAGGAATAATTAAGGGAAAGGCAAGGTGGGGATTGTGTTAGCTTAGCTTACTGTTATACTTTTCTCACTGATATAACTTTTGCAAAGGCGTTTCAACAGGTAAGGAACCTGTACAGGGACTGTGTAGACAAGGTATGGGGCCATCTTTCCCAAGGGGTTTTCATTGGCTCTATAAGTCAACTTTGAATCCTTAAAGGCATCTGTATCTGAAAGCATGCCATTCCAGTCAAAACCTTGGTAAAATAACCTGTGTCTCCAATTGTGTCCTGTTACAAATGAAAACAGATTCTTATTGCACTTGTGCAAATGACTAATATTGCCATAAGTTAAAAATATTCACAAGTAGTTTCCAAATTTTTGAGAAATCAGGTAGAGAGAAATATGTTCCAAATTTTGTTTACGGGAGTTTACTCAATTGTTAAAAGCTGTAAAAATCTCAAAAGAAAAGTTTATTGGCTCTGAAAAACAAAGGATCAGCAATGTTTTAAACAAAATGTCATAAAAGGATT
The DNA here is from genome assembly GCF_000001405.40 of Homo sapiens. Taxonomy (NCBI): domain Eukaryota; kingdom Metazoa; phylum Chordata; class Mammalia; order Primates; family Hominidae; genus Homo; species Homo sapiens. The sequence continues at coordinate 7,971,098 of NC_000011.10, forward strand.
ATTTCAGTCTTCTATTAGTTCAATCCATGGAGTTAACTCCTATTCTGTTTGATATTCATGAACATTTCAGCTCTCCATGGGAGTCTTGGAAGTTTTTCCTCTATTCTAGTGTCACAGTCTCCAAAGTTATTAGAAATATATTTATATAAATGTGTTATTAGTATATGTTCCCGCATTGTATGAAATTCCTGTGATTCTGATATGTCTTAGCATATGTTAACAGTAGTAATTATGATAATGTAAAATTGTTGTATGCCACAAAAGCAACCAAATTTCCTTGTCAATTGTGTCTTTATGACTGTTCTAAGACTTGTCATCCACAGTTGTTTCACTTTTATCCTTTTCAAAAGATTTTTTTTTTTTATAATCAGCTATAGGACTCTGACAGGTGTCCTTGAATGCAGTTTTCTAATAACTTTATTTTCCTTTCACACCTTCAAGGAGAAGGAGGCCTTCAAACTCCCCCAGTGGCATAGCCAGTGCTAGCAAGATGGCAGTAAGGAGTACAGGCAGGCTGGCAAAGCACATGATAAAATTACAGTGGTCATCTGGACAACTCTGATGGCTGCTTTCTATAGCATGTTCCTAAGTCTCTAGGGTGAAAGATAAGGCCTAGGCCCTCGAATACATCTCGGTGTTCAGGCTGGAGGGTGGTGCTGTGGCCTGCTCGGGACTGCTTTTCTGGGGCTTGATCACAGGACTGAGGGAAATTTGATGAGGGTGCAGCCTGCACTGCAATAAAAGGGCCTATGGTGAGATGAAACCAGGGAGGGATTACCCAAAGAAGCCAAATAAAGGAAGAGGAGCATGAAATCTGGTCAGAGAAGCTGGAAGTTAGAGCAAGATTCTGACATGAAAGGCAACATCTATAAATGAGAAATGGAATTGAAGTTGGAGGAAGTCAGTTTCCCCAGGGATAGAAAGCAGAGATTAGGAAGTGCTGGCCAGGATCCATCAGAGCCACATTGTGATGTAAGGTTGTAAGTGAATGGTTTGTTGCATCCAAGTGCACAGTACACATGAGCAAGAAGCCCCATGGTAATCAAATCTTGGGGTCTGGCCCAGCAGGAGAGAGAGAGAAAGGAATACTATACAACACTGTGATTCCAGACACCATATCATCTCTCCAGCCCAGCAATCTCCTTGTGACAATCATGGCAAAAGCCATCATTCTCTAAACTTTTTTTAATTTTTTACCTTGTAGGGAAAGGAAAACTTCTCCTCTACCCTCTTAGGTTCTTAAACTGAGACCTACAGATTAAATTGACAAAAAAAAAATTATGATTAACGGGAGAAATCATACAAATTTTATTTGATGTCAACAATTTTACATAGCATCAGGGACCTCACAGACAAGAAGTGAAAACCCCAAAGAAGCAGTTAGACCCAAAGGCTTGTATACCATTTTAACCAAGGGCTGTAAATTTTTGGAGAAGTGACAAGGCAAAGGAAAAGGATATGGAATTCTAGGGGTAGCAAGTTCTGGGAAAGTAACTAGGGGGTATATGGGGAAAACTAATGAAAAATAAGGGTTACTTTAGGAAGTTTTGCTTGGCAAACATATCTCAGCATTGACCTCCCATCTCCAGTGATAAGAATGTTCTCTCCTTCCTAGGAAAACCTTTCTCATGGGAAATTTATGCCCTGCTTTTAGGTAGAAATGGGAAGAGCAGACAGCCCTTTCTGAATCTGCTGTTTTTCAGTTCCCTTCAGATCAAAATAATGAACATGCTTAAGTGGCATATTTTGGTGTGGCGTGTTCAGATGCCCATGCCTTTCAATCTCAAGAATGAGTTCTGTACAAAACTCTCATGCACTTTTGGTGAGAATGTAAAATATTACAACCAGTTTATTATTAGTATTATTTTAGAGACAGAGTCTTGTTCTGTTGCCCCGGGGTGGAGTGCAGTGGTGCCATCATAGCTCACTGCAGCTTCCAACTCCAGAGCTCAAGCCATATTACTGTTTCAGCTTCCCAAGTAGCTGAAACTACAGGCACGCACCATCACACTGAACTCATTGATCTGACAGTTTCTTGTAAAGTTAAGCACTCCCTGTCCTATGACTTAGCCATTCCATGCCTAGGTATTTACCCCAGAAGAAAGAAAACATACGTCTTCACAAAGAATTCTACACAAACGTTCCAAAGAGCGTTATTCATAACAGTTGAAAATCTGAAACAAATCAAGTATTCATCAACAAGTGAGTGGAAAAACAAGTTATAGTACATTCATACAATAAAATATTACTCAGCGATGAACCATTTGATAGACACAATGCATTGATAAATTTTACAATTGTATTGTGTGAAAGGAGCAGACACAAAGAATTCAAGTTGTTTCCTAGCTGCTGGTTGTAAAAAAAAAAAAGAATTCAAATTTTATTATTCCATTTATATGAAATTCTACAATAGGAAAACTAGTCTGTCATAATGCAGAGCAGTGGTTGCCCATGGCCAGGTATGACATGGGGTACTACAAAGGAGCCCATGGCACTTTTGGAGTGAGGAAATGTTCCATGTCTTGACTGTGGTGGTGGATACATAGGCCAAGACTTTCTCGACACTCACTAAACTCTACACTTTTTTTTTTTTTTGAGACAGAGTCTCACTCTGTCACCCAAGCTGGAGTGCAATAGCACGATCTCAGCTCACTGCAACCTCCGCCTCCCGGGTTCAAGTGATTCTCCTGCCTCAATCTCCTAAGTAGCTAGGATTATAGGCATGTGCCACCACACCTGAGTAATTTTTGTATTTTTAGTGGAGACGGGGTTTCACCATGTTGGCCAGGCTGATCTTGAACTCCTGACCTCAGGTAATCCGCCTGTCTCGGCCTCCCAAATTGCTGGGATTACAGGTGTAAACCACCACGCCCAGCCTGAACTATACACTTTAAATGGAGGCAGTTTGTTGTATTATAAATTATACCTCAGTATATATCCAAAGGATTATAAATCATGCTGCTATAAAGACACATGCACAAGTATGTTTATTGCGGCACTATTCACAATAGCAAAGACTTGGAACTAACCCAAATGTCCAACAATGATAGACTGGATTAAGAAAATGTGGCACATATACCCCATGGAATACTATGCAGCCATAAAAAATGGTGAGTTCATGTCCTTTGTAAGGACATGGATGAAGCTGGAAACCATGATTCTCAGCCAACTATCGCAAGGACAAAAAAACCAAACACTGCATGTTCTCACTCATAAGTGGGAAGTGAACAATGAGAATACATGGACACAGGAAGGGGAACATTACACACTGGGGACTGTTGTGGGGTGGGGGGAAGGGGAGAGGGATAGCATTAGGAGATATACCTAATGCTAAATGACGAGTTAATGGGTGCAGCACACCAACATGGCACATGTATACATATGTAACAAACCTGCACGTTGTGCACATGTACCCTAAAACTTAAAGTATAATAATAATAAAATTTAAAATATATATATTAGTCAGTGATTGAGCTAGAACTCAAACCTAATTCTACTCTATACTGCATATTGTTTCAGTTTACAATAAAAATATTTATGCTTAAAAAAATAAATAAATTATACCTCAGTAATGTTGATTAATTAAAAAAAGAATGAGCTCTGATAACTAAACTGTTAATCTTACAAACCTAAGAGAAGTCTGCAAGGACCACTTACTCCCGCAACCAAACAGATAATTGTGAGCTAGTCCTGGAATGTGCAAGGCCAGTAGAGAGGAGACACACCTCTTCATGGATAGGAATCAGGGAGGGACCACACAGGAGCCTGGGAAGGAATGTCCTTGCCAGGGTGAGGTGGCCAGGAGCTGAGCCTGCAGAGAGGGGGAACCTGGGGGCTGAAAACAGGGTAGCAGGCAGCCAGCTTTGCAGGGAGGGAAGAAGGGAGAGGAGAGGTGCCCCTGAGGCCAGAGTTCTCTAGCAACACTGATGTGGGTATCAGAACTTCAGAACTGCAGAGAAGTCGTAAAGCTAAGCATGACCACCCTTTCTTAGTCAAAGTCTTCTAAAAAGTCTAAAGTGACTCCATCCAAGAGAAGAAAGAGAAGCAAACTGTCTCTGGGGGAAAGCCTCCCCAATTTAGGCCTCAACAACTATCGCTCAAAAACCAAGAAATGAACTCATAGCCTTGAAAGTCTGAATAAGAATAAATAAAAACAAGAAACATAGATTCAGGCCAGGCAAGGTGGCTCACGCCTGTAATCCCAGCACTTTGGGAGGCCAAGGCAGGTGGATCACTTAAGCTCAGGAGTTCAAGACCAACCTGGGCAACATGGTGAAGGCTCATCTCTACAAAAATTAGCCAGGCGTGATGACACATGCCTGTAGTCTCAGCTACTCAGGAGGCTGAGGTGAGATGATCACTTGAGCCTGGGAGGTCCAGGCTACAGTGAGCCGAGATCATGCCACTGCGCTCCAGCCTCGGCAAGAGTGAAACCCTGTCTCAAAAAAAAAAAAAAAAGAAAAGAAAAGAAAGAAAGAAAGAAGAGACACAGATTCAGACCACTAAGAATTATAGATGTTACATTTATCAGCTTCGTATGAAAATGTTTTTAAAATTTAAGGATGTAATTACAAAAATAAGCTTATAAGAAATAAGAAAAAATAGATTTGTTTTAAAAATCCTTTTATATGAAAAAGAAAGAAAATAAAATAGAACTTCTACAGATGAAGAATATAATTATTGAAATCTAAAATTCAATATACAGAACAGATAGCAGCTGAAGTCAGAATTAGAGAGCTGAAGCTATGGCCAAAGAATTTATCCAGACAGCAGCATAAACGGATAGCAGATTGAAAATATGAAAGCTTAAGAGACATGGAGAATAAGGTCAGGAGAGGCAATATTAAGAGCAAATGGGCCGGGCGCAATGGCTGATGCCTGTAATCCTAGCACTCTGGGAGGTCAAGGCAGGTGGATCACTCGAGGTCAGGAGTTCGAGAGCAGCTTGGCCAACATGGCTAAACCCTGTCTCTACTAAAAGTACAAAAATTAGCCAGGCATGGTGGTGCATGTCTGTAATCCCAGCTATTCAGGAGACTGAGGTGGGAGACTTGCTTGAACCCAGGGAGCAGAGGTTGCAGTGAGCTGAGATCACACCACTGCACTCCAGCCTGGCAACAGAAACTCTGTCTCAAAAAAAAAAAAAAAAAAGCAAATGGCTGTAAATTTCCCGAACCAAAAAAAAAAAACAAAACCACGAATCTATAGATCCAAGAAGAACAATTTATCCCAAGCAGAATACATAAAAAGAAAGCCACCTTAAAATACATCACAATGGAACAGCAGACTCTAAAGACAAACAGATCTTGAAGCATCCAGAAAGAAAGGACCACAAAGAAACAACAAAGCAAAAAAGAAGCCAGAGATGGCAGAATGTTTTGAAAGTACTAAGATATTATAACTGCTAATTTAGAATTGTACATCCAGGAAAACTGTTTTTCAAAAATGAAATCAAGCCAGGCACAGTGGCATGTGCATGTAATTCCAGCTACTCAGGAGGCTGGGGCGGGAGGTTCCCTTGAGCCCAGGCAATACAGCGAAAACTTGTCCCTTAAAAAAAAAAAAAAAATGAATGAATGAATGAAAGCAAACCACTTTCACAGTTTTTAAAAATGTGGACTACCAAGGGAACTGCTCTAAAAAAAAAAGAGAGAAAAAGCTTTACTTCAAGTAGGTGAAAAGATTTCAGAAGAAAGTCTTAGAACAGGCTGTGCATGGTGGCTCACGCCTGTAATCCCAGCACTTTGGGAGGCTGAGGTGGGCGGATCATGAGGTCAGGAGATCAAGACCATCCTGGTCAACATGGTGAAACCCTGTCTCTACTAAAATAAAAAATAAAAAAAATTAGCTGGGCATGGTGTGTACCTGTAGTCCCAGCTACTCAGGAGGCTGAGGCATGAGAATGGCTTGAACCCAGGAGGCTGAGGTTGCAGTGAGCCAAGATCGCCCCACTGCACTCCAGCCTAGTGACAGAGTGAGACTCCATCTCAAAAAAAAAAAAAAAAAAAAGGTCTTAGAATAAAGTCTTGTCCTAGAAAGACAAGAAGAAATAGTGTACAGAGAAAGTGGTAAACAGGTAAGCAAATTGAAACATACTGGGTGTTAGCCTTATAAATATAATACTAATAGTGTTTACATCATGTGGCTAGTTCCTCCACCCACGGGAAATAATGAACAACAGTGTATAAATCAGAACGGGAAATACCAAAGTGAAAGCATTTTAAAGTCCTTTTAACATCATCGGTGCCGTTCTTTAAACAGAGTTAATGCATTAAAAATGCATAATAACTTCTGCACCTGCATGCAGCTGGTGCAATAGCAATGCCTATTTCTCTGTCCATCTGGAAGGAACTTGCAGAGGATGATGCAATACCATGACTATCATAGCTTCCAGTGCCTTGATGAAACCTCAAGGTTTTTGGCCTTTTGGCCAAGCATCTGCCATTTCATACTGTTGCAGCATTTGTTGTGTCCTAGGAGTTGCAACTATCTATAAGTTTGTTGTGGCTAAACCATGAAATAAGGCATATATAGATTTCTGCAGAAATTATAATTCTACAAATGATTTTGAAGAGATGAAAAAGGTTGGTATCTTTTGGAATGCAAAGTGATATTGGAATGTAAAGAATTTCTGGGGATTGTGTTCCATGGAAGTTTGTCACTGGCCTACGTTCCTGAACTGTGAAACATGAATATGTGGGCAAAGGAATAGTTTGTTTTGATAGATTAACAAATATGAAAAAAATGCATGATAAAATCAAGAGCTATAATTAAAACACTAAAATTGGAATATGTGCTTCCTAAGTAGTAGAGAAACAGGAAAAATAAGAACATGCAATCAATCAATAACCCCATTTAAAGGCCAAATATAAGGAATGGAGACAACACAGGGGCTGGGCACAGTGGCTCACATCTGTAATCCCAGCATTTTGGGAGGCCAAGTTGGGTGGATCACTTGAGGTCAGGAGTTTGAGACCAGCCTGGACAACATGGTGAAACCACATCTCCACTAAAAATACAAAAATTAAAAATTAAAAAGAACACAGAAAAGTGAACCAAATAAAAATCAAAAATTAAATGTAAGAAATTAGTCCAAATACTCAACATAGAAAATGCTAATGGACTAGACTTGCCAATGCAAAGAGAGAAACAGATCAAATTGTTTAAATATTTAGCTATATGTGTTTATAAGAGTTACACCTCAAGCATAAAGATATGGAATGGTTGAAAGTAAAAAAAAATATGAGGAAAATATATGTGAGAAAATGCTAATCAAGGGAAATCTAGTGTAGCTATATATATTTTTATTTATTTACTTTTAAATAAATAAACTATGAGGTAGGTACTAGAAGGTCAAATATGAAAACAACGTGATCCATGCCTGAAAAGATGTAGAGTTTAGTAAGGATAACAAACAAAGAAATGGATCATTTATTCCACTTTAGAACCAGACAAAAGAGGAAATTCACATTTTAGGAAGAATGTATAGTCCTGAAATATAACCAGTCTATTTTTATTTATTTTTCAAGACAGGGTAACCCTGTTGCCCAGGCTGGAGTGCAGTGGTGCAATCATAGCTCACTGCAGCCTCAAACACCTAGGCTCAAGCCCTCCTTCCACCTCAGCCTGTGAGTAGCTGGGTCTACAGGTACACACCACTACACGTGACTATGATGTAGCTATACTAATTTCAGCAAAATAGATTTTAAGACAAAAGCATCGGCCGGGCACAATGGCTCATGCCTGTAATCCCAGCATTTTGGGAGGCCAAGGCGGGCGGATCACGAGGTCAGGAGATCGAGACTATCCTGGCTAACACGGTGAAACCCCATCTCTACTAAAAATACAAAAAATTAGCTGGGCGTGGTGGCACGTGCCCGTAATCCTAGCTACTCGGGAGGCTGAGGCAGGAGAATTGCTTGAACCCGAGAGGCAGACGTTGCAGTGAGCCGAGATCGTACCGCTGCACTCCAGCCTGGGTGACGGAGTGAGACTCCCTCAAAAAAAAAAAAGACAAAAGCATCATTAGAGTTGAAGACAGTCAACACACAATGGTAAAGGTCCAATTCACTAGAAAATTTTAACAGTTCTAAGCATGTAATAACCTAATTAGATTCAAAATAACTCAGTATGTGGTAAAACAAAAACTGACAAAGTTACAGAGAGAAACTAACAACTCCATCATTACATTGAGAAGATACTAAACTTCCTCTCTCAATTGTTGCTAGGTCAAACAAATAAAAAAAGATCAATTATATATAGGTTAAAGATCAGAATTAGCAAGCTTTACATAACAGACTTATAGAGTTCTGTGTCCTAAATTTAAATGATAAACATTCTTCTAAGGTACACCTGGACCACTTGATAACATACTTGGCTATAAAGTAAGACAATTAATTTTTTAAAATAGGTATTGTATAGATATATTCTCTGGAAAAAAACAAAATTAAATTGGAAGTTATTAATAAAAAGATAAAGAAAGATGAATTATAGCTTTTGTTTATGAATAGGAAAACTGAATATCACAAAAATATCAGTTCAGCTCAGTACGTCTTTAGAATCAATGCAACCTAATCCATCAGGTTTCACAAACTTATTCTAAAATGTACAGGAAAGAGCAAAGGGCCAAGAATAACCAAGACTTTTTTTTTTTTTTTTTTTTTGAGACGGAGTCTTGCTCTGTCGCCCAGCCTGGAGTGCAGTGGCGCGATCTCGGCTCACTGCAAGCTCTGCCTCCCAGGTTCACGCCATTCCCCTGCCTCAGTCTCCCAAGTAGCTGGGACTACAGGCGCCCGCCACCACGCCCGGCTAATTTTTTGTATTTTTAGTGGAGACCGGGTTTCACCGTGTTAGCCAGGATGGTCTGATTTCCTGACCTCGTGATCCACCCTCCTCAGCCTCCCAGAGTGCTGGGATTACAGGCATGAGCCACCGCCTGGCCTAACCAAGACACTTTTGAAGAAAAAGATGGTAGACAAGAGGGAGAGGCTGCCCTGGATATATTCTAAAACTAAGGTAATTAAGACAACATAATATTGCACCTGCTCTACCACGTTTCAAAACTAATTCTAAAACTAGAGATGTGGGCGGATCACGAGGTCAGGAGATGGAGACCCTCCTGGCTAACACAGTGAAACCCCATCTCTACTAAAAATACAAAAAAAAAAAAAAACTTAGCCAGGCGTGGTGGTGGGCGCCTGTAGTCCCAGGTACTCGGGAGGCTGAGGCAGGAGAATGGCGCGAATCTGAGAGGCGGAGCTTGCAGTGAGCTGAGATCGAGCCACTGCACTCCAGCCTGGGTGACAGAGCAAGACTCTGTCTCAAAAAAAAAAAAAAAATTAAAATTAAACTAGAGATGTAGCCATTAATATGGCACAGCAATGGTTCAGAGTGGACAAAATAGAAACAAGAGCCAGAAACACTACCAGACACTATGAAACTGTGATACACTGTCATGCATTGCCTAATGATGGTGATACATTCTGAGATATTCATTATTAGGTAATTTTGTTGTTGTGTGAACATCATAGAGTACTTTCGCAGACCTAGATGGTATAGCCTACCACACACCTAGACTTTATGGCATAGCCTATTGCTCCCACGCTACAAACCTGTACAGCATGTTACAGGAAAGAGCAAAGGGCCAAGAATAACCAAGACTTTTTTTTTTTTTGAGACAGAGTCTTGCTCTGTCGTCCAGGCTGGAGTGCAGTGGCTCGATCTCGGCTCACTGCAAGCTCCGCCTCCTGGGTTCACGCCATTCTCCTGCCTCGGCCTCCCGAGTAGCTGGGACTAGAGGTGCCCACCACCACGCCCGGCTAATTTTTTTGTATTTTTAGTAGAGACGGGGTTTTACCATGTTAGCCAGGATGGCCTCAATCTCCTGGCCTCATGATCCGCCCACCTCGGCCTCCCAAAGTGCTGGGATTACAGGCATGAGCCACCACGCCCAGTCCATCATTGACCTAAACATCACTATGTGGTGAACAATTGTATTTTTCTTTTAATGGCACGGTAGATGAATAGGGAAAGGAAGGACAATTCAAAAAATAGAATTTAAAAATCCCACATAGATTGAAGGATAAAAACAATACTTTAAAAAACATCAAAAATACGTAGATAAAATGCCTGTCTCTGGTATTCATATAGGAAGAATTTCTTAAACAAGACCCATAAAAGTCCTAGCCATAAGATAAAGGATTGGTAAATTTAACTACATTAAAATTAAGATCTGTTCTTCAAAATACACCTTAAGGAAAGTGAAAGGAAAAGCTGAAAAGTTAGAGCATATATTTGTAACATTTATGACTGATAAAGGATTGGTATAAAAATATGTACTGAAGTCTTTAAAAAAAAAAGTCCCTCTCAAAAATAAATAATAAATAGAAAACAACCTATAGAACCTAGTAGAAAACAACCTAATAGTAAAGCATATGGAGAGATTTTTTTTAACAGGATTCAAATACATATGGCCACTAAACATATGAAGTGATTTCAACCTCATTAGTAATCAGGAAAATGCAAATTAAGCACACAAATAGATACCATTAACTATCCATCCATTTTTTACAGTTGAGGGAAAAACTAAAACATGACAGAGTTTATTCATCAATGGGAACTTTTATATACTGTTAGAAGGCATGTAAATTGGAACAGCCTCTTTGGAAAACAAGTCTGCATTATCTTGTAAGTATGAATATTCACATATCTTACAACCCAGTTGTCTTAGTCTGTTCAGACTGACACATTGAAATGAGACACAAAATATCACTGACTGGGTGATTTAAACAACAGAAGTTTATTTTCCCACAGTTCTGGAAGGTGGAAGTCTGGCAGCAGTTGACAGCATGGTCAGGTTCAGTGAGGGCTCTGTTCCTGCCTTGCACATGGCCACCTTCTCATCGTGTCCTCACATGAGACACACAGAAAGACTCTTCTTATAAGGCCACAGGCTTATTGGATTAGGGCCCCACTCTTAACAACCTCATTTAACCTTAATTACCTCCTAAAGACCCTATCTCAGATACAGTCATATTGGGGGTTAGAACTCAACACAGAATTTTGAGGAGACAAAATTCAGCCCATACCACTAACTCCCAGGTGCCCAAGAATACATATATAAAAGGATGTTTAAAGCACCAATTTTCATAATATCAACAAATTTAAGCAAGCCACATGTCCACCAACAATAAAATGGAAAATAAATTGTGGTATATTTATACAAAATACTATTATACATCAGTGAAAATGAAGAATGAGCTGCAGTTCTATGCAACAACATGAATACACATCAGTAAACTAAGGTTGAAAAGAAAAAAGAAAGTTCAAAAAATTACTACTTTCAGTATGATACACTTTTTATTGAGCTCAAAAACTAGCAAAATTCAACAATGTATTGTTTAGTCATGCATATATATTTGAAATAAAACTATCATTTTTATGCAAATGATGGATACAAAATTCAGGTGAGTAGTTATTTCTAGGGGTGGGGCAGTAAGGCAGTGAAATATTGATGGATATAACTCATAGTGTCTCAAAAGCCAATTGTTAAATTTTTTAGGACTTTCAAGAGCCCCTTGTCAAACCACTGGTAGCCTGAAATCAGCCATGGTGGGAGTATTTACACCATGGAAACTGGCAAATACTGAAACCAAGAGGCTGGTTGTTAAACATTTACCAGTATACCACTGAATGTAAGCTGTTGCTAGTGTTCCAGTTCTTGGTTTGAGTAGTAAGTTCTGTTCATTATTTTTTAAATGAACAAGGTTCTTAGTTTAGGTAGTAATGTCTGCTCATTATATTATTTAAAAAGAATGAATGAATGTAAACAAAGAGGTTCATGACTGGACCCAAAAAGTCAGCATATCACGAACCAAGGTGTATGATTGTTACAACTGTGTGCACCTACAGTAGGAAAAAAACAAAAAAAGCATTAAGTTCCCTCCATCTGGGCATATCAAGTGTCAAAAGAATCTCTACTAATAAATGAGGTCAATATATACCTGGAAGGTACTATCCCACTCTCTGAGAGCAACACACAGGCTTCCAGGAATGAGAGGATGGGCCCATCCAGTCCCATGGAGGTGAGTCTCCCTAGTTCCCTCACCAAGCAAGCCTCTCAATGATCAGGCTCTAGGCCAGAAAAACTAGATGGTATAACCCATGCGACAGTCACAGAAGGAGCTGGGGCCACACTATCAGCACCCACAATGTGGTCATGGTTCTTGAGCCAAACTGGGTCCAGCCTCTAAAGTAGCTCAGGCAAGAGGGGAAGCTAACACCAGTAACTCACGTTGTTTTCCACCCCACCTTGCCATAACGTCAAGGAGGCTGGCCAGGCCCTCTGCTGTTAGAATCGAAGGAACCTGAAGGGGAAACAGTTAGGGATAGACTAAAGTTAGCAAGCCAGAGAAAGAAGCAGCAGTGACTAGCAAAACAAGGGGAAGGGAGGAAAGGCTAGAAGTGGGTGTAGAAACGAACATATGGAGGTCAGAAATCAGAGAGCTGAGAGAAGGGAATCTCATGCCAAGTCAGCCAGAATGAGAGTGGTCTCGGGGACCCTGGCTCTTGGCAGCCCTGGAGACGGACAGATGCTACATGTGACAGGTAGCCTGGTCAGGTTGGCTCCCTCAAAAGGGGCATCGGACAGGGTGGCCAACTAGTTGGTGGGGCCAGGTTCCCTTGATAACATATACCACGCAGAAAGCAGGTCTGAAGCTTGAGGTCTGTGACACTGTTGCTTTCAAGTTGTGTGGCAGCCGTTCCTTACCACCCTGGTCTGAAAGAGCCTCCAGGCAGAGGGGCCTTAATTGTGCTAAATTCCACGTAGAAAAGGAGTGAGACTCATAAAGCCTAAGTAAGGTGCTCGGCTTCCTGAAAACAGCTGACATTGCCAGAGAAAAACTGTGGGAGGCAGCCCACAAGCCTGCCCATGCCAGGCCATCTGCAGAAGGATGGGGCGGCAGCATCAGAGGGTGGGCGGCAGCATCACAGTGCATGCGGCAGCTCTGCCCCATGAGGGAAGCCTTAGTAAGTTCCAAGTCACACTTGCTGCAGAGTTATGGTAGTGTGGGCTCCCCTTGGTGGTCCCCCCACAGTTTAAGCTGTAGCTGAGCTACCCTCATGCCAGCTGATCACCGAGGAGGTGGGATGGATACATCAAACTGCAGGTCTCAACTTTAATATGACCCTGGCATATGTGGCCCTGGTCTTTTCAGGCAGGACTGTCAAGCATGTTGCCAGGACAGCCAGGAACCCACATGTGAAGGTTAATCCTATGGGTCAACTTGACTGGGCCACAGGGTGCCCAGACATTTGGTCAAACATTATTCTGGGATTGTGAGGGTATTTGGAGATGAGATTAACATTTGAATGAGTAAACTGGGTAAAGTGATTGCCTTCCCTAAGAGTGGCCTCATCCAATCAGTTGAGAACCTGAATAGAACAAAAAGGCTGACCCTCCTGTGAATAACAGGGACCTCTTCTTGCCTAACTGCTTCGAACTGGGACATAGGCCTTTTCCAGCCTTTTGACTTGAATGGAAACATCAGCTCTTCTTGGGGTCTCAAGCCTGTCAGCTTTCAGTCTGGAACTTACACCACTGGCTCTCCTGGGTCTCCAGATTGTTCACTGCAGATCTTGAGACTTCTTCCATAATTACAAAAGCCAATTCCTTATAATAAATCTCTTTCTATATATATCCTGTTGGTTCTGTTTTTCTGTAGAACCCTAATACACTCGTACAATACATTGCCCATCTACATGGGTACAGTCTATTTTCTCTCTTCCCATACCTCTGCCCTTTCCCTGATGAACCCAGGCCCCAGATATCTCTCAGACAGCCACTGAAAAGCCAGCATTTGGGATATACACACTCTCATCCTGGCCAGTCAGCCTCCCAGAAAGACCACACCAACCATCTGTACTCTCCTGCTCCTGGGCTATGTTGCTAGAGAAAAACCACAAGAGTTGGCCAGATTCTCGAGCTCTCCAGGCTCAGGGGGTGCTCCCATAATTGATCAATGCCTTCAATAGCTCACTCTCAGACCCTCCTCCAAACACTGTCCATTCCCCCGAGGCTTATCCCTGCCCTTGCATTGCCATTCACAGCAGATCACCTTGCCTCAACTTACCTGAGAAAAATGTCATTTGCAGGAGGTCCTGCAACTTCCCTCTCTCCCCAATTCATCTCTGCTTCTTCATCCATCCCCTTCTCTTTTCTCCCAGAGAGAAATGTCTTTAAGACATCAATATAAAGGCAAAGTTATTGAAGGCAAAGTGTCCACACCAACCCAGATTAACACATAGATAGGAGGTCTCAAAGGTGTGCATGGTCAGTTGGGGGCAGCAACACTTCTTCAACTGGGTTCTGTCCTCTGGCCTTTTTCCCATGAGATGATCTCAATGGACTGACCTTGACTCAGGCAGACCCCTACTAAGCACCCAAAAGGGAGGCCAGGGCCCTGGGCAGTCTCTCCAGCATGCCTCTCAGCCTGTGCAAGACCATCTAGGCTTCTCAGTGTGGGTCCACCTTTTGCCCGTTTCATTAGATATTTTTTCACACTTGTATATTTAATATTTCTCTCTCGTCTATATTCTTATCCTCAGTTTAAAATATACTTGAAACACTGCCATCCTAAATTGGCTGCCTCTCAATCCTGCTGTTTCCCTGGCTATTTCCTTAAATGTCTCCTTTCCTTCCCAGAAAACTTCCTGAAAGAAAAGCTGGCACTTGCTGCTTTCAGTTCAGACTGGCCATTCTCTCACACCAGATTTCTAGTTTCTGTGCCCACCCCACCCTCAGTCCCACTGACGTTGCTCTACTAGGGTTGCTAAAGACTCCAGGTCATCAAATCCAAGAGTTACTTTTCAATCTTCTTCTGTTTGGCTGTTCACCTTTGTTTTGGTGAAAGAAAGAATGCATGTCTACACAGAGCATTTACAGGGGAGCAGCGTCATGTGAATTCTAATAATGGAAGATTTCTCCAAGGAGAAATCAACTCTTGGGCACAGAATCAGGGATAAGAAGTTCAACCTCACCTATCCACTTGCCAGCTGGACACTAGGACTTGACCTAATTAAGGGAGTTGACAGTTTTTTTGGTGTTTTGTTTTGTCTTTACAAGCAGATGTTATCACCCCATTATACCAAGAAGGAAATTGAGGCTCAGAAAAAACTTGTAGATTGCCCCAAGTTACACAGTGGGTTATGGTCAGAGCTCCCTCCATCACATAGTGATAATAGCTATGACTTAATAACTACTGTATATCAGGCATGTGCTAAGAGCTTTACAAGGCAATACCTCATATAATCCTCTCCTAAAGTACAGACTAGTTTATACACCTTATTACAACTCCACTTGAATGTGTAATGGACATCTCAAAGGTGACACATTCAGAAATGAAATCAGGATCTTTTCCCCAAAACCTGCTCTACCTACAGCTTTTGCTATCTCAATTGATGGTGACTTCATCCTACTAATCGCTCAGTACAAAAAAAAAAAAAAAAAATTGCAGTCCTCCTTGACTCCTCTCTTTCACACCTCATATACAATTTCTCAGGAAACCCTATTGAAACTACCTTCAAAATATATCCATAATCTTCCCACTTCTCAGAACTTCTACTGCTACCAGCCTGGTCCCAGCCACCATCATCTCTCACTTAGATTACCTAGTGGCCTCCCAGCAGGTCTCCCTGCTTTTCCCTCTCTCGCCTCCCTCTCCTCACCTCCCCTCACCCTCCAGTCTCTTCTCAAAGCAGCAGGAGAAATCCAGCTAAGTTCTCCTTCTCGCCCATTGCAGCCTCGAGCTTCTGGGCTCAAACGATCCTTCCGCCTCGGTCTCCCGAAGTGCTGAGATTACAGGCGTGAGCCACCGCGCCTGGCCTTAAAATCCTTTTTAAAGGCACTTTGACATCCATTATCTCATTTAAGTCTAAAACACGAATTTCGACCTCCGCGCTGCTTTCTGGTTCCACCTGGCGGCAGCTGCACAAAGTGTTTCTCTTCGAACGCCGTCCCAAGTTTTACCCGGAACTACTTAGCCCAGGGTTTCCTGAGTGCTCCTCGGGCCAAAAGCAGAGCGCACAAATTCCAGAAGAAATTACCAACGGCGGGACTATTTCAGTGCTCCGAGAAGTATCACCAGTAACCAATCAGCAAAAAGCTCTAGCTCACGTGGTGTATATTCAGCCTATCAAGCTCCTGATATTCATGAATGCTGTCATTTCCGCTTCCGCCTCCTTCTTTCTCGACAAGATGGCCACACCGGCGGTACCAGTAAGTGCTCCTCCGGCCACGCCAACCCCAGTCCCGGCGGCGGCCCCAGCCTCAGTTCCAGCGCCAACGCCAGCACCGGCTGCGGCTCCGGTTCCCGCTGCGGCTCCAGCCTCATCCTCAGACCCTGCGGCAGCAGCGGCTGCAACTGCGGCTCCTGGCCAGACCCCGGCCTCAGCGCAAGCTCCAGCGCAGACCCCAGCGCCCGCTCTGCCTGGTCCTGCTCTTCCAGGGCCCTTCCCCGGCGGCCGCGTGGTCAGGCTGCACCCAGTCATTTTGGCCTCCATTGTGGACAGCTACGAGAGACGCAACGAGGGTGCTGCCCGAGTTATCGGGACCCTGTTGGGTGAGTGGTCAGAGAAAGTTAACATTCTTTTCTTCCTCCCACTTCTCATTTATCTCACTCCCCTAACTCATTAATTCTTTAATTCCTGGTGTCCTACCGTCCTTTCCTCCCATCCCCAATGACCTCTTAATCTATATCTGCATCCTACCTTTTGCTGTGACTTATCTTCTCAAGCACTTGCATCTCTCCTCTCTCTCCTGCCGGATTGCTGTCACTTTAAGCGACATAAAATACACAAGGAGTAGTTGTGTCATTTACTGAATATTTTATGCCAGTGGTTTACATTTATGCCAGTGGTTTACATTTTACATAAACAGCAGTTTATGGCAAGTATGATGGGCTGCATCTACCAAAAATGAGTTCACACGCCGAGTGGGAAGTCAGGAACCCTTGACTCCCTATACCAGTGACCACATATTTCTCCCTTATCCACTGACTAAATGTCATCGTTTTCCAGGTATTGACAAAGTTTTCTAACCAGTTGTCAAAGGAGTGGGGACGTTTGTAAAAAAACATTCCTCCCAACAAGTAAACCGGTTTGGTTGGAACCCGCTTGGGATTTTATAGTGTTCTGCTGTCCTAAACGTCTGAGCCTGATCTGTGTCCCTCAGTGTCCCCTAATATTAGTACCTAATGTGAGAAACCCTGTTCCCCCATTTTGCATTTGGACGCAAACAGTTGTATTATCTGTTTATATTTCTGCCCTTAACCTTCAGGTCGAAAAATGACCCATTCTCTGCCTGTGTTCCAAATTTGGGGAATAGATATTTTATGTTAAAGTAGTTTGTAAAATGGAAAAGCACTAAAGAGGGATTGTTGATAATAAATTCCTTTCTGGAGACTATGCTGGTCCCATGAAATTCGTTTCCATTCCATCTTAGTGCCAGATTTTAAATAGCTTTGTGAATCCACTTTATTTACAAGCATTCTTTCTCTTTCATACTCTTGAACATCTACTAGTTCTTACACCATAGAAGACAGTTGGTATATTGCAAAGCAGACAAGATTTGTAAGCAGACCTCACAAAACATTTGCCATGTGACTTGGGGCAGATTACCTAAAATCTGTTCTGTCAGGAGCTACTTTAGACTTAGTCTTTGTGAGAGCTAAATTAAAAACTTCTGACTATGCTGGCACACATTAGGTACAGCTGTTAGTTGCCATTCACATCAGGCCTGGACCACCCCAATGCATACAGACACACATTTTCTCTCCTTTATCTATCTTTGACGGTATAGCATTTTACAGAAACTTAAATTCATATCTTCTGAACATTGCTTGTCTTTTCTCAGACCAAGCTTTTGCGTTCTCTTTGCCACAAGTGCTTTTCCTGCTGTCCTTCATTTGTTTAAGCTCTACCTACCTTCCACGTTCCCAGCAACAGCATTAAGTGCCGGTCCTCCATCCCATACCCGGACCCTCACTCCATTCTTAACCTTCCACAGCATGATGGTGTTCTGTAACTGTGCCCTGCTCTGAGCTTCTGTAATAAATTATTTTTGCATCACTGACTTGACACTCAGCAAATACTTACTCTTTTGGCTGCACTTTCTAATTTTCCAAGCTCGCTAAAGCTATTTAAAGAAACTAATTCATTACCCATGATTTATGCTTTAGCGCCCCAAATATTCCAGTGATCCAGTCAGACCAGGTATAATCTAATCTACATCCTCAGATCCTCTTCCAGACTGGAATCATGGTACAGTGCTATAGGTGTTATAGAGGCAATACTTACAGAAGAATAAAGAATAGATTCTGCTTGCTATGAACTTATTTCCTTAGATATACACAAAACATTTCATTTGTCTAAATGAAGTCATTGGTGCTTTTTTTGTACCATAAAACTGTTAAGGTATTTAGAATTCAAAGTGTAATAAAGTGAGCTCTCCTGTAACCTTAAACTCAAGATAGAAGTGTACTCTTAAATGCAAATAATTAGAATGTAATATGATAAATGTTCCAATAGAAGGGTGTCATGGTGGCATGGAAATGCAGAAGACTTAACTATTTCAGAAGGTTGGGGAAAAGTTCACAAAAAAGATGACGTTTGAGCTGGGCATTAAAGCAACTACAAGAAGTATAAAAAAGCCTGGTAAATCCACTGTCTGAAACATTCAGTATTACAGGAATGTAGGTGACAGGAGGTAGAGCAGGAAATGAAGCTAGCAGAGGGCAGAGCCCTAAGAAGTATTAAATAATTACAAATGTAAAGTGCTGTGAAGGGAATTACCTGGATCCCTGAGAAGACAAAATGAAAGTCTAACCTCATTTGAAGCTCTTTGGGGAAGCTCCTGAGCATTTCAGCTAACACTGAATAGGAATTAAAAATCACTCTGGAATGAGTGAGTTGAGAGATAGGAAATAAAGTTGACAGGACATGGTGTGATCAGAAGTGAGGGATTAGAAGAAAATATCAGGGATGACTTCTACATCTTTGGTTAAGTGTGAAAGAAGAAAGGGAAGGTAGGGGTTGACTAAAGGTCTGGAGTGCAAAAGAGATGTGGGCAAGTATGTCAGGTTAGGAATTATGTCATTGGAATATAGAAGGTAATTGAACCCATAAAATTGGATGAGATCACCTAAAGCAGGGGTTGGCAAACTTTCTATAAAGGTCCAGACGGTAAATATTTTAGGCTTTGTGTGCAGTCTCTATCACAACTACTTAATTCTGCCTTTGTAGCAAGAAAGCAGCCATAAAAAAATTGGCGTGTAAACTTTATTCACAAAAAACATTTCTAGATCAGGGCCTGGCCTAGAAAAGGAACATTGAATAAAAAGACAAGAGAACAGAGACAAAACCCTAAAAACCTAAAAAGTCAGGAAGAAGTAGCCAACAAGATTAGAAAGGTAGGAAGAAAACTAGAAGGAAAGTTTTAAGATGGGAAGTAAGTGGTCAAGTCTGTTCAACGCTGATGAGAGGTCAAATAAGATAAAGGATATATGTGCATTTGGTTTAGGGACATAGTTTCAGTGAAGGGAGCAGAAACCATAGTGAGTTGGAATTAGATAAACACTGGTAGATATAGACAACACTGTGGTTTCTGGTGGAGAGGGAAACTTTTAAATCCTGGGGTAGGAGGTTCCAATAGATTAGAAGAGAATGGAAAACTCAACGTAGTGGTCTTAGGTCAAGAAACAAATGTAGTGGGAATAAATAAATAAATAAATAAATAAATAAATAAATAAAAGAAATACAGCCTGGGCACCATGGCTCACACTTGTAATCCCAGCACTTTGGGAGGCTGAGGCAGGCAGATCACTTGAGGTCAGTAGTTCAAGACCAGCCTGGCCAACATGGTGAAACCCCGTCTCTAGTAAAAATACAAAAATTAGCTGGGCGTGGTGATGCGCACCTGTAGTCTCAGCTACTCGGGAAGCTGAGGCAGGAGAATCACTTGAACCCTGGAGGCAGAGGTTGCAGTGAGCCGAGATTGCACCACTGCACTCTAGCCTGGGCGACAGCAAGATTTCGTCTCAGAAAAAAAAAAAAGAAAAAAAGAAATATGGAAGTAAAGGTATCAGAACTAGAACAAAAGTTTGTGGTAAAAGACTGACTTCTAAGGTTCGCAGATAGATTTCTGGATGATGATAAGGTTAAGACTGACCATGGGACCAGATGGCTAAAGGGAGGTACAGATGAAGCTCCTGACGTCTCAGTGTCTGAAACTTGGCCACTATATTAGCAGTCTATGTAACCATTAAAATATTCCAGGTAGCTCTGCAGATTAAATTACAGGGAGAAAGTGTAGAGGCTGAAAAAAAAGGCCGTAGAGTGAAGGTCTGGAATAGGCTAGTAGTGGAGAGTAACAGGCAAAAGGAGACCTTGTAAAGGAAGAATAAACCCTATTTGGTGATGATTAGAGGGAGAAGTTGGCGATCACACCACAGTTTCAGTTCCCTGGAGAATTCTGGTCCCATCGATGCACCGGACTAAACTTGGAGCTAATGAGTTCAGTTAGGTGTTCATTGACATTGAAGAGATCATCAAAAGCATTTCAAAAGTAGTCAGAGGTTGTTGGGAGCCCTAGGATTATATAACACATGGACGATTCTCTCTTTCACAGGAACTGTCGACAAACACTCAGTGGAGGTCACCAATTGCTTTTCAGTGCCGCACAATGAGTCAGAAGATGAAGTGAGTGGGAATCCAAGCTGTCCCTCTGCAGTTTTTAGCTGTTCATTTGCTCGGCTCCCCTCACGGTCCCTCCCACACTCATAACTAGAGCTCCTGTAGCCAAGGAGCTTCTTCCCATTTGTACGTACTTCCTGGGCCTCTTCTGTTTATTGGGGGTGGCCTCTTGTCCTTTTTAACCAATTTTTCTTTGGACTTCTGGCTTCTTAGCTTGCTTTCCTGCCTTCCCTCTTAGGTGGCTGTTGACATGGAATTTGCTAAGAATATGTATGAACTGCATAAAAAAGTTTCTCCAAATGAGCTCATCCTGGGCTGGTAAGTTGGGGAGGTGGGGGCTGGGGTTAATGGAAGGTCTCTTCGTGATTGCCGGTGTCTTTTGCTACTGGACTGGATCTTATACTCTTCCTTTTGGAGGCAAGAGTATTGCAAGTGTATTACTGACTGTGAGCAGTGGCTCAATGCCTGTAATCCCAGCTGGGAGGCTGAGGCAGGAGGATCACTTGAGCCCAGTAGTTCAAGATCAGCCTGAACAAAATAGTGAGACCCTGTCTCTACAAAAACATTTTTTAAAAACTTAGCCAGGCATGATGACACACACCTATAGTCCTAGCTATTCAGGAGGCTGAGGCTAGAGGATCACTTGAGGCCAGGAATTTGAAGTTGCAGTGAGCTATGATCATGCCTTGCCACTGCATTCCAGCCTGAGTGACAGAGTGCGACCCTGTCTCTAAAAAACAAAAGGAAAGTGTGTTACCTGTAGGAACTGTGAATTCAGTGGGTTTTGCTGGTGGTTCTGATCCTGTGGGGCCAGGATATTTCGAATTACCTTGTAAGTGACTTGGAATTTTTCATCAGCACTAAGTCAGCCTTTGATTTTATTTGACATAGTTTTCGGTGTGTGTATTGCTCTTGGCAGTTGGTGTCACTAGGTGTCCTACCGTAGAAGTGTCCGGTACCCTGAAGACACCCATGCCACTGTTGTGTTTGATATTGACGCCACATATAGACAGGAGTCCACCACTGTGTTCCATTTCACAGGTACGCTACGGGCCATGACATCACAGAGCACTCTGTGCTGATCCACGAGTACTACAGCCGAGAGGCCCCCAACCCCATCCACCTCACTGTGGACACAAGTCTCCAGAACGGCCGCATGAGCATCAAAGCCTACGTCAGGTGACCACAGTCTTGGGCTACAAGGGCATAAAACCATGCCCAGATGCCATCCCTCCCCCACCCCAAGCAAGGTTAATTCCTTCCATGTGTAACTTGCTGTGTCCTTAGGAAGCCTGTTCCTCTCTCTCAACAGTTATTCTAAAGGTTTCACTCTGAAACAAAATCTGTTCCTGTAATTTCTACCGCTGATCCTAGTTGTACTCCAGTTTCTACTCATTGCCCTTTTAAGTATTTGAGCAAGCTGTCAAGTCATCTTTTGTAGGACCTAACTATTCCATAGTTCCTACAGCCAATCATCACATGGTATTCTTGTCATGATCCTTCACCACATTCATTACTTTTCTGAATTACCCATTAGTTTGTCATTATCTCTAGAACTCAGCACAGCGCTCAGGGTAATACAGATTATAAGGATGACTGTCCTTATTTTGAACACATTTATTAACCCAGGATTGAGTGCAGTTTTAATGACAATGACATTACAGTGAACACGTTGAGCTTGCAGGTGGTTAAAATGCCAGTTATGGGGGATGTTGGGAAAGGCCCTGGTGGCATGCTGAGGAAGCAGCTGTGGTAGTTGGAAAGACCATGGTCAAAGGGAAGGCAGCTGTTAGTGCATCTGTCAGGCTGTTGATTTTGTGCTGGTTCTGTGTCTGACACTGACATAGCCAGTTAACTCTTACACAGTACACAGTAAGACAAAGATGGTGGATGCCAAGTCTTTATGAGCCAGTTGGCATACCACTAAGCACTAGCCATTGCCTGACTTCTTAACCTTCCCAGGTATTTCAGACTCCTCAAGATCCAGTATATATATATATATGGATCCAGTATATACAATATATATATAAGATCCAACTATATATATGTATATATATGTAGATAGAGAAAGATATATATAGTTGACATAGTAAAGTATAGATCCAGGTATATAATTGACATAGTAAAAAGAATACCTTTAGTGAGATGACTTATAGCACCCAATGTAATTTGGTGGGCAGGAGTTGGTTTCCTTTTTCAATGCTGATGAAGGGCGTAGTCCCCGAAAAGATTTGTCTCTGTCTCCTTTCCATGGTAGGTAGCTGTCTAGACAGCCAGCTCTACGGGGTAATTGAGTCCTGTCCTCTCGTCACTGACACTGCACCGTGTGTGAAGTAATCCTCTAAAGGGACCAGGCCAAATGCAAAGGCCCCCCTTACAGATCAAGGGTTTGGTATGTGGGAAAAGCTAAGGGGAGAAAGTAACTTTTGCTCCCATGAGACCTCTGGGGTTCATTTGGTCCCACCCTTTCTATCAGAACCTTGAGAGCCATATTCCTGCTGTATCTGCTTTCTCAGCCCAGAATAGACATGGAAACCCTCTCCCAAGGCCATCTGTTTACTTTGGCTTCTCCTTCCGCAGCACTTTAATGGGAGTCCCTGGGAGGACCATGGGAGTGATGTTCACGCCTCTGACAGTGAAATACGCGTACTACGACACTGAACGCATCGGAGGTGAGTAACCTTTCCATACACTCGCGAGAGGCCATAGGCATTTTCAGGGAAGGGGGCTGCTAGTCTGCAACATGGACGGAGGCCTTGGGTGGTTTGAAAAGGGACTATTGATCTAAGGTTTGTGAAGACTAGAAGTCACAGTCATCTCTTGTATAAATGGGATTTAAGGAGTTATTTGAGAAACTGTTAAAGGTGGGAAATGATCAGCACCAGAGGCCACATACCATTCACATGAGATCAAAACCGGTGATGAGCATACCAGGTAAAAGGAGTTGAGCTCTATTAGGAGGAAGAAAAGCTGATAAGGGCACAGCAGGAAGTGTGACTGAGCAGACTGAGTCTAAGGGGAGTTGGGAAACAGAGTTAGTAGGACGTTAAGACCATCTCTTTCCTGGTGGGATGACTGAATTCTCTCTCTTACTGCCCACCACTGCCGCTGCCACCCTGCCAACCAACTTCCATAGTTGACCTGATCATGAAGACCTGCTTTAGCCCCAACAGAGTGATTGGACTCTCAAGTGACTTGCAGCAAGTAGGAGGGGCATCAGCTCGCATCCAGGATGCCCTGAGTACAGTGTTGCAATATGCAGAGGATGTACTGGTGAGAGGGGAAAGAAAAAACAAAGGGGGAGGACATAGTTCTCTATCCTGGGATCACTGAGGCATGTGCTGATGAAATGGTAGGGCTCAGTGGTTATAATTAACTGCCTCATCGAGTCTTTGTTTTGGTACTCAGTCTGGAAAGGTGTCAGCTGACAATACTGTGGGCCGCTTCCTGATGAGCCTGGTTAACCAAGTACCGAAAATAGTTCCCGATGACTTTGAGACCATGCTCAACAGCAACATCAATGTGAGTGCCCTTCCTGAGCCCCTTCTTGCCTGGTTTCTTCCCCCACCTCAGCACATACACTCAAATGTGAAAAGAGTTGGGTGAGGTGACCTGGAGTAGGATAGAGACAGGGCTTCACCTATAGCCCCACTGAAGTCCAGGTTGGGAGGAAGGAAGAGGTGTGTTATGCGTGGTTGGAGACTTCCTTCCTTCTCCCATGATTCCATTGTCTCATTTACTGCTGATACTACTGTGACTTACTGTCTAAATTCGTGATGGAAAGAAACACTAAAATTCAGAGGTTAATGAAAATGCAATTACTTATTTCCCCCATCTGAGTTCACAGACCCCCTATATTCCATCCATGGGTTTCAGCTAAGGCACCCCTAGTCTATAAGTGTATCAGTAGAGATAAGAAAGCCTTCTCAAGCATTTCCTTTCTGTCTTCTACCTTTTTGACTTTTATTCAGTCTCTCCTAGCTGTCATTTATCCACAGCTGTCCTCATACCCAGTGTCTACCATAGAGCTGGCCAAAGCCAGCCTTTTTGCTCCCTTTCCACCCAACCCCCCACTCATTGTGTATTCTTTGTCTTCCAGGACCTTTTGATGGTGACCTACCTGGCCAACCTCACACAGTCACAGATTGCACTCAATGAAAAACTTGTAAACCTGTGAATGGACCCCAAGCAGTACACTTGCTGGTCTAGGTATTAACCCCAGGACTCAGAAGTGAAGGAGAAATGGGTTTTTTGTGGTCTTGAGTCACACTGAGATAGTCAGTTGTGTGTGACTCTAATAAACGGAGCCTACCTTTTGTAAATTAATTTCATCTTATGTGAGTTTATTGCCGGGTGGAAGGGAGGAAAATGTTTTAGATCACACAGAAACTAGGAAGTGAATATTGTAGGTAGAGAAGTTGGTTATGTGTTTGGCATGTTACTGTTTTACCAAACTGTTCTTTTGGTTTTCAATATGGAAAGGTGTCCATTGGCAAAACAACCTTTTCTTGAGGATTCATGTGATTTCTACAGGAAATGAAAATAAGAATCCATGGAGAAAAAATAGCTAAGAAAATTGGATGCTTAATCTGAACTAAAAGAGTAGAGTGTGTAGTCACTATCTTAAAATACATTAATAGTAAGATGGAGCTCTTTGCCACTTTGGTTCGGGGAGGCAGAATTAAGATCTGTGGGTTAAAGATTAAAGAGGTTTCCCCAAAACTTCAGAAAATTCTTAGGTGCTATCTGTAACTCGAGGATAGAGCCTTGAGTTATACTGAGGTCTGCCAGTGGCTCAATTTAAGCAAAGACTAGATGGCATTTCCCAGAGGCCTTGTAGGCTAGAGTACTTGCCTGTGTAACTTCAGACATCCATTTCCTCTGGTATCCTGGAGTTCCGCCTCGCCACTGTGTGTCTTAGAAATAAGTCATTATTCAAGAACTCAGGAAATTATACGTTGGAGTGAAAAGGTGAGTGAAGGCAATGGGGAATCAAAAAGGCCTGGATCCTAGTTCTGAGGTATGTGTAGCCTTAGGAAAGATAAATTATAAGAGTCATAAGATATGGATCATAAACATACATAGTCCATTAGGGTATTATGAGGATTCCATGAATTAATAAATGTCAGGTTAATCAACACTTGTGGAGAATATCACCTGGTATGTAGTAAGCACAGATAAGTGGTAGATACTATGATGCCTAAAGGTGAATAGTTTGAAAGTAATAAGCAACATGAACCCCAGCCTGGAACTCAGTTCTGAGATATGTACCTCAGGAAATATAAGTTATGGGAGTCATAAAGTGTGGATAGTAATGATAGATAATTTCTTACAGGTAGGGAAATGTAAACAGATCTTATCGGCAAAATGATAATGACAGGCCAAATTGTTAAAGGTAGGTTAAAAGTAGACAGCATGGTGGGAAGGTTAATCAGAGTCAAAATGTTTCAGTGTTCTTACATTTTTGGGAGTAGCCAGTTAATATCAACTTAGTCTTTTTAAGTATGCATGATAAAATTCCGAGGTTAATTGCTAGAAGTATATATAATCTCTCAATGAATAGTGATGAGAGATGGTGGGATAATAGGGAAGAAACAAAATTTTAAATTTGAGAAATAAGCATAGAAAAGGTGGATAAAACAAAAGATGGCAAAACAAGTCCAAATAGATCAGTAATTACAATAAATGTATAAGTATTAAACTAGCCCAAGGAAAAATTGAATATTAAAACAAACCCCAATCATATGCTGTTTACAGGAGACACATCTAAAACAAGGACATAAAGTTGTCCTGCAGCTGTGAGTAACAATATAGGTGAATGTTAATAATAATGTTGAATGAAAAAAGCTGGTGTCAGAAGACATGTACATTATGATACTCCAGAAGTTCAAAAACAAGTGAAACTTGTTTAGACATGCGGTTGGCTGTCTGTATATGTGGGTTCCACATCTATGGACTCAACCAACTACAGGTTGAAAATATTGAGGGGGAAAATTGTGTCTGGACTAAACCTGTACAGACATTTTTCCTTGTCATTTTTCCCTAAACAATACAAAGTATTAGATGGTGTTTATACTGTATTCGGTATTATAAGTAATCTAGAGATGACTTAAAAGTATATGAGAAGGTATGCACAGGTTATATCCAAATACTTCATATTAGGGACTTGAGCATCAGAGGATTTTTATATCCAAGGAAGGTTCTGGAACCAATCCTCCACGGATACTAAACGGTGACTGTGTGTGTATATATATATGTATAGTCTGTTCTCATTATCTATAGTAGTTATGTTTTATAAAGTCACCATGAACACTGAATTAGAGAGTACTGAACCATTATTCCCAAGGGAAATACAGGGTTGGGTTCCTATGAACCTCTGGGCACAGTTTCATCAACCCATCAGTACATAAACTTGTTACATGTGTTTCTGTTTGAAGACACCTTAGTATATATGGTTGACCCATTAACACTGAACTTAGCCCACGACACTTATTCCTGAATGAAGCTTACCTCAGTTTCTCCAGGCGGCACATCACAGTCTTCTTGCACTTAGGAACACTTGGCACTGTGCGTGGGGGTCACTTTAAGCAGCAAAATCCACAAAAATGCAAAAGACATGGCACTAAATAGACTGAAAAGGATACTTGTTTATAAGAACTGAAACAAGAAGGCCTTGTTCCACCTCAGCTGGGAACATGGAGAGCAGGCAATTCAAATTTTTTCACATGCTGCATGTCCGCAAATGGCTGCAAAAGCCCAGCAAGTACTGATACTGGAGTTAGAAATAAATTTTAGCAAGAGGTAAATTCACACATACGGAGTCTGCAAAAAATGAGAATTGACTATTATGTGTGTGTATATTATATATATGATAAAAAACAAAAGAATGATAAAAATTCCCAATAATGTTTACTTTGGTGGTGAGAAGAGGATGGCAAGTAAAATAAGTCTGTATTGTTATCAGCAATTATCTAGTTTGAGGTTGGACAGTGGTTTCATCATAGGTATTGATTATATTATAAATAGCCCAACCTGAACTCATGACCATAGTGTGGTGTTATTACTTAGCGTTATTCTAGACTTATTAGCCATTGTATTTAAACAAGAGGAAATAGAGACATTGAAGATAAAGTGGAGCCAGGCACAGTGGCTCATGCCTGTAATCCCAGCACTTTGGCAGGCTGAGATGGGTTAATCAAGACCAGAAGTTCAAGACCAGCGTGGCCAACATGGCAAAACCCCGTCTCTACTAAAAAAAAACAAAAAATACAAAAATTAGCCAGGCGTGGTGGCACGCACCTGTAGTCCCAGCTACTTGGGAAGCTGAGGCAGGAGAATCTCGAACCCAGGAGGTAGGGGTTGCAGTGAGCTGAGATCGCACCACTGCACCCCAGCCTGGGTGACAGCAAGATCCTTTCTCAAGAAAAAAAGTGAAAAGGAGGAGGGTTTTTAAAAAATTAGTACTACCCAGTTGATACGGTGGAAGAAAACTTGAAAATGCTAATGAGAAACATGAGATGTAATCACTTGAAGGCATATCATGTTCTTGAATAAGAAGACTCAACATTATTTTAACAGGTGTTAATTTTCCCTGTTAAACTACATATTTGTCATAATTACAATAAAATACAAAGAGCTATTTTGGAACTGGGCAAGCTGTTTCTAAATGTATATGGAAAAATAAAAATGTCTCCAAAAAATCCCTGCAGAGGGAAACTAGCCCTTCCAGATATAAAATATATTATAGAACTGTGTAATTAAAGCAATATGGTACTGGTCCATAAAAGAACATAAAACCAAATAGTTCAGTAGACTCAAAATGCAAGCGTTGGTGAGGGTATGGAGAAAAGGGAACCCTTTTACACTTGGTGTGAATGTAAATTAGTACAGACATTGTGGAAAACAGTTTGTAGAGCTTCCTCAATAAAAACACATATGATCCAGCAATCCCACTACTGGGTATATATCCAAAGGAAATGAAATCAGTATGTTGAAGAGATACTTCCACGTTCACTGAAGCATTGTTCACAATCGCCAAGACATCAACCTAAGTGTCCATCAACAGAAGATAGATAGGGCTGAGCGCGGTGGCCCACGCCTGTAATCCCAGCACTTTGGGAGGCCAAGGCAGGTGGATCATTTGAGGTCAGAAGTTCTTGACCAGCCTGGCCAACATGATGAAACCCCGTCTCTACAAAAGATACAAAAATTAGCCAGGCATCTTGGAGGGCGCCTGTAATCCCACCTACTCGGGCTGAAGTGAGAATGGCTTGAACCCAGGAAGTGGAGATTTCAGTGAGCTGAGATTCCGCCACTGCAGTCCAGCCTGAGCGACAAGAGTGAGAAGAGTGAGACTTCATCTCAAAAAAAAAAAAGGTACATCTACACAATGGAATATTATTAACCTTAAAAGAAGGAAATAACTGATTTACAACAACATGGATGGACCTGGAGGACACTATGCTAGTGAAATAAGCCATGATCTCACTTGGATATGGAATCACAAAATTGAACTCACAAGCAGAGTGTAGAAAGGTGGTTTCATGGACTGGAGGGAGGGGATAAATGGGGAGATGTTGGTCAAGGGTACAAAGTTTCAGTTAAACAGGAGTAGTACGTTCCGGAGACCTGTTGTGCAGCAGGGTGACTAGTTAATGTATACTTGAAAATTGCTAGGAGTAGATCTCACCAGGAGAAATGAATATGTGAGGTGATGGATGTAACTAGCTTGATTGTGGTAATCAATTTCGCAATGTGTACATATATCAAAACATCACATTGTACAAAATACATACAGTTTTTGTCAATTTAAAGATATCAGAATTCTAGAATATGATAAAGTTGTGTTTTCAAGCAAGTAAAGATAGATTACTTAAGAGCGAATGAGTGGTAATTTGGAAACAATGTTGGATTCCTACTTCGTTACCTGCACCAAAATAAGTTGCTCATGGAATAAAAACTTGTCTGAAAAAAAAACCATAAATATGAGGGAAAAAACACAGCAATGTGTTTTTAATGATTTATGAGTGAGGAAGAACTTTCTAAGAACTGAGAATCCAGGAGTTATTTTAAAAGACTGACAAATTTAGCAACATTTTTAAAATCTGAGTGTCAAATTACACACATACACAAATAGTCAATACAAATATAAAACTGGGAAAATATTTGCAGTTCATATCAAAAAAAGGGCTAATATTCTTGTCCCAGAATTCCTACAGTTTTTTAAGGCCAGTAATTTGATACATTAGTGTGTAAAGGATATGACCAGACAGCTCACACACAGACACACAAATGTGAAAAGATGCTTGATCTCACTGATAAAGCATAAATTAAAACGATGTCATTTTTAAAAATCAGATTCGCAAATTTTAAAAGTTGCTAACACTGGAATGGCCAGAGTAAGAGGAAACGTGACACAGGCACAGATTGCTGGTAGACATATAAGTTGGTACAGCCCTCTCTATGTAATTTTGTGTTTGTCAAAATTACAAATATGCATGCCCTTAACCCAGGAATTCCACTCCTCATTATATATCCTACAAATAAACTGGTCTCGTTATGACACAATGTAATGAATACATAGATAAGTACTGAAATACTTGGTTATCATAGCGTAAAGATGGTAATCAACCCAAATGACTATTACCAGAATAGAAATTAAACAAAGTATGATATATCCATAAAACACAATACTATGCAGCTGTTAAGCAGAATGAGACAGTCCTCTATATATCAATATGGATAAAGAGTAAGTGAAAAAAGCCAGGAGAGAATGTTGTCTATAATATGCTGTTGTTGTGTACGGGAAAATAAATAATATAAATACCTAGAATATTTGTGAAGGTACAGCCAAGAAACTACTATCACTGATTGTCTTAAGGTACTAGATGGGGCACAGGACAGGACGAAAGATTTACTTCTTATTGTTTCTTCTGTATAACTTTTGAATTTTATGCTGTTAATGTAATTTTTCAAAAAAATATATAAAAATATAAAAACATGAAAAACATGAAACAATACCTTATATTTTTACATATACTATAAAAAGTAGGAAATATTGGGAGGCCGAGGTGGGCAGATCACCTGAGGTCAGGAGTTTGAGACCAGCCTGACCAACATGGAGAAACCCCATCTCTACTAAAAATACAAAAATTAGCCAGGTGTGGTGGCGCATGCCTGTACTCTCAGCTACTTGGGAGGCTGAGGCAGGAGAATCGTTTGAACCCAGGAGGTGGAGGTTGCGGTGAGCCAAGATCACGCCACTGCACTCCAGCCTGGGCAACAAGGGCAAAACTCCGTCTCAAAAAAAAAGTAGGAAACATGCGAAAAATGATAAAATCAAATTTAAGATACTACTTCTGGAGAGTAAAAGAGGAAGAGAGGGAACAGTATTGGCAAGGGATGCAGACGTGGTTTCAATTATATCTGTAATGGCTTTCCTTTAAAAAATAAGATATGGCCAGGAGCAGTGGTGCACACCTGTAGTCCCAGAGACTGGGGAGGCTGAGGACGGAGGATCCTTTGAGCCCAGGAGTTCAAGGCTGTGGTGCACAATGTTTACGCCTGTGAATAGCCACTGCACTCCAACCTAGGCCACTTAGCAAGACCCTGTCTATAAAAAATAAGATATGAAGTAAATATGACGTAATATTAAGTACATAAGTACTTGTTATTATTTATAATTTTCTGTAAGCATATATAATATTTCATTAAAAATTAGAGGGTAGACCTTTATCTTGGGAAGATGTACATACTAATTTACCATGTGCCCAGAAAATTAGGCCTCCACATGGGTTTTCATTTGTATATGAAATGGCTCAGAAATGAACAAGAACTAGGAGTCACCCAATTTATCTGCTTCCAGAGTGCCCCATGCTCCATCATGGGGCTGCTCCCAGGCCTCAACCCCTCCACTTCACAGCTCTTTACCCTGCCTCCTCCACTCCCTGTTCAACCTCCTGAGTAACACTTCAGGGCCCCAGTGCAAAATCCAACCCTGCCTTCTTTCCTTAGAGGCTGCTCAGAGCCTGGAGGCTTTGACCCTCTTCTGAGAAGTGAAGGACAGAAGAACTGAGACCCTGACCACCTCTCAGGAAGCTTAACTTGTTCAAGTCAAAGCCAAAAGCAGGACGTCTTTTCTGGAACTGAGATTGTAAACTGCTATAAGAGCCTAGAGAAGGCATTTCACTGAGGAAATGGAACCAGAGCCCTGGAATAGAGCTTACAGGATGCCCAAGAGGTATACCTGGAAGTGAGACTAGGCTGAACAAGGCAGAGGTAAGCTGTGGCCCAGACACAATGAAGAGACCAAGAGAATGGTCTGTGAAGACATGTTGGTACCAAGATAGCTGAAGGAGCATCCAGAAGCTTCAGAAGAGAGGGCAGGGGTGCCTTTCAGGGTGATCACACCACTGGCAGTCTGAAAGATGGATTGGAGTCGTCCAAATGAGCAGTAAAGGTGTCCTAGGGCGGGATGAGGCCCAGGAAATGGAGAGGCAGAAACACACAAGAGAAACTGGCCCAGTGCTCCTGAGACAGGCTGTCCCACCACCTGCCCGACCTGGAGTACAGGCTGAGCAGGAAGTGAAGTGGAAGCAGTGACCATTGACAGCGCTTAGGAAGTTACGGCTGAGATGGAATTTCCACAGTATATGGAAAATTAGAACAAGCCCACAACACCTATAACTAAGGTATCGTTTCAAAGTTCCCCGCCCCCAGCTGCCTGCCCACCCTACCACAGTAATTTCCCTTTTTGAGGCTGTCGACAATTTTACCCAAATCTCTTTCTACCCAGCCCTTCAAACAGCTTCCCAAGAACTCCCTAGCCGATCATTTTCCTGACTAGAACCCTCAAATTACTAATCCATTTTATTCCTAAAATTATATCACATCATTCTACTGACCAGAGCCACCTAAATTAACTGATCCTTTCAACCAGTCCCACATACCATGCCAACCACCCTGCCCTACTAAGCCATGGGCCCACCACCCCACCATTTCTCACTTACTCTCTATTCCCCTGAGAATCTGTTCAGCACCAGTTACCCAGTGGTAGTGAACTTGGTTTTGATGGTTGCTTTGACAGAGAACATTAGCTTCATAGGCATAAATTGTATGTTCCTGTACCTTCTCAGATGGGCTTCAATTTACACTGAGATCATGAGCATTTTTACCTTAGGGGAATCTTTATCCAGTGGACAACCTGACACCAAACCCATGGATGCACTGATCCTATGGAACCCCAACCTCAAGGGCACCTTGATCACTTGACTCAGAAGGGAACATGGCAACCCCGAGGGAACACATCATCCCCAGGAACACTGACTCTCTGTGCATACTGGCTGTGTAAGAACTCTGTCTCTGTGGGCCCCCTGACCCAGCAAGCAGATTAATCTCAGGTGGCAATGAGTCCCTAAAGCATCTCACTGGCCCGCTGACCCCAGGTACACTAACAGCATTTGCTCCATAGGCATCATTCATTCATTTAGCATTCACTGGGCTTCTATTATTTGCCAAATATTATGTTAGCATTGAATGAAGAAATATACACTTTATGATAACTGGGGGGTAGAGGAGAAGGGGAAACAGGCAGTTTTGGAGGCTGTGTCTATCTCCAGCTGGTGGGCGGAGGGAGGGATTGAGGCCCCTTTCCTCTTAGCGGCAGCTCAGGAGGGATCCCAGGATCTGTGCTTCCATCTGGATCAGGTGAAGCACACACAGTGAGACTGTCTTTTTGCTCTCTGCAGGGGTGGGCACAGGATCCCTCTGTTCCTGTTGCTAAATTGGTCTGCTGGAGGACTGCACTATATTCTGACCACCTCTGTAAGGGACAAGGGATATGTATGACCTTACAATGACTTTGGTGTGCTCTCTATTAGGGCCAGACAGGGAGGGCAAACCAGCTCACAAAAATCTCAGTCTCCTTTTTTGAACAATGATATTTTTATTGTTATGAGTAACATTTATCTTTAAGGATTGGAAAATATAGAAAAAAGAGAAAGAAAAAAATAGAAATAATTCAAATTTGCCCTCAACGATCATTATTGTTAACATGTTGTGCCAATCCCTTTTCTCTACAAACAACTTTTTTTAAAACAGTGTTTTGAATTTTCTATTTTGGCTTTTTTTAAACTAAACATTTTAGAATGATTATTATCCAGGTCATTAAATCTTCAAAAACCTTATTTTAAATAGTTTTATAGGTTCCTGTTATACGGGTAAACTATGATTTACTTAAGTGATTTTTTAGTGTTGGGCATATGGGTTCTTTCTGATTTTGTGCTAATAGATATCTTCCATGGTCGACAACTGTGTGCAGACATAAATGTCTGAGTTTCTGCTTCTTTAGGTCAATCTCTCTTCCCTGCTGTGTGTCATACTTTGTGTCCTGGGAAGCCCATGTCGTGCTGCTCAACTTCTGGGTTTGAAGGAGACCATCAGGAAAATGCACCTGTGGCTCTGCATGCCCCCTTTCCACAGGATTCAGACACTACGGACGGAGGGCATGGGAAACTGAGAAGGGACCAGAGACAATATTATTCCACTTTTTGCCCTCCAAGGCCCATACCATAAACCTCCCCAACTCCTCCATTGCCCAAGCCAGAGCCCTCATGAAAATGAACTCAATCAAATTAACTTTTGAAGAGTAAACGAGATTCTAGGGACGTGGGAACCTGATCGCACTTCCTTTTTCCCACCCACAATCTATGGCCACTCCTGAGCCTGTGGGCTGCTTGAAGGCAAGTGAGGCCTTGACCTCTGCTGGAATCCTAAGAGAGAGAATTATTTAGAGTCTCATGGGTCAGGAGAGTCCTGGGAGGCCAGTACAGAGGGTTTCTAGCAAGGACCAGAAAGCTATAAAGCTGGGAAGAATGTGGCCCACAGAGATCTTTGGACCCATGAAGGGAAGCAAGTGTGGGGGTCTTGCTGGATTCTTGCTCTGGCAAGAAGGATTGAACAGGTAAACTGAGTCTTCCCTGCCCTGACACAGGACAGTGTAATGAGACAAGGGCTTCAGCAGGGCACTGGTGTCTTACCTGGTTCTGCCCCATCCATCCCAGATAGACTATTTCCCCTCCCAGCACCCACAGAGCTGCCAACAACAGCCAGACTCAACCCCAACAAGCTTCACTCCACTCTCCTTAGAACATCGAGGAATCAGTTCTTACTGAAAGTTTACTTGGTGCAGCCTATAACTGTGACTTCAGGTTCTGAGCATATCTGATGAAGAAATTAGCATTTTCCCCACATACTAGATATAGTCAGCATTTCCAGGAGTGTTCAAAGAGAACCCAGGTTGTTTAAGATAGAAATCTAATTGCCAGCACTGACTTGCTTCTCGTTGCAGAGTCTAGGAATCCATGCATGCTCAGTAATGCAAGTACTTGCAAGCTGACAAAATTCCATTTGTTTGTCCCCCTTATTCCCCTTATCACCAGCGAAGTCTCCCAGAAGGCAAGCAGTTGCCTATGGCGATGATCTAAGCTGTGAATTAGATGTTTGTCCCACAATAGTTTGTCTGATCCATCTTGTCTGTCAGTCCTGTGAAGGTATTTTCTGTCTCATTAGGGTCTTCCAGTACTTTGCTTAAGTTTTGTCCCATGATGATGGTCATCAATTTTATAATGGTCTCTGTCCCACAATGTTGGTCCCAACTATAACAGGCCACCAGTCTCAGGAGCATTGCTCTATGCCAGAGGCTTTCTGAGTCATGGCCACTAGAGGACACCCTTACACCACTTAAAGGCCAAAGGTTGCCAGTGGCATTCCCTTAGTTCCTGAGCTGTTTTCTGAGGGCCTGCCCAGAGAAAGCACCTTCTGCTTTGGAGAGGTCAGGATGGTGCCAAAAAAGTGACCAAAGCTTTTGGAGCTGCTTCCCTTGGCCACCTTTGAGCCACAGAGTGATGAAACCAAACCATCTTCCTCTATCCCCACCCCCAAAATCACTCCAAATAAACACATAGTATTTCTAAACTTGGTTTGATAACACAGTTTCAAGTAAATCTATGGCCCACTCCCCTTCCAATCAGATTATAATCTGCAAACCCCTCTATACAGAAATTCTGGAGCTGCTGTTGCCCAGGAGAAACCCTAGCTCAGGACCTGACAACCAAAATGAGGTTCCTGGAGCTTTCCTTCCAGGGAAAGGGTGATGCTTATAAGAGAACCTGGACTTTCCACATGGTACTAGAGTTCTGGACAGGAAAGTGAGGGACTCTTGCCAAATTCTGGAGGTTAGAGAAGTGAGAGGTACAAGATAGGATCCTGTCCAATGGTCCCAGTAAAATTGCTTTGTTGATTGGAAGTGCAAGGGATAGACAGAGGTAATGGTTAGCTGACAATGGGAGCCCCAG
This sequence comes from Homo sapiens, assembly GCF_000001405.40. Classification (NCBI taxonomy): domain Eukaryota; kingdom Metazoa; phylum Chordata; class Mammalia; order Primates; family Hominidae; genus Homo; species Homo sapiens. The sequence goes on from NC_000011.10 coordinate 8,007,199, forward strand.
ATTTAGATATAAAAATTCAGCTGGAGGGAGGACATAGTTTGGGTCCCCTTGCAACAGAACATGTGGCAAAGACTTGGGGAAAAATAGTTTACGTGTGAGGTGATCTGCATTTGATTCCTATGGTTACCATAATAAGTACAACAGTTCACCCTTATCCATGCGGGATACATTCCAAGACCCCCAGTGGATACCTGAAGCCATGGATGGTATCGAACTCTATATATACTGTGTTTTTTCATAAACATACATACCTATGATAAAGTTTAATTTATAAATTAGGCACAGTAAGACATTAACAACAATAACTAATATAAAACAGAACAATTATAACAATATACTGTAATAAAAGTTATGTGGATGTAGTGTCTCTCTTTCTCCCCCCCCCCCAGCCTCTCAAAATAACTGTACTGTACTGCATGTAACTGAAACTGCAGAAAGCAAAACCATGGATAAAACCATGAATAAGAGGGGGCTGTTGTATCATAAATTTGGTGGCTTAAGACAACAGAAATCTATTTTTTCAGTCTTGGAGGCTAGAAGTCTGAGATCAAGGAACGGTCTTTGATACTGCCCCCAAAGCCTTTATTTTTTTTTATTTTATCTATTTATTTTTTTGAGATGGAGTTTCACTCTTGTTGCCCAGGCTGGAGTGCAATGGCACAATCTCAGCTCACCACAACCTCTGCCTCCTGGGTTCAAGCGATTCTCCTGGCTCAGCCTCCTGAGTAGCTGGGATTACAGGCATGTGTCACCATGCCTGGCTAATTTCTTGTGTTTTTAGTAGGGATGGGGTTTCTCCATGTTGGTCAGGCTGGTCTCAAACTCCCAACCTCAGGTGATCCGCCCGCCTCAGCCTCCCAAAGTGCTGGGATTATAGGCATGAGCCACCGCGCCCAGCCAGGACTTCAACATATCTTTTAAGGGGGACAAAACTAACCCATAATATGATCTTAGAAGTAAAAGCAAATGGAGACTAGGATGGGAAGAACTTAATGCAACTGAAGGTATCAAGCTGGTTATTTCTGCAGCAACAGGGACTCAGTCCCACTGAGGAACCTCCAAGGAGCCATGTGACATACCCCTCAGAATTCTCCCACTGAGGGACTGGAAGGCTGGGGAATTTAGCCTGTTACCCCACTGGCTGAAGAATTCTCCTGGGAGGCTGGCTAACTTCCTCATATTTAGAGGCTACAACTACAGTAGGGCTGCATCCTTCCCTAGCTAATTAAGAGAGATTGAGGTGCGATGTGAGCCCTGCGTGTGGGGCTGTCCACCGCCACAGTGCTGAAATCAAGGAGGCACCCCCAGTGTTAGAGAGGGTACCCCCCTTACACTGCTCAGATCTGCTCCTCCCCCACAGCAAGTCCACACTATCACTGACTCTTTTAGAGTGTGGACTCTTTACGAGTATGCAAGCTCTTAAAAAAAGAAAAGGGACTTTCAGGAGTAGAATTAGTGGAATAAACTATAGTCGCCTGTGGCAGCTGGTCCTCAGCCACAATTAATATTCATCATCTCCCCGCTCCCCCTCCAACCCACCAATTCCAGATTTCTTTCATGCCTGGTCAACACTAAAGTTGGTCTGGGCTGCTCTTCCTGAGGGCCTGGGCCCTTGACTGTCTTGCCACTACCCTACTTTGTTGGCTGTGGTTGGCTATGCACCATTATCCCTCAGCATGAAGGCACCAAAAGACACTCCAGCGACCAAGTTTCAGATGAATCCTCCCTGCCTCATTATGCAACAGCCACTTTAGCTTCTCAGAATGGGGGTTGATTGCCAGCTCCAATATGGTAACTTTTCTTATCTGATGGTCCACTCGCAGGAGGAGCCCAAAGTGACCCAGCAATAGAGTCAATGGAAAACTTCTCATGTTAACCAGTGGAAGATTTCTTCCTGAGAATCAGGACCTCTGTTGCAATGAAGCCTGCTGCAGAAATGGGAAGCACAGTTTCTGCAAGGAGCTGGCTGGGGTGATGATGAAAGGGGCCAGTACTATTTCTACCTGTTGGTTACTCTGGCCCTGTGTGTTCCAACACAGCACTGTATATCATCTGATAGTTTAGTGCATATACTACAACTTGGAGGACAGTGACCCAACCCACAGGGTGTCATCCCAAAGCTGGCTCCTTCCCTGGGCTTTAATAAGCCACTCCCACTTTCTACCCCTTGTTTACAAATAATCCAATATATTAGAAGACTCATTTTTTTTTTACAAGACCATTTTCATGATCCTTTATCATAAAATAGACACTTGAGCTGAGACTTCATTATGCAGGATCCCATGCCGATAAATTAGATACTCTATAGCCGGGCGCAGTGGCTCACGCCTGTAATCCCAGCACTTTGGGAGGCCGAGGCGGGTGAATCACGAGGTCGGAAGATCGAGACCATCCTGGCTAACACGGTGAAACCCCGTCTTTACTAAAAATACAAAAAATTAGCCGGGCGTGGTGGCGGGCGCCTGTAGTCCCAGCTACTCAGGAGGCTGAGGCAGGAGAATGGCATGAACCCGGGAGGCGGAGCTTGCAGTGAGCCGAGACGGTGCCACTGCACTTCAGCCTGGGCGACAGAGTGAGACTCCGTCTCAAAAAAAAAAAAAAAAAAAATTAGACACTCTATAAACCACTAGTGAAGCACAACAAGAAAGGAAGATAAATCAGAAAAGGTGTCCATCTTTTCTTTGTCAATAAGGACAAACTGTGCCCCCTCAGGGTGGAAGGAATCTGATGTCATTAACTTATCACCAAGTGCTGGGGCAGTCCCATCAAGGAATGACACCATAACCAGGATCCAGTCTCTCTGCTGCATTCAGCAGCAATGGCAGGTAAATAAGCCTTGGTAAGAGGGAGTCCCTGTGGCTGGGCCTGTACAGAGCTTTCATCTCTGCCTTGTTCCCGCTGCGTTCATGGGCCCAAGCTCTTAGTTGGTTGAGAATTGAAACTGACTGATAATCACCAGACAAATCCTTCTTCCTACCTGCTCATTGAGTGCCCCCTGCACAGCCGATGCTCTCTGATGGGCATTGACAGGAGGCATAAAGCTCTGCACAGTCTTGTCCCACTCCCATTAGTCCATCCACTTGCATCTCCCCTATACCTCCTTCTCCAATATTCCAGTCTTGCTTCGTACAGGCCTGTGACCTCCCAAGTGAGTTGTTCTCCAGTGCCTAGAAGTCCATGTGTACTATTGCCTCAGGCCATGCCTCCCTACATACAAAGTGGATGGCCAAGTGTACTGCCCAAGTCTCTTCCCCCAGGAGGATGTCCCTCTCCACTCAGCTTAAGAACCTCTCCTGAGTGGGTGTGTGGTACAGCTGGAATTCATTTTTGTTTCACACTACCGTATCCAGCCAACCCCTCCATACATCAGGCTCAGAGTTTTTCCTCCTACAGCAGTGGTGGTATGGGACACTCCCACAGGAAGGAGGTTGGAGCAACAGGGATAGATGACAGAGTTTGAATCGTGTCTTCATATAGTTTACTTGTGCCTTCGGCACCTGTCTGGATCCAACACCAAATCATTGTCATCATACAATCATACAATGAATTGCTAGTTTCTGACTGGTGAACTGGTAAACATAAAACACCCAGTTCATGCCTGGGTGAATTTATGACTGGTGTCCCAGATTACTATGTGCAGATCTAGTCACATAGTGTCTTGATGTCCCACATCAGGTATTCAAGCTCTATTAGGGCCCAGGAGCACACTAGAAGCTCTCTCTTTGCAAATATGAGTAGTTCTCTGCTGCAGAAGGCAGGGTCCAGCTCCAAACCTAAAAGCTCCACATGACCTTCCAGAGACTCAGCACAGGGCTGTTATCTAACACAGATACGTCTGGCACTATTGGACTTGCAGGTCATCAAGCCCAAGAGTCAGAGCAGCCGGCACCTCAGCTTCAATCCATTGAAGGTGCCTTTCTTGCCTTAGTCCACTTAGAAATCAAATAAATAGTGGATCATCTGGCCTCATATAATAAATATATTTCAACCTACGTCTCTGAGCCTCCTGACTCTCAAAAAACTGCCAAGGTAGTTTCTTTCTTAGGTTGGGTTTGCAGAAGTAGACACTGAAACAAACATTCATATTCAAGTGATTTATTAAGGAAGTGCTCAGTGGTGTGATAGTAAATGAGTAACAACTGGCTTTATGGAAAGAAAATAAATAAGCTTGATAAATAAATCAAGCATTCAACAATTTCCACAAATACTCTATAGTGAGTACTTCCACCATGACCAGTTTAAAGCTACCAACAGGATATCTCTGAATATGGAGTTGGGAAGAGTTGCTAACAATCAGCTTTTGGAACTAGCCAGTGTCAGCACATCACTGAATGCTGCTAGGGAGACCAGTAAAAGAGTGGGTGTAGGAGGACAAGAAAAAAAAAGGAAGTCAAGCAAGAGAGTGATTTCAGGCAAAGTCTCATAGAGGTCAGAGTTAACACTATCCTACAGGGAAACCCTGGAATACAAGCTACACCTCAACGTTGTCTACACACAAGGCAAGGTTGCTTCGCTCTTTCACTCCTGCACCTGTCAGGCTTAGGCAAGGGCCATCCCAGCATGGAGGCAGATCCTAGGTACCTATGGCTCTTTTTAAAGGTGAGCAAAGTGGTTCCAGCTGTGTGAAGGCAGTCCTTGGAGAAGAGGTGCAGGTGCTTGAGTTTTGGGGGCCCTTGGAATATTCTGACTGATGAATGTTTTTGTATCCCTGGGGCCTTGGGAGAGGCTATATCAGTTTGACCCAATAAGTTTATCCTAATAAAATGACTTAAGATGAACTCTTAGTTTGGCTCTGGGGGTGGGGGAGAGGGAGTTATTGGGGCAGCGAGGCCAGTTACACAGGCTTTGTATGTCTCCATGACTGACTCCTCATTAAGAGCTTTGGACAACAAGGCTTGGGTGAGCTTTTCCAATTGGCAACACCACCATGGGTTGTCACACACTGTTGCTGGGAGAATGAAGTGAGTCCTCATGCAACTCCACCGGGAGGGTTCACTTGGAAGCCTGTGGTTTCTCCTGGCTTTGCTCCAAAGCCTTTCTTCTTTGCTGACTTTACTCTGTATCCTTTCACTGTAATAAGAGATAATGGTGAGTATAACAGCCGCTTCTGAGACCTATGAGTTATTCTAGTGAATCATGGAGCCTGAGCTGGATCTTGGAGACACTGACACAGAATCCTTTCACCATAATAAATCACAGTCATGAATACAATTCTGTGCTGAGCCCTGCGAGTCCTCCTAGTGAATCATCAAATCTAGGGATGGTTTGGGGGACCCCTGACACTTCATTTCCTAAACTCCTGATAAAGAGGGATTTCTGTGTCATCCTGCTACCTAGAGAAAGGAAAGTATCTGATCCCTGATCATCTTCTCCATAAGAACTACCTTGTCTCACCTGGTCCTCGTTGGCATGCCATATACCTCTACTCATGTTTGCCATCCCGGCATCATCTCTCTACTCACCTGGCTCATGTGCTTTGCATCTTCCTCACCCAAACATTGAAGCCCATTTGGGTCCATCTGTCCTCTTAGCCCTTTAATCGGCCTCAAGGGGAGCCCAGAACTTTCTATGGCATTTTCTGACACCAAGCTAAGGAAATGAAACACTGTGAGGACCCTGCCTTCAGGACCATTAGCATTGGTTGACTGGCCCACTTCTGGCTCCAAGCAGGGATGCCCACTGACTTCCCTCGGGCTTCTATTATCCCAGCTCTTCCTATTTGCTGCCTTTTATTATTTACATCATTATAAATATTTGTGGCTTCAGAAAGAATGTGATGTTCTTTCTAAAGTTACCTGGGTAACTCTCTCTTAATACTTACTTGAATTAACTGCCCATCTATTTTCAGATTTAACTGTTTGAAAATTCTTAATAATACATTAAATTAAAAACTCACAATTATACAGACTGCAGCATACAGTCATGCAACTATAAATAGATATGGTAGAATTTCAACTTGCAAAGCACAAAAGGCATTTTTTTTCCTCCAAATTCTACCTAAAATATGCTTGCTTGGCCTGGCATGGTGGCTCACGCCTGTAATCCCAGCACTTTGGGAGGCCAAGGCAGGCGGATCACCTGAGGTCAGGAGTTCAAGACCAGCCTGACCAACATGGAGAAATCCCATCTCTACTGAAAATACAAAATTAGCCAGGGGTGGTGGTGCATGCCTGTAATTCCACCTACTCGGGAGGCTGAGGCAGGAGAATCGCTTGAACCCGGGAGGCAGAGGTTGTGGTGAGCAGAGATTGCGCCATTGCACTCCAGCCTGGGCAACAAGAGCAAAACTCCATCTCAAAAAAAAAAAAAAAAAAAAAGGTTGCCTATATTTGAGAGCAAATATTCAAATATTAATAATAAATTTAAATAACATACCTAATTCATGCTGTGGCAGTTGTACACAGGTTAGAGATGATAGTAACTCACATGATCATATGATCATTGGTCATTCACAAGTTCAGGGATGCCAGAAATGGCATTTAGTGACCTGAACTGAAACCAAATTATAGTTTATAGTTTCTGTCTCTTCTGTCTACAGTAGGAAAAAAAAAAAAACACAGAACAACAACAACAAAAAGCATATAAGTAAATCTTTTTCCAAATTTTTTAAACGCCAGAACCTTAACTCCTGATACTCAATAAACCTTTTCACTGCATAAACAGTCCCACTCTTGCGATTGTCCTTAAAATCTATGGCTTTCAAAAATGGTTGATTCTACCATGAATTTTAAGAGCTTCCCCCACCCCACCCCATCTTAGGAACAAATGGCTGAACATTCACACTGATGACTATCTTTGCCCACGCAGCTTCCAGCTCCCCCCGCCCCTTGCTCAGACTTCCAAATAGCCCACAGCAGGCATCTCCACCATTCACTGAGAGCTGGAGCTATCGAGTGTGGTGCTACATACCTATCTACGATATATGAAGGCCTGCTCCTTCCTCTGGCAGCAGAGTGAGGGATGTTAAGAAAAGTTACCTGTCACTTCTCAGAACTTCTCAGATCCCTATCTGTACTCCTTTCTTCACTTGCAGAAAGACTTGAGGACTCATAGAAGGGCTGAGAGGGTGCTCTATGTGAAGAATCTCCTGCCACTGTGTGTTTGGCAGGCAGAGATAGGAGTGGGGGTTGTCTTAGTCTAGTTAGGCTGCTATAACAAAAATACCATAAACTGGTTGGCTTAAAAACAACAGAAACGGCTGTAATCCCAGCACTTTGGGAGGCCAAGGCAGGTGGATCACCTGAGCTCAGGAGTTCGAGACCAGCCTGGCCAACATGGTGAAACCTTGTCTCTACTAATAATACAAAAATTAGCTGGGCGTGGTGGCGGGCATCTGTAATCCCAGCTACTTGGGAGGCTGAGGCAGGAGAATTGCTTGAACCCAGGAGGTGGAGGTTGCAGTGAACTGAGATCGCGCCATTGCACTCCAGCCTGGGTGACAAGGGCGAAACTCTGTCTCAACAACAACAAAAAACTCAAAAAACCAGAAATTGACTTCTCACAGTGTAGAGGCTGGGAAGTCCAAGATCAAGGTGCCAGCACCATTCAGTGTCTGGTGAAGGCCTGCTTCCTGGTTCATAGATGTTGATCTTCTCACTGTATCCTCACTTGGTGGAAGGGGATTCTCAGGCCTCTTTTATAAAGGGGACTAATCCCATTTCCACCCTCATGACCTAATCACCTCCCACAGGCCCCACCTCCTAATACCATCGCTTTGGGATTTAGGTTTCAACATGTCACTCCGGAGGAGACACAAACATTCAGTCCATAGCAGGAGTGATTTGATTGCAATGTGGTTATTCAGCTGGGCTTCTGAAGATGAAGCCACGCTCTGTGAGTGTGAGAGTAGGGACGGACCATTGGTTGGTGAGGTTATTCAAGGTGCTAGTCATCTGGACGTGAAGCCTGTCTCTCAGAACAGAAATGAGCTTCTTCACCTCTTGACTTTGGGGATTGTCAGGATGTCTAGGAAAGAAATCCGGTAGCAAGTCCACCTTTTGGAATCAGAGTATAGATATCTGCAGATGGCCAGTGGAATGGTGCAGGGTCCCGGGCCCTGCATTTATACATTGCATGTGATAACTCTTTATTTTCCTGAATCTTTCCTCTAAAATTAATGAAGCTAGTCCTTCCTAGCTGCAGTAGAGGATCACAGGGATTGTGCTAATGGGAATGTTAAACACAGAATGTTAAAGGGAAACCATTGCTGCTTGGGGTAAAATGTGGTGGCAGTGGGAATGGAAACTAAAGGGAAAGGGTGGGTCTTAGGAGCACATTGGTTCTAGCTAGCAGAATTTTTTTTCCAGAGTTTTACTCTGGAGATAATGGACCATGTTTTAGCCTGGGAAGTGGTTTCTCTTTATAACTCTCCATCTCTGCTGCAACAAGGGATCTTTCCTTCCAGGTTTTATTCTCTGAGGACATACATTCCCAGGTCCCTGTTCCCCGTTTTGCCATGGTAAGCCCTTGGTCCTAGGTCCTGGTTTTGGGTTTCTTCATTGCTTGCTTGCTTACTGCAGAGTAGCCAGACCCCTAGTTCCAGGACCACTGGCCACACATCTTCACAGTCTGAAGCTTCCAGCCTTCTAAGGTTACAATTTCCTTTAAAATCCAGATAGACTATCTCTAGTCTGTCACCTTTCATCTGGGGAAGTCTAGTATGCTCACTGACATGCCCAGGGATTCTTGGGAAGGGGCATGCCCTCCTGGTCTCCTCTGCATGTGCATTCCTGCTCCTAACTTCTCAGTCTCCAACAAGCTGCCAGGGTTGCCGTCCTCCCACTACACTTTATCCCACAAAGTGTCCCACTGTGGACAGTGCCCCACCTTCTGCATTCCCTAAGCATCATTCATAGGAGGTGGTGGTATATACATACCAGACTTTTTCTGAAAGTTTCGAGGTAATAGAGCAGCACCAAGGAGCAGGAACCAACTTAAAATAGAACATTAGACATCTCCATTCCTCGAGTTCCTTGGCCATCCGTCAGAATTTCTCACCAGTTACTTTCCTTCTTAGAGTCCAGCTTTCTACCATTTCACCTTCTTTTTACTCAAGCTTTTCTCCTGTATCCTCTCTTCTCCCAGTTCCAATCTTACCCCTACAACTCATCATTTAGCTACAAGAAGACAACTCCTGAATTCCTATCGCTCCTCTGTGCAGAGCAGCTCATCTCTGCAGATGAACTGGGACCCTTCCTGCCATAACCAAAGGGCCATGAATCAGCTTTCAAGGAAAAAGAACCAGTTCCTCGGAGATGAATTCTGCCTGCCTGGTTATCTACGGTGTAAAACAACAACCGTTTCACAGTGTTCACAGATTCTCTGGGTCAGGTCAGGGCGGAGCAAGGATGACTTGTCTCTCCTTTGTGATGTATAGGGCTCAGCTGGAAGGCTCAAGCAGTTGGGGATGACTTAAAGGGCTAGGGGCTGTAATCATCTGAAGGCTTCTTCAGTCCTATGTCTGGTGCCTGGCTGTGGGGACTTGAAGGCTGGGCTCAGCTGGGACTGTCAATTGAAGCACCCACATATGACCTTTCCTTGTAGCTTGGGCTTTCTCACAGCATGGCAGCATCACAGTAGTCAGACTTCTAACATGTCAGCCCAGGGGTCCAGTGAACAGGGGATGTTGAAGGGCCTTTCATTACTTAACCTCAGAAGTTACATAGCATCCAGATTAAAGGGGAGGTAACATAGAACTTGTTTCTCAACGAGAGGAATGGAAAGATTTTGTGGCCATGCTTTCATATTGCCAAACGTCCTCCTCCTACAGATTGCTGACGCACCGCTCCTGGCATTGATAAGGCTCAAAAGGTCCTACCTCTACAGCTTCGTTGGGCTTCTCCATCTGCTTAGCCCAGAGTTCTCCTAAGGATGTCTGGGGTGTAGCTTCTCTACAGCTTTCAGCCTTGGTTCAGGACACCTGGCCTTGGGCTTCTTGTTTGTACTTCTAGAGGGTATCAGGATTCGGAAGCGGGGGCTATAAGAGCCAATAGCAGGTTTACTGGCTTTTGTAGCTACAGTGGCCTCACCAAGGCAGGCTGCAGGGGGCTGGCAGCCAGTGCCTAAATGTCAGCCTCAGGAGGCCTCTGTGACTGCTGGTTCTGAGCCAGCATGGATTGGGATGGGGTAGCCAGTCCTTTGGAGAAGGGACATCCTTAGGACTTGTCTTATGACATATGGATCAGGAGCAGTAGCCTCTGGTCCTGCAGTTTCTGTGGGGGACCCCACAAACTCCCACACATTCTCCAGAGGGGGAAGCTCACCTCTGACCCCTACCCCTAAACAATGAAATAACTGTGTTCAAACAGTTGCAACAAGTTGATTCTGGAGTTCCAATCCACTACTGCTGAGGTCATGGGTATGCCAAGAGCCTCACTATCAAGATGTGGTTCAGGAATACTGGCTTTTTGGGGGAGTCAGTCCTTGCACACCAGTCTGTAAACTCCACGAGAGACAGTAACAGTGTCTACCTGGTACATAAAGCATTTTGCTCAGTACCTGGCCCTTGGTAAATATTGGTTAATGATGCGTTTGGGTAGCTCTATGAGCAAGTTGGGTACTTCAGTGGTTATAGAGATGGCTGTATTGCACAGAAATGGTAAACTTAAAAGCTATAAGGACCAAGCAAGTCATGTAAGAGAAAAGCTGGCCAGCTAGGGCCAGAGGCTTATAGAACAACATATTCCCTGCTCCCGGTGCAGAGGACAGCCACTACTGCGCTCTATGCCTGCCATGCTGAAGACAGGCCCAGCACTGGCAGACATTCTTAGTTTTCAAGAGAGGATAAAAAGCTAGATCTATTAAATCTCCCAATTTTTAAGTGTTGTCCATTTATTCAGTGAAAAGCATTTTTTCCCTGTGATTGTGGGCTGGATGCAACAGGTGCACTGCCAGTTGCAACCTCTGTAACCCATAGGGTTAGCTCTAGTTCACAGGAGTTGTCAGGATCCTTGGATTAGCGTAGCGCAAACCCTACCTCCCCCTCCTCGCGCTCCAGCCTCCTGGCACCTCCACCCCACCCTGACCCTGGCGTGAAGTTAGCCAGCCACCCCACAGCAACTGCCCGAAAGGTCCTTCTTAGGCTCTTGTGACCTCTGCAAGAAGATTATACCTGTAAATCCCTAAAGCCATCAGCCTAAGATGGGGGATGGGAAGGGACTGGGGGCCCGGGGCAGACAAGAAGGCGCGAGCTGGCTCTCCCTGCCCCACCCCTCCCCACCCCGCCCCACCCAGGCGGGCTTTCTCGCCATAGCCTTCCCTGGGTCACTGTCAGACAAGCTCTTCCCTGGCTGAGCCAAGACACTTGGACTTTTTCCAAAGGATTTTTAGTAGTAATGAAGAGAAAGCACAAGGGACATAAACAGAACAAGGTGGCCTAGAAATGGGAGTGTTTACAGAGCTTGGTCTTCGGAACCCAAGAGGGCCGTAATAGACCAGATAGCAGGGCCGAGGGAATCCACCCGGGAGAGAGGGAGGGAGTAGTGGATTTCCATTCTCAGTAAGGAGGGAGGCAGTTGGAAGAGAGGAGGGGACGGTGGTTTCAAGACTTCCACCCTGGGGAAGAAGGGACGGGGAGACGGCGGGAATCTAGGAAATTGGGGGATGGCTATTTCCATTCCTGAGAAGGGGGGAACTTGATTGTGGGAGGTTGGCTGAAGACTCCCACGCCGGAAAGGAGGGCGCCTCTGCGGAAGGGCCCCGAGTGGCGACAGCGGATCCGGGACTCCCAAGCAAGCAGGAGCCGGAGCAGCCTCTTAGCAACCCCTGTCCCGGGAAGGTTTGAAAGCAGCGGTGCCCTAGTGACGCCGGAAAAGATGGAGCGGTTGTCATGGCGACGCGGAGCACACCTCGGAAATAAATAAATAAGCGCCCAGGCTGCCGCAGCCGCGCCCCCGCGGGACCCGAGCGAGGGGGAGGGGGCCTCACGGGCCCGGGTCCCCGCAGTCGCGCGTCCCCGCCATTGGCAGAGCCGGAGGGGGTCACCCCCCGGGGGGCGAATGGTACAGTCCTCCGCCCGCGCCTCGGCCGGGCCCGCAGCCTGCGAGCCAGCCCCAAGCCCAGCGCCGCCGCCGCCCGCGGAGCCCCGAGCGGAGCCGGAGGCGGCGATGGAGGGAGTCAGCAGCCACCGGACCCTGTCTTACAGCCGCTGGAGCTATGACAGGTAGGGCGCCCGAAGGGTGGCCCTGCGTGAGCGCCTGCTGACCCTCGATCTCCTGCGGGAGAAGCGGGCCTCCGGGGGCTAGGACTGGCGCGAGCGCCCGACCCCCAGGGTGGGCTTGGGCACCCGGACCCTCGGGCATCCGGGACCCAGAGCCTCGGGTACGGCGCAGCGGAGCTCCAGCGAGGGTAGTGTCCCCACACCCACGGGGCAGAGCTGTCGGAGGAGGGCACGCGGCCACTGGGACTAGCGAGCTGGCACCTCTGCCCCCACCCCAGCTGCCCCGCCAGGGTCGCTCCGCCGGGGGACCCCGAGAAAGGGCGCGGAGGGGGCGCCGGGAGGGGCGGGGCAGGGGCCGGGGTGGGCCCCTGGCGGGCGGGGCGAGGAGGGGGCGCCTTCGGCTCTGGGATGCGCCCGCCGGCGTCTGCGCCCCGCCGGCCCTCCGCAGGGACCGAGGCTGGCCCCGGGCGGAGTGTCCCGCTGGCTGCCGGGGACCCGCGAGTCGCTGCCTGTTCCGCGGGGCGAGATGGCAGCCTGGGCCGGCTGTCTGGGCGCAGGAGCGGCGCTCTCGAGTTGCCAGGCTCCGCGCCCGCCCCGCGGGGATGGCGAGCGGCTGCCGGCGTGGGCGGTTTGGAGCTGCGCTCCCCACGCACTCGTCCTGGAGGAAGGAGTCATCCTCCCAGGCGAAATGAAAAAAATAAGAACGGAGTGAGTTGGTCATAAAGCCGAGTACATTTATTCCTAGGTTATGCCTGTTCTACCTTTTGTTGGTGTGTTAAATGCCACCCTTGTATTTAAAATGAAACCATGATGATAGTAGATAGTAGTTTGTTTGTTTGTTGTTTTTAAGTTTCGTAACCCCAAGTCCATCTGCAGAATTCTGGAGTTAAATTTCCTGACCCATGACCCTAGATGGTGAGGGCTGGAAGACAAACTTCATTTACTGGGCTGCTCTCATCTCCGTGAAGTCCTGCTTCCTGTGCTCTCCTTCCCTTAACTCTGCCAAAAACCTCCCTGCATCTTCGACAGCCCTTGTTTGCCTAGATTCAGAGGAACAGGTGTCCCTCCTGCCTAAGGCTAGTTTGCCTAGGACCCCTCCTCACCTTCCCTGAGTCTCGCCCCGTATTAATCCCATCTGTCTCCTCCATCTGCACCTTCGCCTCTTTACTAGTGATCTCTCTTCAGCCTGTAAACTTATTCACCTGTGTCTTGTTTACCTCCTCGAGATGGGCGCAACTGATCCACGTCTGTTTTTTTCCTTTCATTGCCTTCTTTGGGGAAATATATCGTCTGAATTGGTTAATTCTGTTTCTTCATCAGCCCTTCCTTGCACAGCCCCAGCAAATCTCCTGTCCACCTCATGATTCCAGTGCACCTGCCTTTTTGAAAAGTGGTGCTCTCCACGGAGAAGAACTCTATTATTGGAGTATTAAACTTAAAATAACAAAACCTACAAACTTTGGTTCAGATCCCAAATTCACACATTCATTCATTTATTCAACAAACATGTATTGAGTGCGAACTATATCCTGGGCCCTGGAAATAAGGCGATAAAAAGATAGAATTTCCTCCGGGAGATGAGCTCACAGTCTAGATTATATTAGAAATAAGCAGTGACATATTCTGGGAGAAAAACTTAAAGTTGAGCTAATTCCATATAGTAAATAATTTTTCCCTGCAAAAGCAAACCTATAAAAGCAGAAAGACTTTGGAATTAGATAACCTGCATTCAAATCCTGACTCCACCTAGCTAACTTTGGACAAATTACTTCTCCCTGGGCCACAGTTTCTTGGGGAAGTGTTGTGAGTATTAAATGAGGTAATAGGCCTGGCGCAGTGGCTCACACCTGTAATCCCAGTACTTTGGGAAGCTGAGGTGGGCAGATCACTTGAGATCAGTTTGAGACCAGCCTGGCCAACATGGTGAAACCCCGTCTGTACTACAAATACAAAAAACAAAAACCATTAGCTGGGCATGGAGGTGCACGCCTGTAATCCCAGCTACTTGGGAGGCTGAGGCTGGAGGATTGCTTGAGCCGGGGAGGCGGAGCTTGCAGTGAGCCGAGATTGTGTCACTGCACTCCAGCCTGGACGACAGAGCTAGACTCTGTCTCAAAAAATAAAAATAAATAAATGAGGTAATAAATATAAAGGGCCTATCATATTGCCTGGGACTTAGTAATCATGCAACAAGTGGTATAAATTGCTGTTTTATTAATGCATATTGTAAACGTTTCTGGAACTCTAGTCTTCCACAGAAGCTTGGTTTGAAAATCTTGGCCAGGCGTGGTGGCTCACGCCTGTAATCCCAACACTTTGGGAGGCTGAGGCAAGCAGATCACGAGGTCAGGAGATCGAGATCCTCCTGGCTAACACGGTGAAACCCCGTCTCTAATAAAAATACAAAAAAATTAGCTGGGCGTGGTGTCGGGCGCCTGTAGTCCCAGCTACTCAGGAGGCTGAGGCAGGAGAATGGCGTGAACCCGGCAGGTGGAGCTTGCAGTGAGCCGAGATCACGCCACTGGACTCTAGCCTGGGCAACAGAGCGAGACTCCAGCTCAAAAAAAAAAAAAAAAAGAAAATTATTTTTCTGCTTTCAGACCCCTACATAAAGACATTTACTGGGTTTCTGTCTTCAGAACTCTTTTCTTCTCACCCTGACAATCTCAGTACCTGGGGAGCTATGTGAAGAAAACAACTCACCTGGCCCTTGACCAAACTAACTGAATCAGAATATCCAGGGGTAGGACCTGGGCTCAATGTTTGTTTAAAACTTCGCAGTTGATTGTGCTGCAGCTGGTTTGTCTACTCTCCAAAAGCACTAGTCCACACCACCTCCTCTATGTTCTCATCAGTACTTGTTTTTTAAGACATAAATATTGAATTATTCAAAAATTACACAATACTCAATCAAGCTGTTAAAACCATTACACAAGCAACACATACATTGGGTACATAGCATTAAAAGTGAAAATCTGTGTTCTGCTGACCTCATCCCCATCCTAACTCTATAAGGAACCATTGTTAATAGTTAACTTTCACTTTCCAGCACTGTTCTCTGGTTGCTGCCCCCATCACATCTTTGAACCTGGCAAACACCTTTCCTTCAAGTCCTCACCCAAGTTGACCTCTCCTCCGTGTGTTTATGTAAGCTGTTGTCCGCCTTGCTTCTGGGCCATGTGCATGTCAGTTATCTATTGCCATGTTAACAAGTGACTCCTAAATTTAGTGACTTAAAATAACAACTGTTTTGGCCAGGCGCGGTGGCTCAGGCCTGTAATCCCAGCACTTTATGAGGCCAAGGCGGGCGGATTACCTGAAGTCAGGAGTTCAAAACCAGCCTGGCCAACATGGTGAAACCCTGTCTCTACTAAAAATACAAAAATTAGCCAGGTGTGGTGGCACATACCTGTAATCCTAGCTACTCGGGAGGCTGAGGCAGGAGAATTGCTTGAACCCGGGAGACGGAGGTTGCAGTCAGTGCAGTGGAGATCGTGCCACTGCACTCCAGCCTGGCCGACAGAGCAAGACTGTGTCTCAAAAACAAAACAAAACAAAACAAAAAACACACAAACAAAAACAAAACAACAACAACAAAACAACTGTTTGAGTTAGCACAAGATTCTGTGGATCAGCAATTTGGGCTGGGCTTAGCTGGGCAGTTTTGTGGTCTGGGCCAGGCTCAGCTTTTCTGGGTTGGGCTTGCTCACATATCTGGTGCTCCGGCTGGGAAGGCTAGAGCAGCTGGGCCTTCTCTCCACGTGCCTTCTCATCTTGCAGCAGTCTCACTCAGGTTGGCACACATGGTGGTGGAAGGGATTCCAGTGAGACAGCAGAAGCTGCAGGGTCTCTTGAGGCCTAGGTTTAGAACTTGCACATCACTCTGCTGCCTTGTATTAGTCAAAGTCAGTCAAAATGCCAGCCCACATTTCAGGGGTGGGGAAACAGGCCTTACCTCTTGGAGGCAGGAGCTGAAAATCTATGGCCATTTTTCCAACCTACCAAAATATGATGCCTACATTTTTACAATTTCTGGCTCCTCTTAGGTCCCCACTGTCCACATCTGAGCACATGCCAAAGTGCTCCTCTTTTCCAGTTCACTCTATTCCATTCTATTCTCAGGCTACACCCTGGTCTCAGTTATCAACGCAATGCTTCTAACACAGAAATCTATATCTTCAACTCCAGCCTTTTTGCCAAGACTTAGTCCCACATCTCTAAATGCCTGTAGACGTCTCCATCTAGACATTCAGCCAACAGCTTTAACGCAATAGGTTTAAAATCAGACCTTTCACTGATAACTGTATTCTCTAGTCAGCATCCACAAGCCAAACGGACTCCTCAAAACTTGGACATTGACCTTGACCTCTCCAAATCTCCTTATCTATACCACTGATTGTGATGAAGATAAAAGGAAAAGATCTATGTAAAATGACTGGCACAAAGTGGGTATCATGAAGTCCATTTTTTTCCACAGCTTGGCACCCCATTAACCATTTTGTCTCCACTCAAGCTTCAGTCGTTATCCTCAAAGGCTTCAGTGCCCATATCAGTGACCAAACTAGCACTCTTCACTCCCAATTTCTGGACCTTCCCATTCTAGACCCTTCTCTTCAGTTATTCACAGGATAAATTCCTAGATGATGACAGCTGGAATTGCTTCACTTCTAATCTCATACACATGAATTGCCAGCTCTCTGACCTCAGGCATGTTCCTTATACATTACTCCTGCCATAACACGAAGGTGTCTGCCTTCATGGCCTACCAGCCTTTTCCCGGCCTCTCTTCTCTTCCCAGCTTGTATTACATGGTAGATTATTTCAGTCACTCACTCCAGCACTTTTTATTCCCTCACGTATGCTCAGCACGACTCTAGCCCGGCGTGGATCAATGTTAAAATCTCTATCCCCTTTCTTCTTATAACACTAGAATCCTACAACAAAAATGACTTGCCTGTGCAGGATGTCACCACTTTCATGGTCTTCATCTTCGGCCGGGCCACCAATGCCATCTCTCAGTCTTTCTGCTTCTCCCTGATGAACTTCACTCCCATTGCCCACAACAGCCCTTCCAAACCTTCCGCACTCTCAAGACCCCTCTCTGCTTGACCCTTATCTGCACCCCGTGTGTTATGTAAATGGCCCTGCCTCCTGCTCCTTGGAGAAAAATTGATCACATCAGGCATCATCTTCTGTCACGTCCTGACTCCACTTCATTTCCACTCTACTTCAATCACTCCCTTGTGGGGACTTTGTTGTTCTTCCCAGTTCTTTGCTATTATAAATAATTTTGTGTTGAACATCTTGTATATATGACATTCTCCCCTCATGTTTGATTATTCAATTAAAACAAACTTCTGAAGAAGGATTGTTAGTTTCCAATGTTGGCTACTGTCAGATTGTCCTCCAGGAGGGGTGAATTGATTTCTTTTTCCACAGGCAGTCACTGACTGCATTGTTTTGCAATTATGTTTGTGTGTGTGAGTGTGACCTCTCAGACTCTGAGACAAAGTAGCATCACTGCGCAGAACTTGGATTTTGGGGTCAAAGTGACCTGGCTTTGCAGCCCAGGTCCTTAAATTATTGCTTATATGGCTTTAGACAAGTGACTTAACCTCCATCAGCAAATAGACAATAATAATGGTAGCTACGTCTTAAGGTGGGTCCATTCACTCAATATGCATTTACTGAACACCTTCTAAATGCCAGGCAACATTTTAGGCAGTGGAGACAGAATGAAACAAAGTCTGTGGTCTCGTAGTTCTTACCATCTAGTTGGGGGAGATATGGACAAATATATTTAATGTATCAGTGCTAAGAGGCTTATATAATATGATAAAGTGCAAAGCAGAAAAAGCAGAGTCTGGAGGAGAGAGTCTGACAGCATGGGCATGCTGGGGGTGGTGTGTGTGCTGTGTCATATAGTGTGGTCAGGGAAACTCTGAGGAGGGGGTATTTCATCCAAGAGCTGAAAGAGGCGAGGGAATGAGTCATGTGGTTAATGGGAAGAATGTTCCATGGAAAGGAGCAGCAAGTGACAACGTCCTGAGGTAGGAGTGTGCCTAGTGTGTTTGGGAACAGCATGGAAACCTGTGTGTCCTCTGCCTCTTTGTAAAACTTCCTTATTGCTCTTCTCCCAACTCCCCGCACCCACTCCACCCATCCTCAGGGAACCACTGATCTGATTCGTTTCCTAGAGTTTTGTATAAATGGAATAATCAGTATGAACCTTTTATTGTTTGGCCGTTTTCAGACAGTGTAATTATTGTGATATTCTTCAATACTGTTGCATAAATTAGTAGAGCATTTCCTTTTATTGCTGAGTAGTATTCATGGATATATCACAGTTTGTTTATCCCATCACCTGTTGATGTTCCCACTTTTTGGCTATTACAAATAAAGCTTTTGTGAATATTCATGTACAGGTCTTTGTATGGACGTATACTTTTGTTTCTCTTAGGCAAATACCTAGCAAAGCAGTGGAATGGCTGAATCATATAATAGGTCTACATTTAATCTTTTAAGAAACTGCCCAACTTTTCCAAAGAGGTTGGACCATTTTATATTCTCATGAGCATTGTATGAGAGTTCCAATTCCTCTGCGTTTTTGTGACAGTTGGCACAGCCAGTCTTTTTCATTTAAGCATTCTAACAGTTATGCAGTGGTATGCCATTGTGGTTTCATTTTGCATTGCCTTGATGACTAATGATGTCGAGCATCTTTTCATGTGCTTATTTGCTATCCATATCTCTTCTTTGGAGAAGTTTCTGTTAAAATATTTCCCCATCTTTAAGTTGGATTGTTTTCTTTTTGAGTTTTGAGAGTTCTTTGTATGCTGTGGATGCATCTCCTTTATCAGATATATGACTTGCAATATTTTCTCCAAGTCTGTGGCTTTCTTTTCATTTTCTTATGTATTTTCAAGAGAAGTTTTTGCTTTTGATGAAATCCAGTTTATCAGTTTTTTTATAGATTGTTCTTCTGATGTTGTATCTAAGAAATCATTGCCTACTTTGCGGTGACAAAGGTTTTTCTAGGAATTTTCTAATTTTACATTTTAAATTTAGATCTTTGCTACATTTTGAGTTAACTTTTTGCATATGGTATGAGATTCATTAAAAAAAAAAATGGGTATCTAATTGTTCCAGCAGCATTCATTGAAAAAAACCTTTCTTTTTTCTGCTAAATTGCCTTTGTACCTTTATGGAAAATCAGTTGATTATTGTTTGTAAGTTTATACTCTCTACTCTGTTATCTTGATCTATGTGTCTTTATTGATGCCAATAACAAAAAATACTTATAAGTATTGAAATCTGGCAGTTCAGGACTTTCAGCCTTGTCTTTCTTTTACAAAGTTGTTTTGACTATTCTAGGGCCTTTTCAATTTCACATTAATTTAACAATCAGTTTTTCAAGTTCTAACCCCCATCCCCCCAAAAAACCTGCTGGAATTTTGATTGGGATTTTGTTGACTTTATAGATCAATTTGGGGAGAGTTACATCTTAGTAACATCGGGCCTTCCAATTCATGAACATGGTATCTATATATTTATATCTGTTGAGGGGATAGATCATCTTAATTTCTCTCAGTCATATTTGTAGCTTTCAGTGTATAGGTCTTTAACCTCTTTTGTAAGATGTATCCCTAAATTCTGCATATTTTTCAATGATATTATAAAAGGGTTTATAAAATTCAGTTTCTGATTTTTCATTCCTAGTGTATAGCCTGTATTGGGATTCTTAATTGTGGTAAAATGTGTATGACATAAAATGAGCTATTTCAATGATTTCTGAGTATACAAGTCCGTGGCATCAGTTACATTCACAGTATTGTGCAACCATCACCACTATCTATTTTCAGAGCCTTTTTATTATCCTAAACTGAAACTCTCTACCCATTAAGAAATAATTTCTAATTCATCACCATCCTGGCCCCTGGTAACCTCTAATCTACTTTCTGTCTCTATAAATTGCCTATTTTAGATATTTCGTATAACGAAATCATACAGTATTTTTCCTTTTGTGTCTGGCTTATTTTGCTTAGCATAATGTTTTCAAGATTCATTCATGTTGTAGCATATATTTTTTGGCTGAATAATTCCATTGTTTGCATAAACCACATTTTGTTTATTTTTAAAATTTTTTAAATTTAAATTTTATTGATTTATTTATTTTTGAGATGGAGTCTTGCTCTGTCTCCCAGGCTGGAGGGCAGTGGCGCGACCTCAGCTCACTGCAACCTCTGCCTCTCGGGTTCAAGCAATTCTCCTGCCTCAGCCTCCCCAGTAGCTGGGATTACAGGTACCCACCACAACGCCTGGCTATTTTTTGTATTTTTAGTAGAGACGGGGTTTCTCCATGTTGGCCAGGCTGGTCTTGAACTCCTGACCTCAAGTGATCCGCCCATCTCAGCCTCCCCAGGTGCTGGGATTACAGGCGTGAGCCACTGTGCACAGCCAGCATTTTGTTTATACATTCATCTGTTGATGGACACTTGGATTGTTTCTACCTTTTGGCTATTGTGAAAATGCTCCAGTGAACATTGGTGCGCGCATATCTATTTGAGTCCGTCTTAGATTCTTTTGGGTAGTATAAACCTAGGAGTAGAATTGCTGTTTGGTAATGATAATTCTATCTTTAGCTTTTTGAGAAACCGTGAAACTGTTTTCTACAAAGACTGCACCATTTTACATTTCCACCAGCAATGTACAAGGGTTCCCATTTCTTCACCTTCTCACCAATAACCTGTTAATTTCTGGGTTGTTATTATAATTATTATTATAGCCATCCTAGTATAGTCTAGGAAGTGGTATCTTATCATGGTTTTGATTTGCATTTCCTCAGTGACAAATGATTAGTATTATTTCTTGTGCTTATCTGACCATTTATGTCTTAGAGAAATGTCTAAGTTCTTATCATTTTTAATTAGGTTGTTTGTCTTTTTGTTGTTGAGTTATAGGAGTTCTTTACATATTTTCAATATTAAATTCTTCTCAGATGTATGATTTGCAAATGTTTTTCCCCATTGTTGTCTTCTCACTTTCTTGATAAGGTCCTTTGAAGCACAAGCTTTAATTTTGATGAAGTCCAATTTGTCTTTTTTCTGTTGGTTATGCTTATAGTGTCATATCTAAGAATCCATTGCCAAATCCAGGACCATGAAGATTTACCTGTTTTCTTCAGTGTTTTGTAGTTTTAGAGCTTGTATCTATGTCAGTGATCCATTTTGAGTTAATTTCTGTATATAGTATGAGTTGTGGTCCAATTTCATTCTTTTGCATGAAAGAAAATCCAGTTGTCTCAGCACTATTTGTTTCTACTTTTTCTCTCACTGAATGGACTTGGCACCCTGGTCAAAAATCAACTGGTGAGTCGGGCACAGTGGCTCATGCCTGTAATCCCAGCATTTTGGGAGGCTCGGGTAGGAGGATTGCTTGGAGTCTAGGAGTTTGAGACCAGCCTGGACAACGTAGTGAGACCCTGTCTCCATAAAATTTATTTTTTAATTAGCTGGGCGTTGTGGCACATGCCTATAGTACCAGCTGCTTGGGAGGCTGAGGTGAGAAGATCACCTGAGCCTGGAAGGTTGAGGTTGCAGTGAACCGTGATCACACCACTGCATGCCAGCCTGGGCAACAGACCAAGACCTGTCTCAAGAAACAAAAACAAAACAAAACAAAAAACAAACCCCAAAATTAGCCATAAATGTATGGGTTTATTTCTGGACTCTTGACTCTTGTTTTACACTATATCTGTGACCAAAGGTGGATTCTGGCCCACACTGGTCTCTTCTGCAACATATCTTCTTGTGGCTTTTTTCTGGCCCCGGGTTCCCAAACAAAGCATGCAGTTGCTGGTGATATTCTCTGCACAGTTAGGTTTTTGTTGAGTTGAAGAAGTAGCCAAATTCTTATTGTAAAAGTAGCCTTTCGTACTAAGCTGACTTTACCTTTCGAGGAGAACTTAACAAAATATGTGCTTCTTCCACTTTTAAAGTTTGGGCCCTCAGGTTCTTTTCTTTTTCTTTCTTTCTTTTTTTTTTTTTTTTTTGAGACAGAGTCTCGCTCTTTCTCCCAGGCTGGAGTGCAGTGGTGCGACCTCGGCTCACTGCAACCTCTGCCTCTCAGGTTCAGGTAATTCTCCTGCCTCAGCCTCCTGAGTAGCTGGGATGACAGGTGCCCACCACAATGCCTGGCTAATCTTTGTATTTTTGGTATTGACGAGTTTTCACCAATTTGGTCAGGCTGGTCTCAAACTCCTGACCTCAGGTGATCTGCCCGCCTCAGCCTCCCAAAGTGCTGGGATTACAGGTATGAGCCACCACACCCAGCCTGTCTGAGCACTCTCTAGTTCTGACATTCTGTGAGTATATGACCTATGGCCTCGGTGTGTGTTCTGTGATAGGAAAGGCCAGGGTGGAGGGATGAGAACAGGACAGCTGGGATTGGAGGTCCTGGCCGTGGCAGTGCCAGCTTAGGGGTTGCTGGCCAGAGGAGTCGGGTGGCTACCAGAGGCAGGGGGCTGGAGGCTCTGCTTTGTTTTAGAACTTTTTGAGTGCAGCTACTTCTCTTTTGATGGATTTATAGCAGTACAGTACCAAGACAGCTGGACTGGATGGGGCAAATGAGGGCAGTGTACAGAGGGTCGATGAGGAATGGCGTTAGAGGGCAGTGAGTGGGGGGTGGTCTGTTTCCCATCCAGCTGGTGTAACTGGGGCTCAGGGTGATTTATGGTGGAGAGGGGAGTCGGGTATGGAGGTGGGGCATGGACTTTTCAGATCCCTTGGGACTTGCCCGCGCTGAAGTTTGACATCATCAGGCACTGTGGTTTTCCAGATAGGGTCACTGGATGCAGTCCAACAAATGCAAAAAGACCTTGGGCAGGGACATTGTATCTGTGACCAAAAGTGGAAGGAAGCTCCAGCTATGCCTACAGTCTGGAGAACAGTTGCCAAGTAGGGGCTCATGGGTATCTGTTGATACTTACTGCCTTCACTCTGGAAAATCCTGAGCCTGAGTCTCAGCTGGGAGATTCTGGCCCAGCATGTGCTTGGGGGAGATTCACACCTTTGCTGTCTATCCTAAGCCATGTAGTTTGTCCTGAAGGTGCAGCAGTTAGATCTCTGGGCTCAGGTGTGTGTTCCTCTGCAGCCTTGGGCAGGTGTCCTGGTCTTCTGATCTGAATATGAACAAAGACAACCCTAGATATGTATGTGTGTTGGGGAGTGGGGTTCAGAAGTCAGCAGGCCTTAGGGAACAGCCTGTCCATGCTTTTGTCCTGGGGAGAGGCAGATTTCTGCAGGTGAACAATGCTAGAGAACTGTGCCAGCAGATGGGACCCTAGTGTCAGAATGAGGAGCACAGAGCTGAGGTCCGGGGGAAGCGGTCCCTGGATCTGGGGAGGCTTTGGAGTCAGGGAGGGCTGGCACCAGGATAACAGCAGCCTAGGATTATCTCTTTGCAAGGTCACGTTCCTCTACAAAGATTCAATCCCAGCCTGGCTCTGCCTCCATGCCCCCTTAGACACTGCAGACCAACTAAATACCATGCCAGGAACACCACAGTGTCCCGAAAGGACACTGTCTCCTGACACCAGCCCCTCTTTCCACAGTCTGACATTTTGGGTGTTATTTCGTCCTCTCCATCACCAAGTGTTCAGACAACAGAGGCAATGACGGGTTGGGCTCTGAGAGAAGGCGTCTGTGTGCACATCTGAGTGTGTGCATCAGTAAGAGTGTATCTGGGTGGGGTGTGTGCACAGGGGTGTGCCTGCCACCAAGGGCAGCCATGTAGATGTGTCCCAGTTGTGTGTGCTTCTATGGAAGCAGGTATGTATGGTGGAATTGACTGTGTGAACGGGGTGGGACTGGGGGGATCCTCTCTTTTGCCCTGCATTTGGTGGGGTCAAGAGGTAGGATTGGGAAGTGGAAGGAGGTCAGGTACACTGGCCCTTTCCTGGGCCCAAGATTACACTTAATGGGGGGCCACAGGCCTGCTTTCACAGGCACCTTGCCTGGGCAGTTTCTGGGAGGCTGGTGAGCTCTAAAAGCCCTAAAAGCACTCAAGGATTAAGCAGGAGCCCCTGTGCCTAGAGCTCCGCTTAGGTCGCTGAGCCAAAGAGACCCTGTGTGACCCTGGGCAGTGAGCTGTGGTGGGGTAGAGGACCCTTCCCTCCCTGCCAGGCCCAACCCATGGGAGTTGAGAGCGGGGACCTCGGTCTGCCGTGAGGTGAGGGGCTGTGGGGCAATCCGGGGCCGCATCAATGTTGGATGAGCCTGCACCTCCTCGATACCATCTTCCTTGGTCTCACTTTTAGTGTAACTGGAGAGCCCAGGGACCAGTCCGAGCTGGCCATGCGCGATCTGCTGGCAGTGGCCGCACCTGCGAGGGGACAGGAGCTGGGGTAGGGAGGCTGGCGCAGGCCCACGGCGTGTCCTGGAACAGCTTGGGGGCCACAGGGCCAGTCTCGCAGGGCAGGGGTCGATTCCAGTCTGGCCTCTGCTCGGGCCCTGGGTCCCGGTGCAGGGTTACTCCCCCGCCCCCCTCGGGCCACTTCGCCTTCCGCGGGGTGTCATCTGTCTGGCGGCGTGTCCTTGGGCCAGTTCGGTCCCATCCCCCTGCCTAGCTCTGGGAGTTTCCTGCTCGGGAAGGGGCTGGAGGGGCAGCAGCTGGACAGAGAGAGACCCCCTGGGGTAAGGAAGGGGAGCAGCCGCGACTGCACAGAGCCTCCCACTGCAGGTGAGTGTCCCGCCTGGGGAAAGGCCGGGAGCGCCTGGGGAAAGGCCTGGGGAAAGGCCGGGAGCGCAGGAGTGAGATTGGGGGTCCACAGTGGCCAAGCTTCTCCCCACCCTGGACTTTCCTACTCCAGTCCTGACCCTTTATAGCCTTGTGACACCACAAGTGCCGCCCCCACCCCCAACTACCACCAAGTATCGCCCTACAAGGCAGCAGTGAAGTAGGCTCGTAGCCGGTGAACACCTGGTACTTGTTGGCAGATGTTGGGATGAAGTTATTACTGCACTGTGGCCTCCATGATCAGCATGGACGGACACTCCTGTGGGCAGCAAGTTTGGATTGGATCAGTGAGCCATGGCGAGTGGGCAGCAGCCTGTTTTAAAAAACTGTTTATTGGAAAACAGACACATCTATCGGCTTAAATGTTGTCTATGGCTGCTTTCACACTACAACCTCAGATCTGGCCCTTCAAGAAAAAATTTTGCCGATGCCTGAGATATTCTCCCAGGGCATACTTCCCTTTAACCTACACGTGTTCATTCTCTTCCTCTCCCTCACACCTGGGCACCTATCCTCCCTCCTCCCTTTGCACCTCCCGCACATCTGGCTCACGCCAGGCTCTCCACACCTGGGAACATTTCTTTGGGGACCATTCACCTCACATCTGGTCACTATTCCTTCCTCTGGCAAGAGAGGAAATGACTGGGGCAACAATTTCAGAATCTAACAGGACAGCCGAGGGCTGAGGGAGGACCTTTGCCTGACCCCAAGTTGTCAGTGAGCCCCTCCCTAGGCTACAGGAGCAAGGCGAGTTAACTGCCGATGAGCACAGCTGCTCTGGGCCCCCAAATCTGTTTTGTCACCCGAGAGACTAAGCAGGCCAGTTCTGGGCATGGGCTTTCTGTCACTCCCTCTGTTGGCTGGTGACAGTGCTGAGGTCCCGATAGAGTGGTAGGGAGACCCTGCCGAACAGATAATTAGAGGGTGCCAATATGATCTGGGGGGGAACCTGGGAGACAGGGAGCTCCAGAGGCACCGCCCCTCGCCTGCCCGCTTCCCTGTCGCTTCCAC
This sequence comes from Homo sapiens, assembly GCF_000001405.40. Classification (NCBI taxonomy): domain Eukaryota; kingdom Metazoa; phylum Chordata; class Mammalia; order Primates; family Hominidae; genus Homo; species Homo sapiens. The sequence continues at coordinate 8,033,162 of NC_000011.10, forward strand.
ACCCTGGGGCCCATCGTGCCCCACTTCCTCCAAGCCCCAAGCCTTTGCAAACAGAACAAAAGCCGTTTCCTTGGTTCCCTTTTGTACGTCTGAGTTCAGGGGTCCGTTTCAGGGCCTGGACTCCGGGAGACTCCGGGAAACTCCGGCGCCCGAAGACAGAGCTGCATTCCTGCTGTGCCGCCACAAGATGGCACTCTCTAGGTGTCCGCCCCAGTTTGAGCACTCCGGGAGTTTCTGACACTTGCTGGCCTTTCGCCCAGTTTCAGCCTGAAGATTGTGGTCAGACACACTCTGAATCCCACCAGGCTTGATTAGCTTTGCCTGCCCCCTGAGGCAGCTCATGGACTTCTTCAGACTCTGTAGTTCAGGACATATTGACCCCTTCTGAAGGGGCCCTCAGGAACTGCCTGCAGTGTAATTACCTGCCTGCTTATACTCCTCCCCACCAGGCACTCCTGAGAGCGGGACCGTCTTATTCTCCTCGGGGCCACCTGCCCCAACCCAGGGCCTGGCACGGCAGAGATGGCAGAGGTGTTTGGTGGGGTGTAATGTGTAAACAGCAGAGTGCTGCTGTCGTCATTCATCCCACCATAGTTTGTCTGGTGAATGCATTTTTAGTGTCAAGCTGCCTGAAGGAGAAGCCAGGGATAAAGACCCAAGCTCAGAATGTATCCTGGGGAGAGGGATTGGTTCACAGAGAGAAGCTGTCTTGCAGCCTTTCCCCCTCTGGCCTGGTTCTGGCTGTTGCCAGCATTCTAGGAGTTCTCTAGACGGGCTGAAACGCACCGCAGGGATACAGGGAGGGCCGGAGAATAGGCGTTTGTTTCCAGGTAGAATTTTGGGGCATACCCGGCCTTGTCTGGGAGCAATCAGGGACCAGAGGCAAGGGCTGCGATGGGCTCTGGGGCCTACTGTGGCCTCATCCCTCTCACCTGGCCCCAGCTCAGGCCATTCCAAGAGCCTCCCAGCCTAACAGCAACGTGTGGCTATCCAAGGGTCCCAGACAGAGGATTGGAGGGCTGCACCTGTGTTTAGGGGACAGCCACCCCTCCCCCTAAGCACCTGCTCTGACAGCATGGGATGATGTCAACAAGGGACTTCCATGAAGCCCAAGGGGGAAGGACAGTGGGAGTGGGGTCTGAGGTCTGGACTCTGCTTGAAGATTGACAATGATGGGTGGGAGTCCCTCACCCACTGTAAGCTCTAGGAAGAGGGTGAGCATTCCTGTTGATACTGTGGCCCATTGTGTTGGCAGAGTCCAGGCCAGTTTGTGCTCTTGGTGTGACCCCAGGAGGGAGTCCTTTGCTGGATCATCTACCTCATGGGCTGGTACTGACATGCAGGTGCGATTTCCCTGCCTAAAACAGGCTCCAGAGTAAGACTGGCATCGCTCACCAGGGTAATTATTGGTTTGGGTTCAATTTCCATTCAAAACAGTAATCCCAGCCTGAGCTGGGTGTCAGATCTGAAGGTTGATTATTAGTAACATTTATCAACAGCCTCTCTCAGCTTCAGGCAATTACAGCTCATCTGCCATTCCTGCTCCCAGTCATGCAAACTTGCCAGCTTCTTCCCTGCCCACCCCCTCCATTCCCCTCTCCCCTTCTTCTCCCATCTCCTCCCCTTAGCAGACAACCTGACGGAGGGCAGGAGGTGGGTGCCACCTTATGACTCACTATCACCCTGTATGGAGGGGGTCCATGTGCATGCTAGGCACCTGTGCTCCCCAGCAGCAATATTCATGTTGCAGTCTTGTGAAATCTGAATCTGATTCTATCAGAACTGAGGAGAATCTGTGAAGGGGACAGATGGGAACCCATGTCTCCCGGCTCCTTGTCGCATGATGCGTTTTCAATGGCACTGTGCTCCTTCCTGCTCCTGACTCAGTCTGTCCCTCCCCTCCAGGGCTGAGACTAGGGTGAGGCTAGAAAGACATTGACCTCAAGTGCAACATTCAAAGGACCTCGAACAAGCTCAGTAATTAAGATAAATGATATTTCAATATAGTATTTTTTTAAATCAAAATGAATGCAAAGCACATACAACAAAATCAAACCTTTAATAAAGACAAGATACAACACTGGATTTGCGGGCCTTGTATTGGCCTCACTTGCCTTACCCTAACTCCAGTCTTGTTTATCATGGACAGTTTTGCTTTGATTTGCTGGAAGTATTAAATTTCTTGGCTGCTGAGTTTTTTGGCAAATCTTTAAATTCTGCGCCTCAGGCGAGAGCTTTATTCAGCTTACCCTGGTGCTGGCCCCACTGCTCTCACTTCCCGCTGGGCCCTAACCTCCTGCTCCCTTCAGCTCTTACTGCCTACTGCCTCAGGCAGGGTGGCTCAGCTTCTCTCTTCGCAGGTGCCCAGGGCAGCAGGGGACCCAAAGGGCCCCTCCATGGGCTGTCTTCCAGGGTGCCCATCCTTCATTCCATCCCACTGGACCCTGCTTCAGCCGTCAGACACCTCAGGGAGGGCCTGCAGGTTGCCAGAGTAACTGCTGTGATAACTGGAGGACAGAACATGCTGGTCTTGCTCTGCTCGTAGAATCACATCCAGCCAGGGCTGGATGAGTGCAAGCAGGCACGCCTGACAGCGTCCCTGACACGCTGATCCAAAACGTCACTGGACATGCATGGAGGTGGAGAACATTCCATGTACCCACATTCCTCTAGGGGGAGGACAGCATGAGGCTGGAGGAAAACTGTGGTGATCTGTTTGTGACAGGGAGGTGAGACGCTGAAGTAGACATGGATGCTTCCTAACCAGCCTTCCGCAGAGGGTAGGTCTCATTCGCTGAAGGGCTTCTGTTCTGCTGAGCAGGGTCTGTCAGTAGGGGGGCACACCTGTCTCCAGAGAATACCCTCCTCCTGTCCTCCCCTGGCTGTGCTCCACTAGCCTAAAAGGTAAACAGACATTTTAGAAAGATCAGTGTTGAAGGGGTACCCAAGATGCCAAATTATATCTGGGACTTGAGACACTGTTATGTCGAGGTCCAGGCCTAGGCCAGCTGGTCACAGTGTCCAGATGCCTGTCACGGTGGGAGGCCTGAGGGTCTCAGGGGACATGTATCAGAAGCACCTCTGCCCTGCCTGTTCCACTCTGTAATCTCCCTTCTGAGCCCCTACTGCAGCACAGAGCCAGCTGGTCATCTAGCCTGGCAGTAGTAAGTCATTCTATTTTCCTGCAGATAGGAATACATGGTTCCTGTTCCTCCTATGCACTCTGCCACTTAAATTCCCCTCTCTGAGTCCTAGGTTCCCCTTTTGTGAAATATCAATGATAGCATCCTTCTTAGAAGGCTGTGCTCACCATTCAGTGCACTAATGCAAAGCACTGTGACCGACTGAAGAGTCATGTTCTGTGGGGCCATGGAGGACAGAACTAGGACTGAAGGGAGGTGTGTTTGAGCTTTAGGTGAAGCAGCAATGGCCAACTACAAAGATGGAGGGACCGCTCTGGGAAGAGCAAACACCCTGATGCTCAGAGTGTGCATGAGGAGGTTTCATAATCACCATCCAGCAGCTTAGCCTCAAAAGGGCTGCCTGCCCCAGGGAGCTATGACCCTTGAGAGATGCAGTTTATCCAGCCCTGAGGTTCTGTTTGACCATCTTTCCCCGGTTGTCCTCCAGGGGGTCATGGCACAAGTCTCAGTAGCACGGGCCCCATGGTCCAGCCTTAAGGTAAGAATGGACCTCCCTGGAGGAAGCTGGCTTCATCTACAGTTGATAAGTTCACCTTTTTTCCTGGTCCACTTTCCTTGGTTTAACCCTGTGACCAAACCTGAGAGCTTTGGCAGGAAGGAAACCAGGGAGGATGTTGTGCTTGAGAAAGTGCTGGCCTGAGCATTGGCTTTGAGATGTCCTTTTACTCTGACTGGAGGGTCTCATTCCACCTGTAGCAAGACTAAAGACACCTGAAAGAGAGTTTCTGGGAGATGGAGGATGAGGTCTCCAGTTGCAGGTGCATGCACACGTCCACTTCCCCACCTGGCAGGTGCCGGCATGCAGGATGTCTGTGCGTGTGCCCCTTGCACTGACTCCCTTGAGGCTGGCTGTGCAGCTTTGGGGCATGTGTCCAAGCAGAGAGAATGGAAGACTCCATATTGGGAGCCTTGGCTTTGACCTTTCCTTTCTCTGAGCCTGATTTTCCCAACAGTGTTATGGGAGGGGAAGGATGAGATGCGCTTCTCAGCTGATGTCCGTGATTCTTCTGTTTTCTGGAGGCCATGAGTGTTAACAGAATGTGTTCACTTTTGCACCCTTCTTCCATGACCACTTACAGTCTGTCTGCTTAGCAGATGAGGGGTCTGGGTCTCCAGCGTCCATTTGGGGTGGGGTCAGCAATGTCCAGCTTTGCATCTGGGTATCACTTTTCCTTCTGATACTTGAAATTGGATTCTGAAGATTCCTAATTATTGTTCCAAGTTCTCATTGAAAATCTGGGTGTAATTTTTACAAGAGCATGGCTGAGGATGGACATGGAGGGGAAGTAGTGGGGCTGGAGGGAGGGAAGGGACAGACAGAAGGTGATGTTGTCATTAGGAGTTAAAGCCAGGGCCTGGTAGTAGATAAGGCTGGACAGTTGGCAGGATCATCGGGCGGACTAAAGTAGCTTAGATTCTGTCCAGAGGAAGTGGGGGTCTTCTGAAGGGTTTAAGTAGGCTGGGAGGACATGATCTTAGGAAGCTCACTCTGGTGTCAGTTGCAGGATGGATTTGAGAGGAGCAAGTTAGGTGTAGATGCCCATGATGATGCCAAGATCTGGGCAACAGACAGGAAGGCCCTAGCTCAGAAGTGGCTCTAGGGAAGGTGAGGTGCATAGAATTGAGAGATGCTCAGTAGATGGCATGAGCAGTGCTTGATGATTGTCTGGGTTGGTGGAGGAAGGTGGACAGGGAAAAGCAGAAAGCTACGATGGTGCCTCAAGGGGCTGAGTGATGTCACTCACAGAGACAGAATGTATAGAGTGAATGTTCAGACTCACAGGAAGTCCAAAACTACATACCCCAACGTGAGGTGCTGTGGGACATCCGGGGTGCAGGGTCCAGAGAGCAGGTAGGTAGAGTTTAGAAGAGGGCTGGGTCCACAATGCAGCCTTGGATGTTCTCAATGTAAGAGTTGTGGGAGATGAAGCCTTGTGAGTGGATGGGAACACCCAGGTGCATTTCAGGTGAAGCAAGGGGACAAGAGGCTGAGGACACAGACAAGCAAATCCTAGATCTTCCATCAGTCCCTAGAAGGCACGATGTGTGCCCCTCCCAGCACACAGCCTGAGCCCTAGCACAGAGCTGGCCGCAGAGAGGGCAGCAGTGAATGTGTCCTCGGTGGTTCCTCCAGATGGGGCCTTTGTCCGCAGTGCACTTGTCTCTGCCTGGGTTGCTATAGTAACCCACAGATGCAGAGAGACTTGGCCTCCGTGTTGCCATGGAAACCAGCAATTGGGTGTCCCTGTGTGGCATGGCCACTGAGACCTTGAGGATTCAGTCTGGTCCTGAAGGGTTTGGGGGGAGACTGCGACCAGAAGATGTTTCCATGTCCTAATTAATGGGTGATGGTGGTTGTTAGTCTGACTGTTGCCACGGTGATGAAGGGAGACATCCAAGTGCTGGTTTCAGTACTGAGGCGAATACAGGGAATTTCAACAGGCTCCAGGTCTTACTATGCAGCCTGAAGTGGGACCATCCCTTAAACCCACTCCATCCTGTGGCCACGATGGGGGCCAGGACACCTTTGCCTTCTTTCTGGGTTTCTTTCTTTGCCGAGACAGGGATTTTGTTCCCAGGAGGCACTCCCTGGCCCATGGGATCTCAGCATTCAAAGCAGCACAGGAAACCTGGGCCCCTGAAACGGGGCCACCGAAGAGATCGGTAAGCTTTCAACATCCTGCCTTTAGCCCATGGGCCCAACCATTGCGTCAGCTCCACCCACCCACCCTCACTGACCTCAACCCTTTACAGTCCCAAGGCCTCCCCTTCCTGATGGTGCTGCTCCCCTATCACCACGTGGAGCCCCACAGGTATATCCCCGCAAACCCCTCTTGCTCCAGACAGGTGATCAGGGAGGCTTCATTACTCCAGGAGCTGCCCAGGACCTCAGGGAGGTCCCCCACCATGGGAGTAAGGGCCTCTCCCCCAGCCTCCAGGGCTCCGGCAGCTCCACACTCCGGCCCTCTGCCTCTTCTGGAGGGCTCCTCCTTCCAGCTTCTGCCTGTCTCCCCACCCCCCAGTGCTTCATTCCCATGGCTCAGGTCATCACTGCCCTCATCTGGACTGCCTGCCTGCCTGCCTGCCATCCGGGGCCCACAGAGTGAGCACTCTATGGAAGTCCCTCTACCCTGATCCATCACGTAACTCACCTACTGAGGCAGCTGAGACCAGGGCACTGAAGGAGGCCTTGAGTGACCAGGTGTGGCCAGGCAGCAGGCAGGGATGATGAGGTGAGGCTGCAAGGATGTGGAGAGTCACCCCTTCTTTTCCTCCTCAGGAGAACAACCAGGAGGAAGTACTGGAAGGAAGGAAGGGAGATCGCTCGGTGAGCTGGAGGGGAGGAGGGCGTGCCGGCCCTGGGAAAGGGCCAACCACAGGAGACTGTGAGGGAGGTGGGCGGAAGACGTGGGTGGCTCAGGGGCCATGAACCCCATATGCGCCTGGGAGTGTGTGTGTGAAATGGGGTTTAGGGGAGGGTGTGACCACTGGACAAAGCCTGCTCTTATTGTGTGTGACTATTGTGGCCTTGGGTTTGTCCCTCTTGGATCCTCCTGTGGTCTTTTTGCCTTGACTCTAACCGGGTGATGCTGATGAGCAGGTCCAGAGGCCTGGGCTCTGTTCACTAGCCTGTGCTGGGACTCTCAGCCAAGCCTTCTCAGAAAGGAGGTGTCCTCTACATGTGGTCACACCATAGCCTAGGACCACAGAGGGAATCATGGTGGCAGAGCCTCCAGCCCCCCTGCCCTCCCATTGCCCAAACACCCAGATGTGGAGATGCCCTGCCCCGGGGTGCCGTCCCAAGCCTGCTTTCTAACATCAGGAGGTGGGTCTTGCCTAAGGCTCCTAACCAGGACCTCATTTGTTGTTTACACATGTTGGGGTCCCAAGGATATGTTTCTTGGCCCACAGAATGGTCATAAACAACTGCCCTGTGAAGGAGGGGGTGCTGTCTTGTGTACAGATGAGGCAAAATGACAGGATCCTGTCCCCAGCTGCAGAGTGTCTGCTGGGCGTCCCCAACACCTGGGAAGTCTGTCTGTCCTTCCAAGGGACCAGGCCAGAGAAATGGGGGGCACCTGGGGCTCTGCTTTGCCTCCTCATGGATGTCAGTCCCGGGTTTCTGATGGGGTTTGTGATGATGGCGCCCTAAAGGGAAGCTCTGTGGAGAGCCAGGGGTCTCGAGTATGGCCTTCATGGCAGGGACCCCATTGCTCTCCTTTTTTACACATGGCCTCAAACCAGGTTGACTTTTTAGCCTAAAGAAAATCTCATGAAGAGAAAGACAGTGGTGTGGGGGAGGGTGTATCACTTGAGCCTACTTCACAGGCTCTTGGGAAGGAGCAGTAGGAGGAGGAGGGGTGCAAGTAGTGAACCCCAGAGGGATGACTCTGCTGTGATGACTGTTAATGAGGCTTGAGACTTCAGCTCATTTGTCATGTGCAGCTGGTGTATTTTGAGTGATATAAGTTGATGACAGCCTCCTTCCTGAACCCACTGTCAAGGCTGCAAGAAATTTTTGAGATCCCACATCCAACCCCTTGTGTAACAGGCAAAACAGGCCTCAGGTTCTGAACCAAGGTCACACTGCAAGTTTGTGGTAGACTCAGAATTAGAACGCAGGCCACCTGCTCAGGGTTCTTTCTCTGTACTGCAGGAGAGGGAACCAGCATCACTGTGTGGGAGTCAAGGGGCTTCTCAGGAGTGAGTAGTCCTTTGGCCATGACCTTGCCTTATGTGAATGGAAGTTCTGAGCATAGTGTGAACTGTATGTCTACAGCTGATGGCTGCCTGGCAGGGACTCTTGGCCATACTGGGTTTCTGGGCTGGCTCATTTCTGGTGTTTGGTATCTCTCTACTTCACGTTGAATGGCTCTTCCCTGTTGAAAGGCTCTGCCAGTATCCCTTAATATCAGGTAAAACTGCACAATTCAAGATGGTGCCAGCAAGCATGATGTTTCCCCCATGGTGACACAGGGCTGTAAGTAGGGAGATGAGGAGCCAGGCATCTTTGGAATTGAGGGCTGACTTATAGGGCTGACTTATCTCCGTAGGTTTGGAATAGTCATAATTAATGGCAAAGTTAATGGTCCAGCCACTTAGGGATATAGCAAAGCAAGAGAATCTTGGCTTGTTGTCTTCAACTTGTTGAAGAATATCATCTCCATTTCATCCACCCATTACTTGGCATCTTGGGATCATTTGAAACTGTTCCACCTGTGAAACCTTAATCTTTGTGTACCTCGTATGCATTCTGCCTCCCATATCTCCACCATGTCTGTTCATAGAGACCTCAGGCCCCTGAGCCCTAGTTTTTCTCCTCACTCTGAATCAACTCTTGTTCCTATTCTATCTGAGCTCTGTTGCTTGTCACTTCAACTGCCCACCATTCACCACCTGGCCTCTTAGTCTCCTACCTCAACCTTAGAGCAGGGTCACTGCCTGCTTTCTCTAGTCCTGGTTTAAAGGTGTGGGGGGAATTCCTTCGTGAATTGACATTGGTCCAAATTCATGGCCCGCAGCCTCCAGCGAGCCCCCAGCAATGCCCAGCAGTCCTGTGACCTGGGCCTGCTCCAATTCCTCCACAACTATTTCAAAGCTCTCACATTACCCACTTATTGGGATATAATTCATATACCATACAAGTTGCCTGTTTATAGTGTACAGTTCAATGGTTTTAAGTTGTATGACCATCACTACAATTTATTTTAGAACATTTTCATTACTCCCCCCAATGAAAACCCATACCCATTTGCAGTCTCCCCCTTTTCCTACACCCCCCAGCCTTAGGCAGCCACTAATCTATTTTCTATCTTTATAGATTTGCCTATTCTGGACATTTCATGTAAATGGAATCACATAATATGTGGTCTTTTGTAACTGGCTTCTTTCCTTAGTATAATATTTTCTAGGTTCATCTGTGTCATAGCATTTATCAATACTTCATTTCTTTTTATTGCTGAATAATATTCAATTGTATGGATATACCACATTTTCTTTATCTATTCATCAATTGATGAACATTTGGGTGTTTCCACATTTTAGCTATTATAAATAATGCTGATATAAACTCTTGTGTCCAGGTTTTTATAGGGACATATGTTTTCACTCCTTGGGTATATGCCTAGGATCTATGTTCAACCTTTTGAGGAACTGTCAGAGTGTTTTCCCAAGTGGTTGCTGCATTTTACATCCCCACCAGTAGTATATGAGGGTCTCAGTTTTTTCATATTCTTGCCAATACATGTTATTATCTGCAATTTTAAGTATAGTCATCCTAGTAAGTGTGAAGTAGTATCTCATTGTGGTTTGGCTTACATTTCCCTGATCACTAATGATGACTAACAATGTGCTTATGGACCATTTGTATATCTTCCTTGGAAAAATGTCTATTCATATCTCTTATCCATTTTTTAAATTGGGTTGCCTTTTTATTATTGAGTTGAAGCATTCTTTATATATTCTAGGTAAAAACAAGACCCTTATCAGATATATGGTTTGCAGATATTTTATTCTATTCTGTGGTTGTCTTCACTTTCTTGATGGTGTCTTTTGCAACACCAATATTTTACATTTTTATGAAGTCTAATTTATCTAGTTTCCTTTTGTTGCTTGTGCTTTTGGTGTCACATGTAAGAAACTGTAGGATTTTTTACAAAGATTTTTGCCTATGTTTTCTTCTAAGAGCTTTATAGTTTTGGCTCTTTCATTTAGGTCTTTGAATCATTTTGAGTTAATTTTGTTATTGGTGTGAGGTAGGGGTCCCAACTCATTCATTTGAATATGGATATTCAGTTGTCCCAGCACCATTTGGTGAAAAAACCATTTTACCTCCATTGAATGGTCTCGCTATCCTGTTGTAAATCAGTTGACTGTAAATGTAAGTTTATTTCTGGGCTCTCAATTCCACTGCTTTGACCTATATGTCTATCTTTATACCAGTACCACATTACCTTGATTACTGGAGCTTTGTGGTAAGTTTTGAGATCAGGATGAGTTCTCCACCTTTGTTCTTTTTCAAGGTTGTTTGGCTATTCTGTATCCCTTAATTTTTTCTTACAAATTTTAGAATCTGCTTGTCAATTTCCACAAAGAAGCCAGCCAGTATTCTAATGGAGATTGGACCGAATCTGTAGATCAGTTTGGAGAGTATTGCCATCTTAATAGTATATAGTCTTTTGATCCATAAATACAGGATGTCTTCTTGTTTATTATTTAGGTCTTCTTTAATTTCTTTCAAAGAAGTTTATAGTTTTCAATGTATAATATTGCACTTATTTTTAGCAGTTTATTCCTCAGTGTTTTATTCTTCTTGATGCTTTTGTAAATTGAATTGCTTTCTTAATGCAAGTGTATAGAACTATGTATAACTGATTTTGTGTAATGATCTTGTATCCTGCAAACTTGCTGAACTTGTTTATTAGTTACAATCATTTTTTAGTGGATAACTTAGATTTTTATTACACAAGATTATGTCTTGTATGAGTAGAGATAGTTTTATTTGTTCCTTTCTAATCTGGATGCCTTTTGTTTCATTTTCTTGCCTAATCATCTTGGCTAAAACCTCCAGTACAATGTTGAATACATTTGTCTAGAATGAGCATCTGCCCCACCCCACCCCCCTTCTTCTGGCTGCTCTTAAGATTTTTCTCTTTATCGTTGGCTTTCAACAATTGATTATGTGATGTCTTGGTATAGTTTTCTTCACGTTTCTTCCACTGAATGTCTTTTGAGTTTCTTGGATATATGGGTATATGGTGTTCATTAAATTTGAAGAAACATTGGGCATTATTTCTTCTAATATTTTTTCTGACTTTTCCCCTGAAACTCCAACTATGTGTATGTTAGCTTGCTTAATATTGTTCCAGAGTTTTTCATTTTTCAGTATTTTTCTGTGTTTTATTTTGAAATATTTCTACCTATGCCTTTGAATTTACGAATCTTTGCTTTGCAGTGTCTAATTCCATGAAGTATATATTTTATTTTAGATACTATGTTTTTCATCTCTTGAAGCTTGACTTGCATCTTAATTATGTATTTCATTTCTCTCCTCATCATAGTCATATTTTTCTCTATCTTTTTTACGTGGAGTGAGTTTATCATAGCTCTTTTAACATTTATGTCTGCTAATTCTGTCATCTGTGTCTTCCTACTTGTACTGTTTTTACCCACAACACTTCTAACACTAAATGTGTGGTTTCTTTCCACACCAACAACCAATTTGGCAACTCTCTAGATGCCAACTGAGGGTCCTGCAATTTAATTTGATTCTGGTACTAATTATTATAACTGAAGTTAATGCAGACCCCACAGTTTAAGGGCTCAGTCCCGCAAGACTTCCCCCATTTCATAAGTCCCAGGTTGTCACCTATACTTCTGGCCAACCAGCTATAAATTGGGGGTTCCTAGGACCCCTGCTCAGGTATGAACATTTGCTAGAATGGCTAACAGAACTCAGGAAAGCACTTTATTTACTCTTTACTGATTTATTATAAAGGATACAACTCAGGAACAGCCAAATGGAAGAGACACCTAGGGCAAGGTATGCAATGGCGTGGAGCTTCCATGACTTCTCCAGGTGTGCCACCTCCCCAGCACCCCGATATGTTTACCTGCCAGGAACTCTCCAAACTCTGTCATTTAGGGTTTTATGGAGGTCCTGTTACATAGGTACAACTGATTAAATCATTGACCATTGGTGAGTGAACTCAATCTCTAGCCCTTCTCCTTTCCCCAGTGGCTTAGGGGTGAGCTGCAAGTTCTAATCCTCTAATCACATGGTTGGTTCCTTTGGCAGCCAGCCTCCATCATTAAGCTATCTAGGAGCCCACCAAGAGTCACCTCATTAGAATAAACTCAGGTATGGTTGAAAGTGGCTTATTGAGAATAAAAAAGATGTTCCTATCATGCAAGAATTTCCAAGGGTTTTAGAAGCTCTGTGTCAAGAACTGGGGACAAAGACCAAATATATATTTCTTCTTGTGTGCACTGGTGATTGATTTTTCTCCTAGTTATGCATCTTCTCCTCCTCCTTTTTTGAATGCCTGGGTAATTTTTGATTAGATGATAAATGTTTTGGATTTTACAATGTTGGGCTTTGTTTTATCCTTTAATAGTTAATGGTGGGCTTTGTTCTGACAAACAATTAAGTTACAGGTTGAGTATCCGGAATATCCGAAACCTGAAACGCTCCAAAATCTGAAACTTTTTGAGAGCCAAATGACACTCAAAGGAAGGGCTCATTGGAGCATTTCAGATTAGGGATGCTGAACCAGTAAGTATAATACAAATATTCCAAAACTTGAAAAAATCCAAAATCTGAAACACTTCTGGTCTCAGGCATTTTGGATAAGGGATATTCATCCTATACTTGGAATCAGTTGGATCCTTCTGGGGTTTTCTTTTAGGCTTTGTTAGGGCAGGTCCAGAGCAGCCCTTGGCCGAGGGCTAAGTTGGCCTCACTACTAAAGAGTGCTCTTCTGAGGACCCTCCCTGATCTGATGTTCTGTGTATTAGGAGGTCTTTCTGCTCGGACTGGTGGGAACACAGAGTATTTCCACCCTTCTGTGAATTTCTGAGATTGCTCTGCTTACTTCTCTCTGTGGTTCATTCCCCAGCCTTGGGTCGTTTTCTCACAAGCATGTGCAGATCAGTACTCAGCCAGAGATAAGGGAAGCCCTCTACAGGCCTCCGAAGCACATTTGTGCGTTATCTCCCTCCCCTCCCTCCATCCCTCCTTCTCTTTCTCAGTCTCTTGCTCTCTCACTCTCTAGCTCTTCCTTCTGGAAACCCTTTCCAGGGAATAATCAGGGCACTTGCAGGGTTCACTTTGTTTGTTCTCTTTCCTCAGGATCATTGCCTTGCACCACCTTTTGTCCAATGTCTGAACTGTCGTTTCATCTATTTCACCGGTTTTTAAATGTTAAGGCAGAAATGTAAATCTAGGCCCTGTTACTCCATTGTGACTGAAGGCAGAAGTCTCTCCTTAGTTTTAGGCTCACCATTTTAAGTGCTTACTCTACATTCCCAACTGGATATCACACAGACCCCTCAAACTCAATGCATCCAAACTAACATCTTCTCTCACCAACCTGTCCCTCGTCTTCTATTTCCTATCTCCTGGGGGAAACCCAGCCCCAAATCTTAAAGGCCACTGTGACCTCTTTTTCACCATTCCCTGATATTTAATTAAATAAAATCCTTTCAATTTCATATTCTTTGTTAGGCCCAAATCTGTGCATCTCTTTCTTTTCTCTCTGACCACCAGATTACCTAGGTCCTCACGGTATTTAGTCTAAGTGACTATATAGCAGCCTGCAAACTGCCTCTTTGCCTCCAGCCTATCTTACTCCAAGCCATGGGCCACACTGAAGCCAGAGTCAGTTTTCCAAAGCATAGATAGGATCCTATCATCCCCCACTTAATGTATTTCAGTGGATTCTCTGAAGCAGGGCTGTCCAATTTTTTGGCTTCCTTGGGCCACATTGGAAGAAGAAAAATTGTCTTGGGCCACACATAAAATACACTAGCACTAACGACAGCTGCTTCACTTTTTTAAAATTCGCAAAAAATTTTCATAATATTTTAAGAAAGTTTACAAATTTATGTTGGGCCACACTCAAAGCCATCCTGGGCTACGTGCAGCCTGCAGGCTGCAGGGTGGACAAGCTTGCTCTAAAGCTTTAGCACAGAGCACTGCATTCTTAGTGGAGACAAAAGGCTGTTTACTATCTGGTTCCTGTTATATTCTCCAGCATCGTCTCCTCTCCTGCCTCTCCCCACTGCCAGCTGCACCAGCCCCCCAAACTCATGTACTCTTTTCCATTTCTGGGCTTCACCTGTGACTCCTTCCATATGTAGTGCTCTTCCCTGTCTTCACCTGGTAGACTTCTCACCAGCCTTCAAGACTTGGTATCACCTCCTCCAGGAAGCCTACTCAGATGTCCTCAATCACATGCAGTGCTAAACTCTATCACAAGTCTTAGTAAATTTATATCAATCATGATTCCATCCAAATCTACTACTGGGCTGTGATCTCTCTGAGGGTAAGAACGTATCTTGCTTAGCTCAGTACCCTCAGTGGAAAGCCATGCACAGAATAGGTACTCATTATAAGTGCACTGGATGAAGGAATGGAGGTGTGGAGCCATGGCTGGTGGAAATGAGATCCAAGGCCAGATGCCCTCGAGTGGCCTGGAGTCCCAATAGCAGAAGGGCTCTGTGCAGCAGGGCCTTCCTCCTAGATTCAGGCAATATTGAGCTTGAGGGTTTGTGCTGCCTCCCTGCTCTACTGCACAGGGGCTAGACTTAAGGAACTTGCCATTGCTGCATTTATACCTTTTGTTTCAAAGGGATCCCTGATGAATCATCCAAACCTGCACGGAGCCTGAGCCCCAGGGAGGGTCCTTGGGGTGGCTGGGCCATCTCCTGCATGTGACTTAGAAACTGTGCCACAAAGAGCCTGATGCATCACAGGACATTTTTCTTGAAAAGAGATTTTAGAATAGGATGTGATGAAGGTCTTTGATGACTGTGATGTGCCACCATGCAATATAACTCTGCTAGAAAGGGTCCCATTTGCTCATCCATTTTAATAATTATTTATATCCTTCACTGTCATTTGATTACAAGCACCATGAAGGCAGGGCTGTATCTTTTTTTTTTCATTGTTGTGTCCTCAGCCTACAGTGCATGTACACAGTGAGCACTCAGTAAATAATTTTCAAATGAATAATAATAGCTAACATTTGTTGAGGACTTATACCACACATGAGTCTAGGCCATTTACACACATTAACTCATTTCATAGTCACAGTAACCCTATGAGGTGAGTACTGTTATCATTCTCATTTTGTGGAAGAAAAATTAGACACATAGTGGTTAAGTAAATTGCCTGAGGTCACATAGTTAATAACTGGTGAGGAAAGCTTTCAAAGACTTCATGAATGAATGAATAAGTGAATGAATGTTTTAATTTAGAGTGTCCACAAAAAGGGACTACAATAGATGAAGGTGCTTTTTGTTTTGTTTGTTTTCTTTTTTAGATTTTTTTAATGAGATGAGGTCTTGTTCTGTCACTCAGGCTGGAACATGGTGATGCGATCATGGCTCACTGCAGCCCAGAAGTCCTGGGCTCAAGTGATCCTCCCACCTCAATCTACTGAGGACCTGGAACTGTAGGAATATGCTGCCAGACCCAGCTAAATCTTTGTTTTCTTTTTTGTGGAGACAGGGCCTCATTATGTTGCCCAGGCCAGTCTGGAACTCCTGGTCTCAAGCAATCCTCCCAACTTGGCCTCCTAAAGTGCTGGGATTACAGGCATGAGCCACTATGCCTGGCTGAAAGCTGTATTTTTTAAAACAATCATCAGAGCATCAGACTTTCCATAATTTGGACTATTCATACTCAATATCAATTAATATATTTCTCTATATAATATGTAATGTTGTAATGTTATGTAATTATATGTAAGATTAAATATATGCAATTAAGTATAATATTACATATAGCATATATCATTTGACATTACTGCATGCCAGACTCTGTATTGTTTTACATAAATTATCATATTTAATATTCGTAATTCTGTCAAAGAGATATGAGAATCCCTATGAATTCCCATGGTACAGCTAAAGCTCAAAGTGGTTAACCTCAAACATAGAGAGCTTACTGCAAGGCAGGATTTGAACCCAAGTCTATTTGACTCCATATTCGTGCTCTTACCTGCTTTGCCATCCTCTCTCTTCTGTAGTCGGCCCAAAGCATGGGCTACCTTGTGCTTTCCAAACCCTTGCCCTTCTAGGAAGCTACCAAACCCTATGGCATAGTCTTCATTTCACAGCCTAACCCAAGGGGACTTTCAGTGCCCCAGGCAGGTTTTCCCAACCCCCATCCAGTAGGAAGAGCTGAGGCTTCCACAGCTCAGACCCCATGGTGTGTCATCCTGCTATTTTAGAACTTGAAGGGTGCCGTATTGGAGGCCATCCTAGACCAACTAAATCAGAGTCATTGAGAGTAGGGCCCAAGAATCTGAATTTTAAATAGATCTCCAGGTGATTCTGATGTCCAGGCAGATTTGAGAACCACTGGCCGAGGCCCAGCAAAGAGACAATGCATACCCCTCAGGAAAAGAAGTAGTGGCTTATTGCCCAGGCCACCTTCACAGCACCTTTTAGAACCATGGTGGTATTATGTGGTATATATATATATATATATAGATAGATAGATAGATAGATAGATACACACACACATACATATAAAATAAAATCACATTACTTTTATTGTGTAATTTTATTATGTAATTTTATTATATAACCATAATAACATATGTATGTAATCACTACATATTCATTGTAGTAAATTTGGAATACATAAAACAATATAAGGAAGAAAAATAAGATGACCTATAGTTCCAACACCCAGAGGTAATTCCTACTGACATTTTGATTAATTTTCATCTTTAAATTTTTAATTGAAGTATATATAGTAACATGGAAATACACAAATTATAAGTGGACAGCTTATGATGAATTTGCACAGCTGAACACAGACAGTCATGTTAACACTACCCAGACCAAGAAACACAACATTTGCCAGCCCCCTAGAAGCCCACGTTGAGCCCTTTTCTGATAAATGCACCCTCCCAAAGTAGTGATCCCGACTTTTAACATCATAGATTAATTTTGCCTGTGTTTGACATTTATATAAGTGGGATAATTTATTATCTACTCTTTGAGGCTGGTTTATTTTGTTCAATATTAATTTGCAAGATGCATGTATGTCAGGTATGTAGTTATACGGTAGTTCATTTATTATTGCTGTATAGTATTCAATTGTGTGACTGTTGTAGTTTGTATATGCATTCTACCGTTCATGGACATTTGGAAAGTTTAAAGTATTTGGCAGTTACGAATAGTGCTGCTATAAGCATTCTTGTACATATCTTTTGGTGCATGCGTCTGTGTTTCCATGAGGTGCGTACCTAGGAGTGGAACTGCTGAATCTTATGTTCCATTCTAGTGGATGCTGCCAAAGTTTTCCAGAATTGTTGTACCAGTACACTTTCACCAGCAATATATGAATCCCAGCTGTCCCATATCTCCACCAACACTTGGTCTTTTCTGTCTTTTTATTTTAGCTGTTCTGGTGAGTGTGTTGCATGTGGTCTTGTGGTTTTACTTTACATTTTCCTGGTGAATAATGAAGTTGAGCATCTTTTCATTCATGTATTTCTTTTTAATCTTTTACTTATTCACCCACTCCTGGTAATCCTTAATTCATTTTTTTTAAAAAAGTGAATAAGGCCAAAAAGCTTTCCATAAATAAAACGGCCTGGTTAAAGTACTATTTTATTTTTCCCTTCAGCGAAGTCTGTCATCTTAAAAATAAGTGCCATCTAACTAGAAGATATTAAAGAAAATGTGTTTTCTGCTCTTCTGTCTCTTAGCTCTTTTTTCCTATGCTTTCAATAATCTTTTAACTTTTACTGGTTCCACAATAAAATTGCATCCTTTTGAGGGATGTAATCTTATGAGACAATTGCACACATATTCTCCAAAGAAAGACTAGTAGGACCATTAAAACAGAGGAAAAGCTTAAAGTCAAGGTGAGACAGGAAGCTTTCAAGTAGCTAACGGCCAGGACCAGTTGTTCCACTGGGAACCGTCAGGAGGGGAGCCCGGGGAGTGGAGTAGTGAGCATCTCAGAGTGGATGCTGAAAATGAAGTTGTTTCTTTTATTTGCTTTGTGTTTTGCTCTTTGTTACTGAAAAAAAAATGGGCTTAAATTCTTAGGTGCTACTTTGAAAATGATCTCGGGTGTTACCTGAAAAAAATGTGCAGTATGAGTTTGTTCACAAGTGGCAATTACATATGTTTGTGTGTGCCTATATCCTAATGACATTGTGTAAACTGTTTTGTCATCTAAATTTTTCATGTAACATACTTTCCCATATTGTTAAATATTATCGGGAAAATACTGTTTTTAATGGCTATATAATAGCTCTTTTATGGATTTGTTGAAATTTAATCATTCCTTTATTTTGGTTATTTCCATAATTTCTAAATTCTCAATGATGAATATATTTGTACATAAATCTCTGTACTCTTGTGATCACTTTCTTAGAATAGCTTCAGAGAAATGAAATTAATGGCTCAAAAAGAATGAATCTCTTTAAAGTTCTTTGATACATTCATATTATCACATTTCTTTCCAGAAAGGCTATCAATCCACTCTCTCCGCACAGTATCTGAAGGGCCACCCTCACTGCATATTCGCCAGCTTTGCACTCACTTCAATTACAGTGTCTCTTGCCATATAGAAGACGGTGATTTTTACCTAATAAACTTTTATGGCTTCTGGATTTAGGAACATGCTTAGAAAAGCTCCCCCACTCCCTGCACATGACTAGAAGAATACTCTCTAACATGTTCTACTTAACAGTTTTCTTTTTTGTAATAAACCTTTAATCCTCTGTTATTTGTTTTTGTATGTGATGTGAAATAGGGATATAGCTTTATTTGCCCCAAATGGATAGCAAGTTGATCTCTAAGCCACTTACTAAATAATCCAATGTTTCTTCAGTATTTTGAAAGGCCATCTTTATTGTAAACCAATTTCCTCTATATACATGGTACTATTTCTGTACTGCATTGGTCCATTGGTCATTCTCACGTCGATACCACTGTTTTTGGTACAGTTTCCTAGTACAGATGATTTATTGGAGATTCATAGCACAGTTTGATAACTGGCATGGCAAATGCCTCCTCATTCTTTTACGGTTACAAAATTGTCTTGGCTAACTTGGAAAACTGGCTTATTTCTCCAGATGAATTTTGGAATAAATTTGTCCAGTTGAAAAAAAATTCTGCTGCATTTATGATTAGAATGGGATCACACCTGTCAATTTATTTGACAAAATTGCAGTTCCATACAGGAACAGGGGATGCATCTCCTTTTATCAAGGATGTTAATATAAGTAAAATTTTATAGTTTGTTTTATTATTAATAGAATTGTAGTTTGTTTTCATGTATGTCGAAGGCATTTCTTGTGAAGCTTCCCTAGATAGGTTATTTTTTCTATTGCTTGTGTGAATAGGACCTTTTTTTTTTTTTTTTTTTTTTGAGACGGAGTCTCGCTCTGTCTCCCAGGCTGGAGTGCAGTGGTGCAATCTCGGCTCACTGCAAGCTCTGCCTCCTGGGTTCATGCCATTCTCCTGCCTCAGCCTCTCATGTAGCCGGGACTACAGGTGCCCACCACCACGCCCTGCTAATTTTTTGTTTTTGTATTTTTAGTAGAGATGAGGTTTCACCGTGTTAGCCAGGATGATCTCGATCTCCTGACCTCGTGATCCGGCCACCTTGGCCTCACAAAGTGCTGGGATTACAGGCGTGAGCCACTGTGCCCGGCCGGACCTTTTTAATTATATTTTTAAATTGGATGTTTCTGATATGTAGAAAAGCCATTTATTTACAGGTAGTTATTCTGTATTAATCAATGCCACTGACTTATTTATTAATTCTAATAGTTTTTCAGTTAATTTTCTTAGATTTTGCTAGGTAGACAGTTGGATATGCAAATAATGATCAGTTTATCTTCTTTTCTAATAATTATGTGAAAAAATAAATTATTGCATTGGCTAGAACTTATAAAACAATGCTTAGTTATATTCTTTATCCTGTCAACTATACTTCTGTTCCTAGTTTACTAATAAATTTCTTTTAACCAAAAATGAGTGCTGAGTTTTATCCAAGACCTCTTTGGTATCTGTTAAAACTTACGACATTTATCATTAGGCTTATTAATGTGATGTATTAGATTAATAGGGTTACTCATATATAAACCATCTTTCCATTTCCGGAAATGGAATGAGCTCTATATGGTGCATGTTACATTTTTCATTCAACTTACTTCTAGGTTTGATTTGTTAATCTTTTATTGAGAATGCTAAATATATTTTTAATAAGTAAGGCTATTAAGTATTGGAGTTTTAGGTTTCTGGGGAGTTAGATTTTTATATCAGGGTTTGATTAACCTTGCAGAATTAGTTGGTTGCATCTCATCTTTTTTTATGTATTGCTGAGTGATTCCTCTAACTCAATAATTGTCTGTTTTTATTTATTTATCTTTATTTATTAATTTATCTATTTATTTTGAGACAGAGTCTCGCTCTGTCGCCCAGGCTGGAGTGCAGTTGCACGATCTCGGCTCACTGCAAGCTCCGCCTCCTGAGTTCACGCCATTCTCCTGCCTCAGTCTCCGGAGTAGCTGGGACTACCGGCGCCCGCCACGACGCCCGGCGAATTTTTTTGTATTTTTAATAGAGACGGGGTTTCACCGTGTTAGCCAGGATGGTCTCGATCTCCTGACCTCGCGATCCGCCTGCCTTGGCCTCCCAAAGTGCTGGGATTACAGGCGTGAGCCACCGTGCCCGGCCAATAATTGTCGTTTTTAAAAGTTTGAAATACTTGGCCGGGCGCAGTGGCTCACGCCTGTAATCCCAGCACTTTGGGAGGCCAAGGCAGGCAGATCAAGAGGTCAGGAGATCGAGACCATCCTGGCTAACACGGTGAAACCCCGTCTCTACTAAAAATACAAAAATATTAGCCAGACGTGGTGGCGGGCCCTGTAGTCCCAGCTACTCGGGAGGCTGAGGCAGGAGAATGGTGTGAACCCGGGAGGCGGAGCTTGCAGTGAGCCGAGATCTCACCACTGTACTCCAGCCGGGGCGACAGAGCGAGACTCTGTCTCAAAAAGAAAAAAAAGTTTGAAATACTTGTCCCAAAATTCATCTTGGTCTGGCACCTTTCTTGTCTGGAGCTGTTTAGCAACATTTCCAGTTTCTTCTATGGTTATTAATCTAATCAACTTTTCTACTTCTT
Source organism: Homo sapiens (assembly GCF_000001405.40). Lineage (NCBI taxonomy): Eukaryota > Metazoa > Chordata > Mammalia > Primates > Hominidae > Homo > Homo sapiens. The sequence goes on from NC_000011.10 coordinate 8,054,246, forward strand.
TTTAAGTTTAGAGATTTATATTTTCTAGAAAGTTCATTGTGTTGAGATTTTTAATTTATTAGTCTAGAAATATAGTAAGATTCAGATGTGTACAGTCTCATCTGTATCTTTGATTACAGCCCTTTCTTAAGGGTTTGATTCTTTTATGGTCCTCTGACTTTCCACATGCCCCTCCTTGGGCCTGGCAGGGGCAAGGGCTGGAGAGAGAGAGAGAGAGAGAGACAGAGAGAGAGCACAAGTGGGAGTAGGGAACAGTTGTGGGCCCATGTCCATTTCCATCAATTGGAATGGATATGTGTGAGCCTGTAGACATGTCCTCACCTGCATGCCATGTCATCTCCCAGCCCGAATGTCTGTTGTGGCATATCTATGCATACACCTTGATGTGTGTCCTGGCATATGTATGTGTGTATGTGTTCCTCCATATATGTGTCAGCATGCATGCACACATGGTCTCTGCAGCCATGGAGATTTCCACTTTGTGTGAATATTGTGTACATGTTCCTGTGTGTACTGTACCTGTGTTCATACATGTGCATGGGTGTATGTTCCTGTGTTACTGTCACTGGGAGGCACATGGCACATCTGGCTAAAGGGATGGTAGAGTAGCTCAGCACAGCCTTGGTGCTTACATGGCTTATTCTCTGCCATTTTAAACAATCTCTCAAAGGGCCAGAAGGTGAAGAGGAGGTGGGCTTGGGCAAGATGGGGTGTGGAGGCTGGCCCGTCCTAGAGTCACTCTGTCATGACTAACCCAAGTCTGGAGCCCAGGCCTAGATGCTCAGCCTGTGTCCCCTGGAAACCCCCTCAGCTAGACAGAGAGGAGAGGGTTTACTGTAACTCATCAGTCAGGGCAGCTGTCTGCTGTTGCCATGGAAATCTGAAGGCAGCATCTTCTGCAAGGACCAGGATGTAGAGTCTAGAGAGGACAGGCTGCATCAGCCTGGTGGGATCAGTCTGGAGTGGCCTGTGTGTGTGCGTGTGTGAGAGAGAGAGAGGTGGGAGGAGAATGCAAGATAGTGAGTGAGCTTTCTGAAGTGGGTGGCGCATACCTCACCATTGCTCTCTAAGGCCTCAGCCATTACTCTGGATTATCGCTGGGTGGCGCTGTAAGAAGGGGTGTACCCCTGAGATGGCTTCCCTGTGCCCATCAGGACCCGGTCTGGCCTGAGGCTGCTCTTAGAGTGTCCTGGGACCACCTAGACAGATGTGCTGGCATCTGCCCATCATGGGCCCCAGAGCCCACCCAGCATCTGCTGCACACTGGCTCCTCCTTGCTCAGATGATGGGGTGGTCCAGGAGGCAGGCCCTTACCCTGGCCGCACAGATGCTGGGTGATGGGAGCAGACAGACAGAGGCCCCTCACCCCAGGACTCAGCTCTGCTGCTGATGGGCTGGGGGTGGGGGCAAGGACAGGGCAAGAGTACAGGATGATGACTGGGGGACAGGATAGAGTCCAACCTTCAGGTGGAGCTGAGGGCTGGGACAGCCAATGACAGTGTGTGCCTCTGCCACCGCCTCAGTCTGGCAAGGCATAGGAAAGGAGCACCCCCTTGGAGTCCTGACAGCACCTGTGGAGTTGGAAGCAGGAGCCCTGGCCTCCCTGCTCACCTTCCCACTAGCCCCTTCGCTCAGGGCCCTGTGACTTCTGATCCCTCCCTGTGACAGGGGAGCCTGGGCTCAGCGTTCACTGCAGCCTGGGCAAGGCCCTTAAGCCCCCAAGAGTCCCGCTCTCACAGGGCATGGGAGGAGCTTCCAGAAGCAGATGGGTGTCCTTGTTTGGGTTGGGGGTGCTGGGGAGAGCAGGAAGGAGCTGGCTGCTGGAGCCGCCTGAGGCTGGATCTGGAGGACACAGAGGTGTTTAGCCAACAGTTCTGTCCTATCCCTTCTCAGCTCTCTGAAGTCCTCCCTGCACCTCAAGCCAGGGCCTGACCTCCAGGGAAGCAAGCTGTCACCACGAGGAAGTGCACCCTAGCTTTCCCACCTCGTGCTACCAGGATGCCCCTCACTCTCCTTAATCCAGGGCATGGGCTCAGAGGGCTGGCTGGGGTCTCCTGTCCTGGAATGTGCGGCCATATGGGAATGCCTTGAGTGTGTGAGGGCCATATGGGAATGCCTGTGCGTGGGGGTGGCATGAGTGTGTGCTGTGAGGTGTGAGTTTGGAGAGAAGTATAAATAAATGATGGGCACATGTGTGTGGTGCGCATGCTTGTGCTGACAGGGGAAGGCAGGGGGACGTCTGGAGTGTCAGTGGGTTGTGGTGGGCAGGGTGAGGCATCCATTTCTGTGAAATGCCTGGGGGGAGGGAAAAGGTATTTGGCACAGTACATGTGGGTACAAAGCACACGAAGGAATTTTGGGTACATATGCGCATGGGAGCCTTTGTGGGGTGTGGTTTGGGTATGCAGGTAGGCTGTGTGTGAGGTAGAGCTGGAGGAAAATCTATCTGTGGAGTGTCTGAGGTGATGTGTGGGAGGCAGCTGTCTACAGGTGAGCTTGTCTCTGAGTGGTATATGGGGTGACATGTTGTTGTGTGTGATGTGGTTTGGGAGGGTGAGGGGTGTGCAGGCATGTCCCCAAAACAAGCACATGGTGTGTCTCAAGTAAGGTGTGGGGGCAGTGATGGGAACGAACTACAGTATGTAGGCCAAGTGTGTGGGGGAAGGGCAAGTGGGCGTTTCATTCTCTCCACACGTCACGAGTTAGGAGGCACCATTTTCCCCCTCAAAGTTGAGGAAACTGAGGCCCACAGAGTGGAAACAAGCTGGCTGGATCACACAGCAGGGTCTGTTAGACTCTCAGGATCCCAGCTCTGGCAGCTCACAAGCTAGGCTCTGGAGGGCTGGGGAGGGGACTGGCCCTCTGGGTAATGGCAGTAATGGAGGGTCCCATTCAGTTCTTTAGGGTGACTCTCCTGGAACTGGCCCACAGACAGCTCATGAGAATCGATTGCGCAATAAAGGAAAATGTTTGTAAGCCCTTTGCTCAACATAGCTGTTATTAAGCATCAAACTGGCCGGGCACAGTTACTCGCGCCTGTAATCCCAGTGTTCCTGGACCAAACCGAGGGTCAGCTGCTTATTCTCAAGGCCCAGTAACGAGATGCAGATGAACTGGGAGAGAGGGGAGTTTTTATTTCTGTAACCGGTCACAGGGAGAAGGCCTGGAAATTATTGCCAGACCAACTCAAAATTACAAAGTTTTCCAGAGCTTATATATCTTCTAAACTATATGTCTATGTGTAAGTGTGCATTCGTCTAAAGACATAAGTGATTAACTTCTTTTAATCTATAACTAAGATTCGAGTCCTGAAGACCTTCCTCTGGGGCCTCAGTAAATTTACTTAATCTAGATGGGTCCAGGTGCCAGGGGTAATTACCCTCCTTATCTTGTCCCCTGCGAAGTCACGGAGGTTTGGGGAGTTCCTTCAGCCCTCCAATAAAACTTATTTGTGGAGGCCTGGGGAGTTTCTTCAGACCCCCAATAAAACTTGTTTAACCTTAAACGAGGCCTGTTAAGAATTCCTTCATTATTTTGTCATGCTTTAAGGCCCAGGAAAGGCCTAGGCAAAACTCTTGGTGGGCTTTTGTTACATCCCAGCCTTTGTATAAGGGCACTGGTTCTGTCAGCTTTTAATATTTGACTTAACCACTCAGTCAGTACTGAAACAGTTGTTATGGAGGCCTGTGTTAGTGATGCCTGGCCTGCCGCACCAGCACTTTGGGAGGCCGAGGCAGGAGGATTGCTTGAGGCCAGGAGTTCGAGACCAGCCTGGGCAACATGGTGAGACCCCCATCTCTACAAAAAAATACAAAAATTAGCCAGGCATGGTGGTACATGCCTGTAGTCCCAGCTACTCAGGAGGCTGAGGTGGGAGGATCACTTGAGCCTAGGAGGTCAAGGCCACAGTGAGCCGAGATCACACCACTGCACTCCAGCCTGGGCTACAGAGCAAGATCCTCTCTCTCAAAAATTAAAAAAAAAAAAAAAAAGAAGCGGTATAAATTTAACATTAAACAAGTTATGTTTACAAAGGTAATATACTGAAAACTCACCACTTCGTATTCATTTTACTGCCTTTCCCTGCGCTTGTCTGTTGTGTCTGCGGGGTGGAACTGCCACGTGACCGTGCACTGCTGAGCATCTCCTCGCACTTCGATGCTCAGTCACATCACAGATTGGCCATGGCGAGGGTGGCTAGACCAGGGGAGTCAACAGGTGCTGCACATTAAGACCTGGTTTATTGTTTTGTTGATTGTCTAGACCTGAGAAAGTGATGGGAAAAAATACTACTAATGCAGATTACATTTTAAAGGGTGTCATGTTTATAGTTGCTCCATGGTGAATAGCAGAAAACAAAGATTTTTCCAGTATTCAGAAACTATTAACCTATTCAGCAAAGAAGTCACTCCGACCACCAGTGAAGGAGTGAAGTTCTGACATGTCTTTGTTGTTTCACTTTCAACTTACTTGTTAACATAAATGAAAATATCAAGCAGCATTAAGCTGGAACTACAGTAATTTGTCATTGCAACCGTAGGTTGGCTACAGATAAAGAGTTAGGCGAAACTCATTGAATGGGTTGATTTCTGGGACAGTCATCTGGCTATATGGAATTTACAATAAAGAATATTGGATATTTCATTAGTATTTGTAAATTATGTGCTATACATCCTTTGTGTCAGTAAAATTTATAATAAACTTATTGAGTCTACGCATGCAGACATTTTCTGGAGAGCTTGTTGTTAAATGTCACTGTTAACACCCCGTAGGCCCTCCATTACACATAGTCCCAACATGTCTCCTTACTGTGCAGACGGTGAGGTAGGGTGGGGTGGAGGGACAGATGTAACTTGCAGAGACCCTGGGAGCAGTGTCTTAGGTTTCCAGACAAGCTGTGGCTTGTCACTAGATCAGCCTGACCTCCTCCTGGCCGGGGGCACTGGGGCTCAGGTGGGGGTCCCGTTCATTGGTCCCTTCTCTGTAGCAGGCTCAGGGATTTACAGGTCAGAGGAAGAAGACGTGGTCACTGCCTGTATGGAGCTCACAGCCCAGCAGAGGAGACATCCAGTCGCAGTTAGTTACACCCTGGAGAGTACAGGGGCAAAAAAAGAAGAAATTGCCCAGCTGAGGCAGGAGCGAGGCTGGGACAAGAGGAGCTGCTCAGCGGAACAGTGCCTCTCGACATTTAGTGTGCAGCATCCACAGATTTGTGTTAAAAATGCGGAGATTCTCTTTTGGCAGGTCTGGGCAGGGTGGTGCCCGGGAGTATGCTAGGGGATGGTGAAGCAGGTACCCAAGGGCACACTGGGAAAAGCCTTGATCTGAGGAGACGAGAGGGTGTGTGCTGAGGCAGGAGATGAGAAAGAAGTTCTGCGGGGAGATCTGCCGGGAGTTTAGGAGTGGCTGGAGCTAAGCCAGCCTGGAGGGGAGACAGCAGAGCAAGGCAGGAGAGGGGTCAGGGGGCAGGTCCTGCAGCCTCGTAAGCCTCATGGAAGAGCTTGGTTTGTATCCTTTGGAACGAGGAGCAGTGGAAAGAGCCTTGTCAGCAGACAAGTGACATGCTCGGGTTGGCTTTTAAAAGTGTAATGTTCCTGGAGCAGGCAGAACTGCAGTCAAGGAGACCAGAAGGAGGCTGGGGACATGTGAGGCCTCGATCCGGGCAGAGGCACTGGGGACAGGGGAGGGGACCGATAGGAGGGCTTCATGGGTGGAGCCACAGGCGAGATGAGGAGGGTTAGGGTGGGGCCTGGGTTTCTGGGGTGATGACTGAGCGAATGGCAGGACTATGCACATTGCCAGAAAACAGGAGGAAGAGCAGGTCTGGAGTAAGGTGAGTTGCTTTGAACCTGGAGACTTAGAGGTATCCCTGGAGGGGCCCAGAGGCATTTGGGGCTCAGGGGAGCCATCAGGAAGTAGATTTGGGAGCCCCATGGATAGGTGGGAAAGCCAAGAGAGTGAAGAGGTCACCTGCGGAGAACACAGTCACAAGGGTCCAGAACTAGTGCTGAAGGGCCAAGAACTCAGGCCTGCCTGGACCTTGTTTCTGGAAGGGGTGCCAGATGCCAGGTCCCTCCGTACAGGAAAACCAGAGAGTGGGCAGGAGAAGGTTGGAGGAGGTCAGAACCATGGGTCGGGTTGCTGGCCACCTCTGACTTAGGAGTTGGAGGCCACAGTGGTTAGGAGTCATGGGGCCTCAGTTCTAGCTCCAGCCCTGGCTCTGCTACCAACTTGCTGTGTGACCTTTGGCAGATCTCTACCCACTCTGGGCCTCAGCTTCTTCATCTGAAAATAAGAAAGCTGGACCATACCAGTGATTTTCAAATGACATTTGGAGCCCCAGGGTCACCCAGAAGCATCTCCAGGAAGCAGGAGTTGAGGGTGATGGGGAGGGAGAGACTGAGAGTGTGGAAATCTAGTCCCACCCTGTCCCCAGCTTCATCCAGAGCCACTTGCATTTATGTTTTCTGTTAGCCTCTTCATGAAAGGATGTTTTCCAACTGATAACTACTGGGCCAGAGGATCCCTTATACTGTTGTACGTATTTGGGGTCTGTGAATCCTTGCCAACATAGAAGCTGATGGAGTCTGAGGAATGACACACACTGAGAAAACCAAGCATCATCATTACAGACACTGTGTGAACTCCCTGCCTGCCACCCACACAGCACAGTCATGGTTATGTCCATGCTTATGTAGGCCTGGGCTCTGCCTAGCTGCGGGTGATTTCATCAGTGGATGCCGCTCAGTTTGCCCCTGCCTGCTGGCTGGCTCGTCCCCAGCCCCAGGCATCAGGGTGCCCCATGGTGGGGCCTGTGTGGCCCTGGCCCTTCTCTGCTGCCCCAGGGCTGTGAAGCCACAGGTCGGCCCCCTCGTTCCTTGATGCTCTCTGTCCATTGTCTCTACAAATACAAAGAGAGTCTCTGAACAGGACAAAGCACATTTCCTCCTTCCTTGGGCCTGGCATCAGCGACGATGCCACCTGTGTGGGGGAGGACTCAGTGGGTAGTGTCCTGGCTTCCCTTCAGCCCCACAGAGCTTCCCTCAAACCTTGCTGACAGCTGGGCGCTCTCAGTAAACTGAGGCAAGCCTGGGCCTAGACCAGTGTGTGGGGGCGTGTGCTGTGGGCAGGGAGGATGAGAGAGCTGGCCTCAGGATGGGGGTGGAAACACCCTGCGGTGCCTCTACAGGGAAAACCAGGTCCTTCAAGTCTGTGTGACCTCAGATCCCAAATAAGTCAATGCCGGCCTCCCCTCCCCGTCCCTCAGAGCAGGGCCTAGGAGTTGGGGAGGGGCAGCTTTGCACACCCCTTGCCCTGGGATCCTGGGGTGCAAGAGTAGGACGAGGACAGTCGGCTCAGAGGGGACAGAGATCTTGCTAGTTTGCTCTGTGCCCCTTTAGCCCACACTCATGTCCCTGCATACACTGGACCCTCCTATTGCCTGGAAGTTGTCCTGCCTCCTGCCGCTGCCCCTACCCGCTAAGAGATCCAGATCCCCAAATAAAGCCACACTGGACCCCAGGATCCCAGGCTTGGAGACAGTGCTTTTGGGGAACTCCAAGGTCCCCCAGCTCTCTTGCTACTTCAGGAACAGTTTGGAGGGGGGCCCAGTAGAAGTGACCCCCTCCCTGTCACCTACTCAACATCCCAGATAGGGCTCAGAAAGTTGCTCCAAAACTCCTGGGAAGAGACCCCACCCCTGGAGTTCCTTCCTGCTCCTCCTCCTCTGTTCTCGCTCCCCCAGGACTATGGAGGCTTCAGCCCGTTCTCACTCGGCAGGGTGGTTGGTGGGGCAGGGTGACGACTCTCGGTGTTTCCTGACAACAGGCTGGGGGACTCAAGCGCCAATGTGAAGCTGAAGAGCGTCCTGGAGACAGGGGGCGGTGAGACGGAGTCTGCCCAGGCCACACCAGTGGCCGGGGTTTGGACCTGGGCCTGGGGAGGGTCGCTGTTTGAGAGGAGGACGCAGCTTTATAAAATGACTCCGTAAGTATGGCCTGGGCAGGTGGGGGCCGCGGGCCCCCACTGCCCCACCTGGGACCACGGGCATGGACCAAGAGCTCCTGCAGCAGGAGACCCTGCCACAGGACGTGGGGAACCAGAAAGCTTGGGAGGTTGCAGTCCTGGGGAGATACACATGCTTGGGCTGAGGCGGAGGCTGGCTCTTGGCCTCTAGGGATCTAGGGAGCCAGGCGCTGTCAGGGGCCTGTGGAGGGCTCTCCCAGATGCTCTAGGCTACTGGGCAGGGCCTTCCTCTGAAGGTTTGTGTGCGTGTGTGTGTGTGTGTGTGTGTGTACACATGAGGGGTTGCAGTTTCTACCATGGCTGCTGGCTCATGATAAGAGCCTTTTGAACCCAAGACCCCAGGAAGGCAGGCTCACAACCTTCTTTCTTAGGCATCAAAGGCTCTAGAACAGTGGTTTGCATCATGAGAAGCCCTAGGAATATTTTTAAAATGCACATTCCCAGGCTCTGCCCACAGGGACTCTAGGGCAGGGCCCAGGAATCTTTATTTTAGAAAGCTCCCTGGGTGATTCTGACAGGCTGCAGCTGGGGGAGGAAACCACTGCTCTTGGCGGACACCTACCCGGGGCCAGGAAGCCCAGGCTCTGCCTACAGGGCCACCTTAGACACTCAGACGTTGTCTCTGGAAGGTGTTCAGGTCATCTGCACTCTCGTGGGAAGGAGAGGCCGACATACTCTTCGGTAACCTTTTCCTGAGGCACAGGAGAAAGCATGGAGCACAGAGTGGGCCCCAGAGGAAGGAAGGCTCAGGAAGGGGTGCGACAGAGCATCAGGGCCAGGGACTGCCCCATCACAGTGTCTGGGCCTGCTGAGGCCGGGGACCCTCACATCTGTCTCAGGGCCCAGCGCCTCCGGTCCACAGCAGCCCCTGTCCAGCCACGTGTGTGAGCCCAGGTCCTCCTGCATAGACACGAGGAAAGAGAGATGAGATGTCAGAAAGGACTCCCTGGAGATGAGCGCACACAAGGACAGTTATGAAATCTCCTCCACGGAGTTCCTTGTGAGCATTTTAAATGTCTTCTTAAAAAAGAATTCAGTTAATTCAAAATGACCTTTAGAAAAAGAAAGTAAAATAAATGACCTTTAAAACCCTCATAATTGACATGAAGTTTACTGACTTAACTGAATTAACATGAAGGCAGCATGAAGTAGCCGACTGCACGTTTGCTTCCATGGTTGAAGCTGGAGTCAGGCCATCTGATTCGGTTTATTTCCCGTCTTGCCGGCCCAAGGATGCACATTCATTTTGCCCCAGACTGCACATGTCCACACCTCCTGGCTGTAAAGCATCCGGGAGTGTTCACTCGACCCAGTTTGCTTTAGTCAATCCCCAAGTGCTGAACCTTTGGGCTCCTTCCAATTTCTTGCTATTATAAATATCATGGCTATGAATATCTCTGTACAAATTACTTTCTTAGTATTTTACTGGGAGGCATTCCCCAAGTGGAACTACTAGGTTAAAGGGCATGAACAATTTTATAGTTCTTGTCACATATTACTAGATGGTTCTCCAGAAATATTGAGCCCGTTTACTGTGACACCAATTATGTATAGCTGTCCCCACAGCCCTCCAGTATAAAGGTTCATCATTTTTATTTATTTATAGCTGTTTTATTTACTTTCTTTTTTCTCATTTTGCGATTTTGGTCAGGAGTGGTGTGGCGAGTTGTTTTAATGCCGTTGTTTCAATGATTGGTGACATTGGACATTCTCTGAAGGACTTTGAGAACCTCATAGGCGTCATTTGTCCCACAGGGATATGGCAGGATCGGTTCTGAGTCTAAGAGCTGGATCAGGACTGGAAAATGGATAGCTCTGAGTTTTCAGACTTACTCAGTTCTCAGTCTCCCACCAATAGGCCAGAATGTACGTCAGGGCCATAGTTTCCAAAGCTCTGAGGCTGAACGATGAATATGGTTTTAAAACAGCATCACTTGCCCCAGGGAGAAGACTGAGATGAAGGGGAGAAGGAGAACCCGTGGCCCCATGCTTGTCCCCACCTTGATGGACTGTGCCTGAGCTCCACTGGACAGGCTGCACAGCCTCTTACCCCAGATGTGACCTTCTGGGTACACAGATTACCATGTTATGCTTGTGGCTGTGGCCATAGGGATAAACCAAATTTGGGGCTTGTAGTACACTTGCCTGTTGATCCTAATGAGCATCCAGGAGCTGCACCAAGAGTTTACCCAGTACCTGTAAAACCAGGGCTCTGATGGTGGCTAGAGAGGCCTGGCTGGGTAAGATCAGTAACATTTGCTGGGGTCTGGGCCCTCATGTCTTGGCTGAGGTCTAAGCATGGGGAGTTGTGGAAAAGGAGACTGTTAGGGAACTTTGACGTAAGTGGGGTCGAAGACTGTGGCCTTCAGATAATGACAGGGGCCTCCTCAGTGATACCAGGAACTCAAGGCAGAGACAGTGAGGGTCAGGGGCATGAAACCCAGTGATAGAAACTAGGTGCCATGGCTGTTGCAGACAGGGCCACAGGGCCTCCTGGGATCTCAGAGCAAAGAGGCCAGATGATGAGGACAGTAAGTCAGGGCAGACATGGCTGGTGGGGCAGGAGGAACTAGCATAGGATTTGAAGTCAGCAATTTAAATCGTGGTATCAAAGGACTCCGCAAACTTGGGAACAAATAAGCAGTTATGGATACTCAAAGATATTGTTGGTAGGAGCAGAAGAGTGATTTGTGCAACCAAAGGAGGTCTTGGAGTCCCAGGGGCCTCTCCATGTTGAAGCAGGATGCTAGGGGATGAGAGGACACAGGGCCAATGTATAATATAGGTAGCAAGGCCCAGCCTCTTGGAGGAGAATTGGTGGAAGCTGGCTGGGGGATCATCACTCCAGACTACACCTGGACTTGGGAAGGACCCTGTCTACAGAGGCCAAGCCAGGATCATGACCATCAGGCTAAGGAGGAAGTGTGCATGTTGCTGGGGTAGCAGGTGTCTTGGGCCCACTAAGGTCCTCCAGGCTTTGGGAAGGAAGCAGACTCCCTTTCCCTCTCATTCCTGGCCTGCTCCCCATGGGGCCAGGGCATTGGTGGTGCTGGAGCGGGTGGTAATGGACAGAGGAGACATGGTGTGTGCCCCAGGTTCAACAATGGGAGTGACACAGAGTTAAGAAGTGGTTTCGTGTGAGTCTTAGATTCAGGTAGACCTATACCTTACTGTGTGACCTCAGTTCTTGAGCCTCACTTTCTTTTCTCTAAAATGGGGATAGTCGTACCTGCCTTATAGGGCAGTCAAGAAGATTGAATGAGAAAATAATACATGACAGCACTCAGCAAGAATAGTTGTTAACAAATGTCAGTTTCTTTCCATTTGCCTCTTTTAGTACCTAGAGCAGAGTTGAGTGTATCTGTGGGCCCAAATAGGCCTCCACTCTAGACGAGGTGGAGGGTAAAGGAAGGGGCAGCATGCCCTCTGGTAAGCCTAGGAGCAGAGCTGGAAGAGCAGCTCTGCTTCAGGGTTTATCTGACCCAAGGGTAATGATGAATTTGGTGACGTGGAATAGTTAAAGTCTGGCAAGTTTCTGAGCCTCGATTTCCTTATCTGAAAAATAAGTTGTGTGTGGCCTTGTGACAGTGCATGGAAAGCCCCTAGCACCACTCCTGCACATAGTAGGAGGTCCACACATACATGACAGTGTGGATTCTGTGGTTGCAGACACTCCTCTTGCCCTCAGAGTCATATCGCGGTGAAGCGTTTCTCTCTGTGAGCTCAGAGTCCAGCCTGGGATTGGTCAGACATGAAATAGGTTGTGCATGGTGGTCAGTGCTTGGGCGGTGGCTAATCATGTCACCCCAGAGTTGGCCGAGGAGGAAGGGGCCCGGGGGGAGGCTGCCCTGAGGCTGTGGGGGCTCCAAGGGTACTGCCAGGGGAAGAATGGGCACTCTGCAGTTCTCTCCTCTAGCCCAGGGTGTTCTGAGAGTGTCCAGAACCAACAGGTCTGCTCAGACGCTGGACATGAGGTTCCACTTGGCACACAGCATGACAGCCTTTTCCCCTGCAGGAGCGTTACCAGAGGCAGGCAGGCAGCATGGAGGTGAAGGGAATTGGAAGGGCCTGGCATGAGTCAGGAATGAGTGAGGATGGGGGCGAAAGCAACTCCGTGCAGTCCAGAGGGAGCTGGCTCTGGGTTCAGCCCCTGTACAGCTCCACAGCCTGTGCCCTGACCCGGATCCCAGTCCCAGCCAGTTACTGTGCACAGGGGACTAAGTGATGAACCTCGTTCTCTGGAGGCAGCAGGGCTGTACAGAGGGTCCAGACAACCTGGAGAGAGAGAGGCTGAAGCTGCCTCAGACTTCCCTGGGCAGCCACCCTGCTTGGGGCAACACCGCTCAGCAGCTAGAGGAGTTCAGGGTTCTGAATCCCAATCTGTCGCCTGCGAGCTGGAGACCTGGGGCAAGCCTAGCCTGTCTGACTCCTCCTGCCCTCTTCAGAGCTCACGTCTAGGAGAGGTGTAATAACTGCGGGTGTTTGACGACTTCAGCACTGGTTATGGAAGCAGGTTGAAGAGTTGTGACGAGACCTGCATGAACAGCCTACCAGGCGTGCAGCCCCTGCACTTTGCAAATGACCTCTAGTCCTTGTCACCCTGGGACAACCCTGGATCTTTCTGGACCTGCCTGAATCCTCTGGATAACCTTTGCAGCCCATTACCTCCCCCAAATGCACACACATTCACACACACAGCCATCACCGTGTACAGATGGAGCTCCTTCCTCTCAGTAAGTTTCTGACCTCCATCCTGCCCCTCCCGCTCCAGGCAGCTCCACTCCCGGCTCCTGATCTGCTCCCATTCCTCCACCGTCTGGCCTCACCAAATACTGGTCTGTGAATGGCCTCACTCCGTAAGTCTGACGCCAATGAGGTCCAGCTTCTCCAGCTCATTCTTCTGGCTCCCCACCTCCTCCAGCAAGATTTAAAAATACTGCGCATATGAGAGCCGGCACAGGGCATTGTTGCTCCCCGTTTCCTTTCTTGCTGAGTCAGGGTCTAGGAGAGCACCCACAGGGAGTCCTGCAGCCCCAGGTTTGGCCCCTGGCTCTGCTCCTCATGAGGTGTGTGAACTCAGCCAGTTGTTTTACCTTTTGAGACCTGCTTCCTGATCTATAAACTGGAAATAATAATAGTACCTTCCCTCCAGGCTGTCGTAAAGATTAAATGGGACCCTATATGCTGTTAGCATGGTGCCTGGCACAGGGTAAGCATTTAATAAATGTTAGCTACTGTTATTATTTTGTGCCTAACAAAATACTTAGAGTGAATGACAGGAAAAATTCTCCTCATGTATTCACCCGACAAATATTTATTAAACTCCTGTTTTCTTCCAGGCACTGTACTAGGCACTGGGGATACAGCAGGGAGCAAAACAGTGAAAACCCCTGTCCTCAAGGAGCTTCTATGCTGGATTCCACAGCCACACACTCAAGTCTTTGTTGTCAGCCCTCCTCTCCCTTAGTCTGCACCCTCCCCTGAGCCTCTGCCTCAGCCTCCTCCCGGGCTCAGGATTCCCTGAATTTCCCTCTCCTCACACATCCTGTCTCTAAGCTCCAGATGCGCTTTTCCAGTCACTTGCAATGGGGTGACCTGCAGACGCTCAAACCTGGCACATCTGAATAGTAACTCACAATGCCCAACCCCTTCTCAAACCTGCTATTCCCACTGGGTTCCCTGAGGAGCCACTGTCCAGACCCCTCTTCCTCCAACATGCAGCTCTTCTATCGCCATCGCCACCATGAATAGAGCACTTAGTGCAGGCACCATGCTAAAAGCTTTTATTTATTAAATCATGGAATCCCCTGACGTCCCTAAAAACCATTCCACTTGTTTGCAGATAAGAAAACCGAGGCGGAAATCGTTAAACAGCCTTAGGTTACACAGTTAGGCAGAGCCCGGACAAAGAGCCCAGGCTGTCTGGCCTCAGTTGTGCTTTTCCTGCCGCTGTGCTGTCCTGCCTCGGGTCCCATGGGCTTGCCTCAGCTGTACCACTGACCTCAGGCCCCTCCTGGGCCGCATCTAGCTCTGCCCTGGGCTATTGAAGAGCCTGCTCACTGGTATCTCTAATTCCCTCTGGCTTCACCACAGACCCTGCTGCCAGGGCTGCCTATGATCCCCTCCCTTACAGGCGGGATCACTTCCCCAGCACCACCACACCCCTGCACCCCTGCAATTTTCCATTGTTTACAGGCAGCCTGGCCCTGTTCCAGACCAACTTCCCCAGTCCCATATAACCTCTCCAAGACCCTTCTTCTCCCTACTCATTCCCCACGTGTTACAGCCAGGCAGGCCGTCCACCCCAATGCTTTCCTAACTCCCGTGGCTTCCTCACCCCGTCTACCTTTACTGAGCTCTGTATCCTTTAATACCCAGCCTCAAAGGCCGTCTCTGCTGCAAAGCCCTGCCTGGTTCCCTGTCAGACTCCTCTGGCTCTCTCTGCTGTGCCCCCACGGGTCTTCACCTCTGGCTGGGTTGACTTCATACCACCTGGGATTATTGTTTGTTATCTGTGTCCATCTGTGTCCTCCAGTAACCCATGATCTTCACAGGCCAGTGCCCTGTGTTAGTCATCTCTGGGTCCCCGTGACTGACGGGGCTGGGTGCAGTGCGAGCCTCAGTACTGAAATGAACAGGGCCGGCCTACGAGGTCACTCCGCGATTTGGGGCAGGAAAGATCTGAGTTTCTTTCTGCACTCCCGTCGAGTCCTGCTGTAGAAACCACAAATGGGGAATGATCGTTGAATCCCAGAAGACTGAGCAGGAAGGGCCGCTGCAGGTCATCTGTGTTAATTCTTTATCTTTGAAATGTTGGAGTGAGGCCCAGAAATGAGAAAGACCTAGCCCACGATCACTCCACAGGGAGGAGTTGTGGTTGGAATTCAGACCCCTGGCTTCTAGCCCAGTGTGCTTTCTGCTTTGCTGAACCATTCCATCTTTGCTTTTTCTCTACACAAACCACCTACTACAATAACAACAATTGCTTATGCTGAAAATCAGCCCAGTCTCATAGCTCTGGAACCTCTCTTTGTCCCCTTCCAGATAACCACAGGACACTTTATTTTACACTTTTGTCATAATGATTTTACACTCTCATTTTTAAATTTAGTATTCTTTGTATTCTTTCGGGGGGGGGGGGTAATTAACCCTAAATTCTTGTAGAGAAATTAAGTTCTTAGAGTAGATTTCTGGGTTGCTTGTTTTCTTCCATTGACGTTTCACATGACATTCCTGTCCACCGTCACACTGCTTCAGTTGTTGCAGATGTGTATTTTCCTATCTAATGGGATTGGTGCTCCTCTCATTAGCCGTCATCAGAAATGTCTTTTATTTTCCTATCTAATGGGATTGGCGCTCCTCTCATTAGCCGTCATCGGAAATGTCTTTGCTTTTCTTACCTGTTTTGTTTGTTTTTGTTTTTTGCTGTTGTTTTTTTTTCCTTCCAGATAATCTATACCTGGGTTATCTAGAGGAATTAGGGGCAGACGAGTAGCTTATCCCAGTCTGCCCTAATCATGGGCATCCACACAGGTCAGCTGAATTGGCCACTCTTAATTCATGGCTCTGAAAATGGTAAAAACGGCCATTGATTGAGAGAAACAGGCAAAAAAGAGAGTAGTGGGGGCACCAATGCCCTGACTACCCCAAACTCTCACTGCTGCCCACTAATCTGCCATCCTGGGATGTGGGGCAGGATGGCCGCACCGTGTGGGCATGCTCTCACGGGAAAATGGAGGTGGTGTTGCTGATCGACACTAGCCAGCGAGGCAACATGGCCACACTGGCTTTCTTATCACAGAGCCCACGTTCACAAACCATCTTGGGGCTCGCCCTCCTTTCCTTAAATCATCACCACAGGGAAGCATAAAAAAATCTCTGTACATTATCAAGTTTCAGAATCCCCTTGGAATTTTGCTTTGAACTAAATGAAGTCTCATTTAGGAAGAATGACTGTCTTTAAAACAGTCTTCCTATCATATAGAAATACATTAGGAATCTCCATTTCTTCAAGTTCTTTTTATAAATCTCAGTTGCATTTTATAATCTTCTTTATATGAATCACAAATCAGTCTCATTGGTATTATTTTAAAACTTTTCATATGTAGTCTTGTACCACTGTAAATGAGATCTTTTTCATTCTCATTTTGCAAATGATAATTTTTTTATAGAAATGTTCTTGGCTATTTTTCCATCTTTTTATCTGGCAACTTTACTCAACTTTCTGATTCTGGGGGTTTTCTTGTTGATTCCCTTACATTTTCTCAGGTCCAGTACAGTAATCATGTGCAATAATATAAACCATGAGTCCTTTCTAACATAGTAGACTAATAACTGTTCATCAATGCCCCCCTCAGGAACTTTAAAGAAATACAAGTAGTTGGGCCCTCCTCGGTCCCCACTGAACCATAACTTCAGTCTCAGCCATAGGGCTTTGGCTTGCGGGGCAGGGATGGGAAGTGGATTCCAGACCCAAAAGTCTGCAAAGGTGGAGAAAGCCTGGCTTCTCTAAAAGCATACCAGTATAGCTACAGACCAGAAACTTCATTGCTTTGTAGGAACTTTTTAAAATTTTGGTCTGTGAGCAAGGGAAGTGAGTGAAGGATTTGAAGCAGCAGGTGCAAGGATAGATTTGCATTATGAAAAAATCACTCTCACTGCCATGTGAGAACAGACTGCAGGGGGGCTGGAGGGAAAGGGGGTGCAGATCATTATGTAACCACAGCTAACTCTTACCGCCTGTTTTAAGTGGTTTATATATATTAACTATTAAGTCCCCAGGACAGCCCAAGGCATACAGGTGGTTCATGGCAGAGCACATTTGAATTGTTCCTAAGCACTCATCACCTCGACTCTTTTTCACGGAGAGGGTGGGAGGGACTTCAGACCCACTTACGGAGTGCATCCTGCGCTGCCATCTGTCTTCTGGGTGTGTGACTGGGTGAGGGTGGGTCTGTACTCACCGTGCCTTTTTCATAGGGGTAGGTCTAGCCTGAGTGTTCTGTACACTGCTCTCCCAGGGAAGTGGGAGCGGGAGGTGAGAAATGTGTATCCTTTTAACATAAATTATCAGATGGGGCCCATGATGATGGAGCTCTAGTGATGTTGGGTGCCTTGGACCTTATCTAATCCAACCCCCTCATCTTATACACTGACACACTAAGGCCAAGGAAATTGGGAAGGCACTTCTTTATGGTCATATAGGAGGCTGGGGACTTAGGCCTAAACTTGGGATTCCTGACATCCAAGACACTAATGGTGTTTTTAGATCAAGTGAGAACATGGGCCTACAACATCAGCAAATGTCTGGTCACCTGTAAGGAGCAAGGGAAGTTTTATATGAGATTCATGTCCTTCACCAAACCGCTTCAGTTGTCTGTCAGAGCCAGGAGGATGGGGTGGAATACAGTTCAGAATAGGCAGGCTGAGATGCAGATATGGGGAGCCACAGCATGACAGAGAGAGCTGGGGTGTGTGCGGTGCAGGGCCAGGAGGCTGGGGCCAAGCAGAGGATGACCTGAGCTAGAGGAACACACAGTGGCCCGAGGCCCCTCCCACTGGGGAAGAGAGACCTCTGAAGTCCATCTGAGGGCCAACCCAACTTGCCTGTCTCCAGGGAGACCCCAGAAATCCTCAGAAGTGTAAGGGCTGGGACAGGGCCACCTGGCATGAGATGCCCAGCTCAGAATCCCAGGGCCTCGTCCTGCTAAGCTGAGCCCCCATCCTCAGAGCTCCCACCTGTGCCTTCCTCAGGATGGAGGTACAGGAAGGGGCCACTCTGCAGCAGCGGAGAGGGTGGTGACAGCTCAGCAGACACAGAGACATGGAGAGCAGGTGGGCTGTGATCGGACCAGGAGTCGGGAGAGAGACACAGTGATGCAAAGGACGCAGAGGGGGAAGGAGGCAGAGGCGGGTACTGCCCCACAGCCCCACCACCCCTGGGCGTGATCTCACCTGAGGAAGCCTAGAAGGAGTCTTCACGCGTCGCCTCCTCCAGGCCAGAGCTCAGCTTGGAGATGCAGAGGGGGAAGGGACCCTCTCCCTTCCTTCCCTTCCTCCCTCCTAGAGCCTAGGCAGGGCAGCAGTGGTGGGACCACCTGTTCTCACCCTCATCTGCGGTGGGCGGCGGAGGCCCCATGCCACAGGCTTGGTGAGGCTGAGTAAATCCTTGCTGCTGTGACCACCCACAGTGCTTCTGCTTCCTTCTGTATAATAGCTCCTCGGGGAGCTGCCAGCAATCAATGAGACAATACAAGCGAGCACTTAGCACAGTGCTGGCCCTGTGTGAGGGCTCAGTGAGTGGGAGCTCTAAGTACTAAATGTTGTCCCATCTCCGTGGTGCTTTGGACTTCCAGCACAGCATTCACAGACACACGTCCCTTCTCAGTTCATCCTCACACACTATGTGCAGTAGGCAAGGAATACGTTGTCTCCAATCAACAGATGAGGAAACTGAGGCGAGCCTGGGGAAAGTGGTCTCTGGTCACCCAGTGAGTTAGCAGCAGAGAGGATAAGAATTCAGCTCCCCTCAGTCTTGTGTGTTTTCACAGCTGTGTTTCTTACATAAAATACAAGAATGCTAACACAAAAAACAATAAAGCGAGAATTCTCACCTTATTTCAGAGTTGAGTAAACTATAATCATCTTCTTTTGTCTCCTAACAGCCCTGCTTTAAAGAGTCAAAGTATCAGAGAACGTTTAGTGCTAAAAGGAGCCTTAGAGACAGTCCCACTCTCTTTCATGAAGCACAGAGAGAGGACATCCTCACTTAAGGTCACACAGCACATTAGCAACTTAGCCAGGATTGGAACCTGGCACTGGTGTTCTTTCCTCTATAGCTGCTGCCTCCATAGGTCTTGGAACTTTTATCCCCACTTCAGAGTCTGGAAAACTCAGCTCACAGCTTGACTCCAATCCCATAGCACCACCTTTTTTGGGACTCTGCCTCCTCAGTGGTGGCTCTAGAGTCTGATATTTAGAATCAGCAGCAGCAAAAGGGAAGGGCCATGGAGCAAAAAGGTGGTGTGTTGGGAGTAATAAATTTTCAAAGAGTTTAAATTGCATTTCAGGGACTGATTCCTCTTGTTGGAGAGATTGGTTTGTGAATTCAGAATAGGATTGTTTAATATGCATTTCACATTTTAAATAATCATGGTTTTCTTAGAGCAGGGAGAAAAACAGGTCAAAAACACAAACTCATAGGCTTTTCTGAAAGGTTACAAAATAAAATGTTCTTTGCTGGAGGATATAAAGGAAATGGCTCTTGTTTGACAAAGGAGAGGGCTCTGCTAGATAAATTCTGCATTTATGAATAAATGAAAGCTCTCTCCCGCTCTTCCTGATCACCTTAATTCCTTGTTGCCTATCTGCAAATCCAATAATGCTGGTGAAACAAACCCCTCCTGGAGGCTGAGCACAGGGGCCTGAGCGCTCAGCCTCAGAACCACTCTTTCTATTTATAATCTCAGCCTGTGCTCCCCAGAGAGCTGGGCTTAGATGCCCCCTGGGCAAGTGGGCAAGAGGACTTGCTGGGAACAGAACCTTCCCCGGGTCAGAGACCCTGTACTCCAGCCCTGGGTCTCCCTGCCTAGGAAGCACTCAGCAAATGCCTCAGAATAGGTAAAGAGCAGGTAAAGAGCAGAACCGTAGTTCAGCATCATCCTTCCTGCACTTCCTCTGCTCCCTTCCAAGATAAATAACCAGGCTAAGAATTGCAGGTGTTTCTTGCAGCCAGTTGGCTATTGTCTTAGTGACACACCATATTACACTAGGCAACTGAGGATATGTCAACTCGTAAGGCGTTACTATATATATGGGTTTTTGTGGTTTTTTTTTTTACCAAATCTATTTTGTACCAATAGTGTGTGTTTATCGTCTGTCTTCTCTTAACATTGGGGGTGGGGATGTTGTCTGCACTGTTCAGGGATCACTAGGAGGTCTTAGGGGCCAAAGCTGGAGCTAAGAGGAGGTTCAAACACCTGGAAGAAGGGGCCACCTGGAATGGAGGATGTGGCCCCTAGGGTGGCAAAGCTGAGACACTGGACTGTGTCTCTCACTCTAGGCATCTTTGTATGAAACCACATATGTGTCAGCTGGTGGGGCTTTTTTATAGAGCATTATACTCACCTAAAATATTGTATTCCATCTGATAAATCCATTACTTTGTCATTAAAAATTCTCTATAAGGCTGGGTGCGATGGCTCACACCTGTAATCCTAATGCTGTGGGAGGCTGAGGCAGGAGGGTTGTTTGACTGAGGAGTCCAAGACCAGCCTGGGAGACATAGCAATACTCAATCTCTACAAAAGATTTTTTAAAATTAGCCAGGTGTGGTGGTTCACACCTGTAGTCCCAGCTACTCTGGAGGCTGAGGCAGGAGGATCACTTGAGCCCAGGAGTTCAAGGCTGCAGTGAGCTACAATAGCGCCACTTATACTCCAGCCTGGGTGATAGAGTGAGACCTCGTGTCTTTTTTTTTTTTTTTTTTTTTTTTTGAGACGGAGTCTCGCTCTGTCACCGAGACTGGAGTGCAGTGGCACAATCTTGGCTCACTACAACCTCCGCCTCCCGGGTTCAAGTGATTCTCCTGCCTCAGCCTCCCAAGTAGCTGGGATTACAGGTGCCCACCACCACGCCCAGCTAATTTTTGTAATTTTAGTAGAGACGGGTTTGCCATGTTGCCCAGGCTGCTCTTGAACTCCTGGCCTCATGTGATCCACCCACCTCAGCCTCCCAAAGTGCTGGGGTTACAGGCAGGAGCCACTGTGCCAGGCCAACCCTGTCTCATAAAAACAAAAATTCCCCATAAAGGATGCTTAGTGATCCATCCTATGAACACTGAATTATTTACTTAAAGGAGTCCTAATTAATAGACATTTTGTTTATCTTCCCCCAGCCAATTTCCCCTATTAGCAATAAAGTTTCCATCAGTATCTTTGTACATAAACTTTTGACTTCGTTTTCAATTTCCTTTGACTAGTTTTCTAGAATAGGAATTAATGAGTCAAAGGGCTAAGGCGCCCATCATCTGGTTTTCTCTGGAGGAAGGTAGTTCTCTGGGCTCTACAATGCTCATCTGCCTGAATCTGAATTTGAACTCTATCACTTCTTATCAGTGTGACTTTCAGCAGATTATATATAACCTTTTAGTTGCTTCATTTGTAAAATGGGGATTATAATAGTACCTACCTTGAAGTGTTGCTCTGAGGATTAAATGGGAGAAGTGATGTGTAATTGTTAAGTTGAATAGGCATAGGCATGACTCATGAGATGTAATCATAAAGCAAACTTTATTTTTGTCTCCCACAGTCTCTTTAAATTTATTCTATAGGGCTGTTTTCCCTTCTAAAATTATATTAAATTTAGGGTAAGTCCCATGACTTTTCTGACCATTTTCAGGTAACCAGAGGTTGTCTTGTCAGTAATTAATGCATCCTGTCTGCTGTAATAAAAAAAAAAATCTTGAAACGTCAGAGTTACACCATCTCTTTCCCAGCACGGTCTGCTGTAGGCCAGCTGCCTGTGGGGACCTTGCACATGACAGTCCTGACCCTTTCCAGGGTCCAAGGTGGAGGGGCAGGTAGGTAGGAGAGGAGATGGTTGGGAAAGGTCTTCAACGACTGTACTCTGATGAGTTGCTGTCCCGTTGTTCTCTGGGCCCTTTCTCTCACTGGGCTGTTTTTGTGGGTTGGTGGAGACCACCCCATCGCTGGAGTCTCACCCTGCACCTCCCTTGATGAGGGTGATACTTTCTCCCCGTAGCCGATCCTATGGTTTCTTTCTCAGGCTCTGGGAAACCTGGTCTCCCTCAGTGTCACCTCCTCCCTTGGAGGAGCCCTCTTGTCCTGGATCTAAGACAGTCACATCTGGCTCTCTTGCTGGGTGCTACCTCTGTCCACAAGAGACACTCATGTGTGCTTTGCCCTGCAAACCAGGGAGCACAGGCTGGTCCTGAAGCAGCAGCACTCTTGCTGCTCTTTGGATTTCTCCACTGTGGCACCAAGACCATTTTGGCCACATATCAACTGACTTAGGGGTCTCCTCAAGGCCCCACTGTCTGGCTTTGAGGTGAAGGTGATAGCACCCTGTACCCCTCCCATTTATTTGGGATCACTGGACCCCAAAGGCTGTCTCTGAAATTCATTCTAAACCTCCAACAACCTTTTTTCAACCTCTCTCCCATTTTGTATGCATTAGAGATGGGTGTCAGCTAATGGCATGGACCCAGGTTTTCGCCACCTCTTTTCCAAGAGGTGTATCCCACTTCACTTTGGAATGTGGTATCTGTTCATTTGGAGCCCCAAGTGGATCCTAGACTGGAAGCATCCCATCTCATCCTCCCATTGCCATATTTGTCTTTATGAAACACACAGAGGAGCACCTGGCATAGAGCATGCACTCAACAAATGATAGCTGTGTATGATCCAGGCTCACGGACTCTCTAGTTACATTCACCTCATAACCATTCGATCTGGTTTTATTCCTATTACTTTGTTTTATGCCCTATGCATTTTATGTTTCCTGTAGATTATGCTTTTGTGTGTTTGTGTGTGTGGAAATGATTTGCTATTATTTTCAGCAGTGATTTGGAAAATAGACATTGCTTTTAATTTTACTAGTGGTTGACCTACATTTTTTTTCAGACATTGTAAGCCTATTTATCTCAATCATCAACAGTGGTGCAATGGTCTTTGTATATTCTGCAGTTATTTAAATGGGAATTACAGAGGGCTTTATCTGGCCACCCATAGTTATGCTACCATCTTGCCATGATGTCTACCCACAGCTTCAAAATGGCACTTGACTCTGTTTTAGGGCTGGCTCATCTTTGTCCTGGACTTTACTCATAGCTGTCTAGCAGTTTGCCATACCACTAGCCTTTCTCCCGCAATCCTCCATTCTGCTCCCAATTATTTCTTTCTAAAGGTTACATCTGGGCAGATTATTCTTGGCTTAAAACCCTCTAGTGGTCCCCCACTGGGAACCACATCCTTAGAACAGAGTCTATAGGATATTTCCAAATTATAGGATAATTGCAAACGCCCTAGCTTGATGTTCAGGATGACATATGACCTGGCCCTGCCTTAACTTTCTAGGCCCATTTCCTGCCACACCGAACCATTCACCTATTGGTTGAATGCTGCCATGCTGGTTTGCACCTTGGTTTTCAAGTGCATTGGGCATGTACTCTCATGTCTGCGTAACTTTGCTCATGTCATCCTCTGTCTGTATGGCCCTTTGGTAAAAGACCCTAGCACAGTGCCCGGTCAATTGTAGAATCTCAGTAACTGTTACGTTTCCCTCTTCCTTTGTTATCAGCTTATCAATATCCTATTCATCTTTCAGGGCCCAACACAACTATCATCCTTTTCCACTCTTGGGAAGGCTTGTCCTAACCTTATCTCCCCCCTTCTAGGGACTTCCATTGACTGCCTCTTTTCTGTGTCCCCTTGCCCCCAGCACATTGTACACTTGTGTTGTAACACCAACACCTTAATGTAGGGTACAGTCATTATTTCTTCCTATCTCCCTTGCCAGACCGAAAGCTCCCTGAGAGCAGCCATGCACCTGACCCCCACTAAGGCCACTGCAGCCCTGCATCAGCCTTTGAGGGGCTAGTTGATGTTTGATTGATTTGAATTGCCTTCCTCAGACTGCAAGGTCACAATGCCAAGCCAACAGACAGGGCCCAATTTGAATGGATATCATTTATCATTCATATCCCTTTGCTTCCAAAATTGACTAGAGATGGCCCACACTCAATAAAAATGTCACCTTAAGTATAGCACATATAAGACTCCATATAGGTGGCTAAGTCCCAAAATGCTAACCTTCTTCCCTGGGTGAACTGATTCTGCTTGGGAGAGGGGGTGGCCCTGGGGTCCTCAAGCTCAGGTGGCAGATGTGAGGGTCTCTGTTGGGCTGCTTCACTCCCCATGCATTCCTTCACTCCCCCTCACAAACATTTCATCACCACGTTTGAAAATGCCTAAAATGCAAACAGGATGATTTAAATTCATAGCAAATATCTTACCCTTGCAGGATTTGGGCAGGTGGTGAGGGAGGCATGTTGGGATTGCTGTGTGGTGGTGTTTCAGTCCAGATAACCTTGTTCCTGGGGCTAAATTTGAAAAGCTTATGCCCTTCTTCGAGGGTCATGGTTATAGTGCAGTTGTAAAAATATAACTTTTGATCATGGCCTAGTATAATATACATCATATGACTTTCTGGAGTAGCTTTTTGATGGAAGCCAAGGACGTAAACTTAAAATGTCAACCACGGAAGTCATTTGAGTGGAAAAAGCCATCATGCATTCTGAGTAGAATGTTAACACTCATGCACTCCATAGAACTCGAAGAAGCACACACGTCATTCTCCTGCACGCGTACCATCCAACAAATGTTCTTGTGCAGTCCTGTTCAGACTGCAGGGCCATCTCTCACACACATACACACATTGCTGCGTACACTGAAACAGTCCTGCTGCCCCCAACTTCCCATGCACACACACACTCAAGGCATACACTGGCACACAGTCCCTTGTGTGCCAGTGTATGGGACTCACACAACCCATGTGCATACACACATGTACACACATACACACTCATATTCATGCGTACACTGGCGCTCAGTCCCACTGGCTCCCCCACATGTACACACACTCACACTCATGCATACACTGGCGCTCAGTCCCATGGTTCCCCCACATCCCATGTACCTATGTAACTTCTGCAGAAAGAGACTTGGAAAGCCATCTTACTTCTGCACCTCACTCTGCCTCCAGATTTTGCTCCCTTAGGACAGAGCCTAAACTGTCTATTTAATAGATTCAATTACTCCAGGCTCCTGAGACCTTCCAACTAAATTCTGATTGCTTTAAGGTGTCAGGTAATTTGGGAATAAAGGGAGGAAAACAGCTTCAAATTCTTGAAGGGAAAGTCTTTTAGACTCTAGCTGTCTCTGACATGGTAGCTACTAATTGCAACTCAGGAAGGGGTGGCCTGGAGGGCGCGGCCTCCAGGGGTCAAAGCTTCTGATCTCTAGGCAAGGTTCTGCCCTGAAGGACAGAGGCCTCTGGGGCAATGCTTTGCTGCTCTGCTGCGGTCTCCAGGGTAGGGACCAATCTCTGCTGCCCTTCCTGGAAGGCCAGCAGAGTCCAGGCCAAGCATCCCAGCAGGCAACAAAACAGCCCTGCTTTCTGCCTTCTGCACCCCACTCCCAGGTGTTTTATTTTGTCTGCTCTCTGTCCCCAGTGACAGTGACAGCTCTTGGAGGTTGATAAATAATCAGAGGTCATAGTGTTCAGAGAGCATCAATGTTGTGCCCGACAGAGATGGATCTGACCTGTCCTGAGCTCCAGAAGCCTGGAGAGAGAGGCCATGTGTGTGTGCATGCATGTGTGTAGGTGTGTGTAGGTGTGCGTGTGTGTGTGCATGTGTGTAGGGGTGTGTGTGTGTGCACTACATGAACTGTGATTGGCCAAAAGGAGGCTGAGGGTAAGTGCTGTAGACCCAGACCTTTTGTGTGTGAATGCTAGCTTCATCATTGACCAGCTGTGTGACTTTGGGCAAGATCCTTGCCTTCTCTGTGACTCAGTTCCTCTGCTGTGAAATGGGTATGCTAATGGTGCCTACCTTCTAGGGTGGCTATGAGGATTAAACGAATTATAATATGTACGTAGCACCTAACACAGCTCCTGACGCCCAGCAAATAATCCAAATATTGTGGGTTATTGTGTTTTATAATTAATGGGCAAGAGAAGGCAAGGCTGAAGGGCTGGGAGAGCCCTGGGGTGGGGGTCTGGCTGTAGCCCCAGGGCAGCAGGATGAGCCCCCTCCCTCAGCCCCCTTGGCTGTTCTCACACTCTCTGCGGGGCAGTCCTGACCGCCTATTTATCATCAGAAGATCCCCGCACAACACTCTTCTGGCGCGGTTGGCGCGGCAGAATCCAGGATGCACACGAGGACGCCCACGGGGCGTGTGGGGACCGTGCCCCTCCGCAGACCTCTCCCGGATCACCTGCTCCACACGCAGGCCTTGGTGACCCCTCAGCCTGCTGCTCCTTGCTTCCGCCCGCCCTGCTGTGGGTCCCGCACCTTCTCAGTGTGCCATGCCTTGCATTCAAGCTGGTCCTAGTCACAGCCAGGACCTCCTCAGCGCGCAGAGACTTTCAGATGATCTTTGTAGGGGTTTTTGCCTCCGGTCAACTGCGCCCCTTAGGAAGGGCTTTGGAGGACACAGATCACAGAACAGTTTCAGCTCCACCACTTCCTAGCTTTACGGCCTTGGGCATCTCAGCATTCCTATTCTCTGGGTTATAGGGATATGATGTTTGTCTCTCAAGGCTACTGTGGAGATTACATACTAGAAATTTGCAAGGGCTGGGAATGCAATAGACCGTAAATGTTCCCCTTCCCTTGACGCTATAGCTTAGATGGGAGGGAGCCACTGCTGAGGAAACACCTCCTTAACCCAAAGACAGAGGGTTCCCCAGGCGGGGGTGTGGGAACTCGGAGGTGGGGGTGAGGGAAGGCCAACCTCCACGCTTCGGCCCGGAGGTTCCCCCGCCTCTTCCTGCACGACTGGATTCCTTCTCCATCCGCGCCTCCGGCCCGGTCCCTGCCCCGCCAAATCCGCGCATCGGTTTCCCATCCCATAGCGCAGATAGGTAGGGCAGGTACACAGGGAGGTGTTCGAATGATCCCCGTTTCACAGAAGACGAAACTGAGGCTGGGAGGCCTGGGGACTGGCCCGGCTGCAGCGCCGCCGTTAGCCGAAGGTGGGAGCCGGCGCGGTCACGCGCATGGAGCGTGGATCGCGACGATTTCGGGGGAGGGGGCAAGGGCGCTCCGCAGGCCCTGAGCCGGCCGGGGGGTGGGGTCTCTGCGGGGCGGGGCGGGGCGGGGCGAGGGAGAAGGGGCAGGCCGCCGCTGCCACGCAGTACTCCCGCCTTGGCGCCAGAGGGGCGCGGGACGGTGCGGTCGGCCTCCCCGCCTCCACGCGCGCGCACGACCCGCGCACTCCCGGAGCTTCGCCCATCTCGCCTCGCCGCGCCGCGCAGGCAGCCGCTCGCAGAGCCAGCAGCCGGGGCCCTGGCGTGCAGCGCGGGCCTCGGCGGGGCCCAGCGCCCCGGCCCGGGAGGATGCGGCCCGGGGCGGCCCGGGAGCTGAGCAGGGCCCCCGCGCCGGCCCCTCCGGGCCCCGGCCTCCAGAGCCGCAGCCACCGCCCCGCCCCCGAGAGACATGACTTCCAAGCCGCATTCCGACTGGATTCCCTACAGGTACGCGGGCGCCGGGCCGGGGCGCCCACCACTCCCGACTCGGGACGTGAGCTGGCTGGGGATACGCGGCCGGGGCGCAGGGCACCGCTGCCCTCCCCACCTATCCCAGCACTGGGGCGCGGGTTGGAGTCGCTGGTCCTTCCTCCCTCAACTTTGAGGGCCCCTGCGGACTGCTCCCGCCTGCCCCGCTCCACCCCCTTATCTGCCAGGGTTGCTGGAAGGGGCCTGTGTGGGCCTTGTTGGGTCAGGCAGCACCATGTGGCCGCCTGGGGAAGGAGTCCACACTGCTCTGAGCCCCCTCCTAGGCCCAGAACCCCAGTCACACGCCTGTGCAGGGTGCGCGCACACGCTCATACATCTGCACGCATGCACCCACAGGACGTCCCTGCCTTGGGCCAAAGACGCTCCTGCTGGTCGGTTCACACTCTCAAAGCATGGATCCGTGAAGACAGTTATTCTGAACCAAGAGCACACCAGTGGTCATGTGGACATGCACCCGTATATTCTACACACAAGAATTCTTGGGCTCACAAAGACACATGCCTGCATATCTGTGCACGTCCACCTCCTGTATCTGGAGAATAACTGACACCTGCTTCTCACTCACAAGTGCTACTCAGTCTCTTTCAGACACTGAATAATCTACTTGCTAGCAGGTCTATACCTAGACACACACCAGCTCACAGTACATAGAACTGCCCTCACATGCAGAAAGGCACTCAAGAATCCAGGCACACTCAGGGAAGCCCCCCACCCTCTGCTGCCAGGCACTGTGGTCTATCTCAAGGATGGCTGGGCTTTCCCATTTGCCTGGGAAGGGGGCGGGGAGGTGGTCTCTGGGGGGCCCCTCACAGGTGCAGGTCTTTCCCTATCCACTCTACTCCATTCTATTACCAGGGAAGGGAGCTCATCGCCATGGCAGCGCCAGATTCTTGGCCACCCATTGGCTCCTTGGTTGCCATGGGCTACGGGGCTGTCTCTGTGGAAAATGGGTGCTGGACTCCTAAGGCCCACTGTGTTATTGTCGACCCAGGTGCACGTGCTAGCGGACGGCAGGATGAGATCCTCAGGTCCCGCCTTGTAACACAGCTTGCTCTCTGTTAGAGCCTCATACCAGTCACTGATAGAAAATAGTTCTGACAGGGCTCTTCTCTGAGTCTGTCCAGACAGCGTCCCAAATGGAAACCAGCTGAAACCGCCCAAGGCTTCTTAAAAGCAGATCCTTCTGAAAACAGGCACGTGGCCTGGGAACTCAGGGTTTCTCTTGAGAATTGTTACCTCTAATCTCAGCTCCTGTGGGGGATTCAGGGGTTTCCAGGTTATTTTGTGTCTCTCCCCACAACCACCAGCAACACCCTCACACGTGCGCACATACAGGTCACCCACAGGCTCTCCTGCAGACACATGTAGTCACACTTCAGTCTCACATGGATTAGGGAGCTGTTTCCATCATGGAACCAGGGACTGGGGCTGTGCTGACTGAGAAGAGCTGCTGCGCCAGACAGACGTCCAGGCTGGGGCACAGGTAGTTTCTGGAGGATCCTGGCCTTTCTTGGCACATGTGGGCTGAGGACCTTCTAGAAGACAGTGCAGCCCCATGGAGCGTCATCAACCTTTTCTAGCCACGCGGCAGAGGTGCCTGGGCGGTGCTTGTGGGCTGAGTGGACTCCGGTGCTGTGGAAGTACCTGTGTGCGGGGGTCCAGATGGCAGGGTGGTGGCCATGGACCGAGGAGGGTGGGAGGGGCAGCACTTACGGCTGTGGAGATTATGACGTGGTTAGGATCTGGCAAACTGGAGGTTGGGCCAGGCCAAGACATGGTTCTAGAAAGCTTCTCCCAGGGAGCCAGGGACTAAAGCCACTTGTAGAGAGTGTGCAGGGGTCTTAGAGAAAATATGCCTCAAACGGAATGGCTTAAGCCTGTTCCTGGGAAAGGTGGCCCAGGAAGGTAGAACTGTCTCTAGGAAATGATCCTGTTCTAGCAAGTGCCTAGGGCCCTGGCATCCTGCAAGGAGTGATTTGGCACTTGCCTCAGCCCAGGTCCAACTACTATCTCCCCTCCACCGCCACCCCTCCAATTCCTTTCCTGGGCCGCAGACTCAGCCCTGAAGCATAGAATCCTGCCTCCCTGGAAGCCTGGCCCCGAGGAGCGTCTCAACACCCTTATAGCCCTGCACTGCTTGCTTTCCCCATGCCTGTCACTCCACCTCCTCGTTCTGTTGTAGAGAGGGGGGTGTGTAGCTGGAGGCAGGCTATGTCAGCAGTTGCCAGGATCCCCCCTGCCCTGCTGGGGTCTTTCTGGGCACGCACTGAGTGTGGCAAAGTACTGGAACTGGGGTGCAGACTTCCAAAATGGGAGACTTGGGCTGAGAGGAGGAGATTCAAATTGCCTCTTGCATTAACTGGGCTGCTGATTGCAGTCAAAGCCACATGCTGTCTGATCACAGAGAAAACTGGGGCAGAAGACAGACAAAGCATTTTACTTGCAGATGGGAGTGGGGGCAGGGGGTGGCATGCACGTGCTTTGACTGGTGTGAGGTTTCCCTAATGTCACAGCATGTCAGAGCTGGAATGTGGCATTTGGTTTGGGAGAGAGGGGTTGGCTGGCTTCTTGCTGGTTCTGCTGGTGAGGGTTTTACTCCCTCTCTAATGGTTACACCTTGCATTCCCTGGGCCCAGCTTATTTTCTTTAGAGAAATGATAGTTGGTGATAATCTTCTTATGGGTAATTTTGGCTCAGTGTATAATGATCATGGATTAATCTCACATTCTGAGTTCAAAGGGAGCCATTGAGTTTATAAAGTTTAACAATTGGAATGTTTTTGTCTTTTGTTTCTGTTAGTACTAATAATTTCTAATTCTGCCAGTTTCTCTTTACCTGTGTTCTTGAGGAATATTAAATGCCCTTAGTACATTTACAGCCTTTTATAAGTTGTAAGTGGAGCAGTGAGAGTCAGGAAGGACTGCGGCCCACGGCGTATTGGAGGACTATGCTGGGTGGGATTGGGGTGGCCCCGTCCTCAGTGCCCTTGTCCTCATGGTCCTGAGGCCATTGCCTGGTGTTTCTCTCACTTGGTCATGAACTAATTGAGATCAGGGAACTTATCTGGTTCCTGGTCATGTCCCCAGCACAGACAAGACGTCCACTTCTTTGAATCAAAGTGGCATCCCGGGATAGCCTCTAGGGCTTCCTTGGCTTTCCCAGCCCCACACCTGGGTTCTAAGCACACCTGAGGGATACAGTACTCTCACATCACCATGGGACCTCCTGGAGCACTGCTTGAAAAGCATTCTGTAGGTCACAGAAAGAGAATCTCAGACTGGAAGAGCCTTTACAGGTCATCTAGTTCTCCGTGTGGATGCTCCCTGTAGCATCCCTGCCACACGGCCTCCCATCAGATGGCTGTGATTTCTTTCAAGTTCTTCCTTAGGTTGAACCTAAGCAAGTCTCCGGGTTCCCCCTCCTCCTGGCCCTTGTTAGGATCCTCCCACCACTTCCTTTGTTTTGTAGGGAGTAGTGGGACTCCTGACGCCTTCCGTTCTGCTGCTAGGTTCGGCCTCCGAGGTGCCCTGGGCACTTGGACCCACCACTTTACTTCTGGCAGCCTTATAACGACTCCCTGATTTTCTTGTTGTTCTTTAGAGATCACCAGCTGTGGCTCGTGGTCGCATTTGCATGGCTGAGCATTAGAATCACCCATGGCACTTGCTTTTACAAAGAGAGAGAGGAGTGGGTTGATTCTGGGGGATGTTCCCCAGCAGTTCTGAATGACCAAGTCAGGGCTTAGTCCCGCCAGCAGTTTGAATGCACCTGATACATTTGGGAACTGCTGGCTGGAATGGGGACGGCACATCCTGGGAGGCTGGAACTCCTGTGAGCAGTGTGGTCCTCTGCCTTCTGGAGCTGCACTGGTTCCCACTGTGTCCCAGTAAGCTGCCAGGCGACAGAAGCCACAGATCTGGACTTGCCGGGGGTCCAGGGTTGCAGCCAGGGGCACAGGGTTGCAGCCAGATGCCCTGGTGGCCTTTCCTCTCCTGACAGCCCACATCTGTGATTTCCTGGGTCCAGCAGGGGTAGCTTCCACTGTGACTGAGGGGAAAGAATGAGGGCAGGAAGAGGAGAAGGTGAAGTCAACATGGAAAGTGTGGCCAGAGGGTTGGGTCTGTCCCTAGATTCCCTGACCCCTGGGCCTCTGGTTAGCACTGATGGAGTAGCTGGAGCATGTAAGGTAGAGTCTCTGAAGAGAGGGAGTTCGGAAACAGGCTAGAGGATGTTGGCTGTGTGTGCTTTTCCAGGGCACAGAATTGTCCTTGTGTCCTTGCCCCTTGTTGTCAATCGTGGATGACTGCTCTGATATCTGTGGGGTGCCTTGGGGGAAGTGAGTGGATGTAGAGGGGCAGGTTCCCTGGGAGGTGAAGCTGCCACCTCGTTGGTGCTGGACTGAGCAGATGGATTGGTGGACACTGAAGCCTGGGTTTCTCTGCCCTCATGAGCCAGTGGCTTTCCTGAGCCTCCCTGTTCAGGCCCCCAGCAGGAGGTGCCCGTGATGTAGGAGACTCCAGGGTCAGCTGAAAGACCTATCCATCAGCGCCCTGTCTCTTGTCTGAGTCTCCTGGCGGGGCTGCAGCTGGCAGCCTGGGCTTGGCAGTTATTCCATAATTGGAGCTGAAGTCATTAAAAAACCATTACTGTCTCCTTGTGTGGTTATCGTTTAGGTCAGCCTAGAACAGGGCCCATCAGAAACAGGCAGGCTGGGGAAGCGTCGGTGAGAAAGGAAGATGCCTTAGGAATGGTGCTGGGGTGGAGATGAGGAGGAAGGGCCATCTGGGTGGGGGCGGAGAAGGGAACTGGGCCTATTGAGGAAGCCAGGGGAGCTTTTGGTGCTGCTCTTCCTGGAGACAGCCATCGCAGTTGCCCTTGGTCTCCACAACAGCTGCTGTTGGCTGGGGATTCTTTGTTATTCACCAGGGAGAGTTGTTGCGCACTTGTCGTTAGCTAGGAACACCCACCTGGTACAAGCTTGTCACTGCTAGGTAATCGTGGTCCCATCTCGTCCCCTTGCAGCTCTTCTAGAACACTGCTTTACCAGGAATCGTGCCCACTCTCAGAGCCTCCCCATTTTAGTAGATTTAGTGTAGACCCTCCTAGCTGGGTCTTGCTCAGCCAGGCACAGGTGGCTTCTCCCCGGTGGCCGCCCCCCAGCTGTGCATGCTCCTTTCCTTCTGTGTGCTTGCACATGCCCGCTGGTGGGTGAGGTGGTAGGTGGCTCTCTAGGTACTTTGGGGATGTCTGAGGTTTCTGGAGCCTCTTCAGTAGCCTAGCCCTTGTGTTCATCCATATTTCTCTGAAGGCCAGTGGTTAAGTCCTTTCTCCCTGTTATCTTACCTAGTAATCAGGGTCACCGAAGCCTGTGGCTCTTTATCATTCTCCCCCATCAGGAAATGGAGGTGGAGGCAGAGGAGGAGAAAGGAATGTTTTCATGGAAAGCAGCCTCCTGCCTCTGGCATAACTGTGCATAGTCCATGGCAAGTGGGATGGTGGCCTCTGGTAGGGAAATGTGCCCCCTGCATGGATGAGAGCATTAAAAGGCACTGGGCAGTGAGGCCACTATGGCTGGAAATACCTTTAGTCAGTTGAGCAGCTGCTGTGACCCAGCATTTCCGGAGGTGGCATTGCTGATGTGAGTCTTACCTCTCAGCTGGATGTCCCCTTTTCTAAATGACTCTAGATGTGAGCGTCAGCACCATGGAAGTCATCTTCTTTGTCTTGCTCAGCCAAGCCCAGGGCTGGGGATGGCCCAGGTGACTGCCCAGTCCCTGCCCTCTGAAAGTGTGAGTGGCTTGCGACAACCTAGAAAACTGTGGAATGGCCCCTCCTGCTGGCACAAAGGGAAGCCAGCACTGTCTTGTGGAGGTTGCACAGGGGCCAGGCCACTGGCTTATGACAGTGGGGTTTATAGCTGCCCTGTGCCCAGGCACAGAGCTTGGCAAGCGGAGGGAGCACAGTTGGATTCCAGACCCTGTTGCTCCTGTCAGCCAGGGGCCACTGTACAGAGCTTAGACTGCATTTTTCACGTGTGTCCTGAAAGTTGTGATGTGTATGCACTGTGCGTGTGGCTGACCACGGGGGACACTGGTGTTCGGGTCTGACCCTTTCAAGTCCGTCTGTGGGCAAATGCTTTGACTTTGCTTATTCAGTCAGGCTGTTGGCTTGAGCTGTAGAGATGGGAGGGTTGTAGCCTCTCAGGCCTGGCAGGGCCCTCAGGCATTTTGCGCTCTGGTCCTGAACCCTTTCTTCAGAAGTCTTCACTGCAGTCCTCCAGCCTGGGTGTGTGCCTTCCACAATGGGATGCCCAGCCTCTCAGCCAGCTGGAATATTTAGGGACCTGGTTGCATCCTGTGGTCCTGGCAATGCCCTCAGGGAGCCCCAAATGCAGCTGTGCCCTCTTAGGCAGATGGGCTGTTTCAAGAAGACCAAGGCCTAGAAGTATGGCTCTTGAGCGGTGTTTTCTCCTGTGCTCTGGCAGCTGAGGGTTTGGTGAATGAGGCTGTTGTGCACACAGCCCCAGATCACAGCTGGGGCTCCTCTGACATGCAGAGCAGCTCGTGGGTACAAGGAAAGACCTTCCCAGATGTCAAGTAGGCAGGACACCTGCTAGTTAAAAAACATGCATAGTCCTCATAGATCGTGGCCAAGGTGGTGGGCAGTCTGTGTTATGGGGGCTTCCTTCTACCCTCTGACTGGCTCCCTTGGAGGTGCAAGTAGTTGAAGGCTCATGTAGGTGGTCAATGATTGTTCCAGCTAGAAAGGGCTAGCCATCAGGAGGAGGTGAAAGTGGCTTCACTTTGTCCTCAGGGTGATGTGACCTCCTGTTTCCCCTTTGCACGCACACTGCGCTCACCTTCACACGAGCACACCCACTTCTTCACAGGTGTCTGCATGCACATGTGCACACACATGAGATATTCACACACTTCCTTATGGCCTCACACAAACCTAATGCACTCGGGCACGCCTGTGCAGGAACCTGGACACAGTCTGGTTCAGGGGCAGCTTCAGAATAACTGGGCCAGGGCCGCCTGGGGCTTCCCCAGAGCTCAGATCCTCAGGCTCCAACCTCACCTCATGCAGCTGTCCACACCTTGGCCTTTATAGCATTTGGGCCTAGGTCTCATGCATGTGTCTCTGGCTAGCAAAAAGCTAAGTGATTTGAGTTACCAGTTCCCTACTTGTGCCCTGCCTTCCTCAGAGGCATGGCCAGTGCGGGTGAGATGAGGCTCCCTGTCCCAAGACTGGTGGGGCTCAAGAATTTGATGTCCCCAGGGCTGCCTGTGCCATGTCTGCAGCCCGGGAAGGACCTGGTAGCTGGTTGCTGGGCTGTACATTGATGTGTTGTGTCCACCCTGCAGACACCTCTGTGTGGCCCAAACCCTGTAGGCTGAGGGACTGGTTGGTCTCTTAGCTTCATTCTCTCAAATGAGAAGGAGGACCCTCTGCCCTCTTTAAGTGGGGAAGGGGAGTAGACAAAGTCAGGACTCTACTCTGCCCACCTGGAAAGCTAGGAGTTTGCTTTCAACGGATGGGGAAAGGGTCTGCCCCAGAGGACGCAGCCTCCTCTAGAATGGTGGGAAGGAAGGAAAAGGCTGGGGCTGGTGAGATCCCAGTAGGGAGCTGGAGGGAGCAGCCCCCTGGGTTTGTTTGAAGCCTGGCCTCGGGCCTGGCTTGTTGCTGGGATGCCTCTGGATAGTTCTCTTGGATCTCAGTCAGGCCCGGCCCTGCTCAGGGATCTGAGGGGAGGGTCTCATCCGGTATTTACTGGGGAGTCCCTGGGGAAACAGGGGTCCTAGCAGGCTTCCAAAGTGGCAGCTCGAGCCCTTTTGGTTCAAGCTGGTTTCAAGATGGCAGGCTCCACCCTTCCTCCTTCTACCATGTGGGCTCACTGAGTCCCAGCAGCCGTGATGGGATGGGTTTAACGGGCCCAGATATGCTGGGGGTGGGCTCTGGGCTGTATATCCTGGCACCTCACGGGCAAGCCCTGAAAACCCCTCTTTCGCTCTGCAGTGTCTTAGATGATGAGGGCAGAAACCTGAGGCAGCAGAAGCTTGATCGGCAGGTGAGTAGGCCTGGGGCCGGGTAGAAGGGAAGAGTCTGGGCTGGGATCTCTGAGGGCAGAGGGGCAGGGCTGTCCATCTTCCCTGGATGATCCCGTCTGATTGGGGGATGGGATTCCCATGTGGAAGAAGAGAGGTGCACTCTCTCCCAGCTCAGCACTAACCCTGCCGCGGCACATGGGCTCCTGCCTTCAGGCAGCTGGGTGACTGCAGTTGGAGGGCTGGCTGTGCTGTGATCCTGCCAGGGCAGCCACCTGGGCCCTGTTTTGCCTCCCTTTCCTGGACCCCAAGTGTTGGGGTGCCAAGGACATGGGGCCTTGGCCCAAGGTGGGCTGTGGACCCCCCGATAACTGGGAGCCCGCCCTTCCTGGTGGAGGCAGTGGGTCAGCCAACCTCTGTGCCTCCATAGCGGGCCCTGCTGGAGCAGAAGCAGAAGAAGAAGCGCCAGGAGCCCCTGATGGTGCAGGCCAATGCAGATGGGCGGCCCCGGAGCCGGCGGGCCCGGCAGTCAGAGGAACAAGCCCCCCTGGTGGAGTCCTACCTCAGCAGCAGTGGCAGCACCAGCTACCAAGGTATACCTTGCCTGCTGCCCCACATCCCGTCACTGCTTCGGGGAGCCCGTCACTTCCTGCCCACCTAGGCAGGTGCGGACTGGTCCTGACGGGGGATGCCCAGGCTGTGTATGGCTTCCAGCCCAGGCAGACAGCTGAGTAGGGAGGGCAGAGGGAAGGTGGACCTGTAGCCTTGGGCGCCTGTGTATGCTCCAGCTGACACCTCCTGAATCAGGCACTGAGGCCAGAAGCCTAAACCTTTTATGAGGCCAGGAGTTCAGAAGTCCAAGTTTTGATCTGGAGCATTTCACTGAGTGCAGGAGGTAGCTTCTAAGAGTAGATGACCTGCTCCCCACCAGTATTCTACATTCTGAGAGGAATCCGTCTCACTGTCCTGCCCCATATCAACCAGTGTCTCAGTACAAACACCTTTTTCCTTCCCTCTCTGCACCGTGTCTGCCTGGCTTCTGACTTGCAGATCCCTCTCTCTGGCTCACAACTCCTTAAGAGCTGTAGTGACCTGGAGCCTGCAGCTCCCATCCTTAAATGTTCCAGGTCTCGGCAGAGCCCAGTTGGGAGAAATTCTCTGCAGCTCATCCTGGAGAGAGCACATCTCCAGAGATGGCTGCAGCACATCTCTGTTCTCAGGACCCTCCTTCCTGCTTGGGTTAGGTGAAGAGTAGGCCAGGCCAGACTGAGGGGTTGGGGGTCTCTGAGCTTGAAAGGAGGACTCAGACTCAGTCTCCACTGCCCCCTGCTGGTGCTAGTAATCCAGGCTGCTACTTCATCAAATAGTAATTCTAAAAAGGTTGCAGGCATCTGGCTTTTGCGGTTAGGAAGAACCTTAGCAGTCGTGGTGCTCCCCTCCTTCTGTGGCTTCGTTATGACCTGGAGCCTCCAGATACATCGAACTACTGGTAGTTGCCTCACCTCAGGGCTGAGCTTCTTCATCTAACTGCTGGCCCATACCCTGCCTCGCAGTATTTTAGGTTCTTCTCTGGGTTCCACTGACCCATAGCTCCCTGAGCCCTTTGTCTGCACATTGGAGGGCAGCAGGTGGGTCTCACTTGCCTGGTGCCCAGTTTGTGGCTGGGCACACCATACAGGCTCGGTCCCCTGTGTGCATGTGTACCCTCCGAGGAAGCCTACTCCGTTTCTTCTAACAAAGGCTGGCTGTACATCTGCCAGTGGCTAAGTACAGTGCTAGAGGCTTTACCTGCATTATCTTGTTTCATCCTCACAGGAACTCATTATCCTCACATCATCAGTAAGGATGTGGGCTCTGAGGGGCTCAGTGACCTGCTCATAGTACTCTGCTAGTGAGCAGCAGGGCTAGAATTTGAACCCAGACCTAACAGACGCCAAATGGTCTCTCCTCCATATTATGTTGCCTCCCTGATGAAAAGCTCCTTCATGCTAATTCCCCTGTGTGTGTGTCAGTTCAGCACCCTGGCCATACCTGGTATGCCTGTACTCTACTTGAGAGGCCTTCAGAAAAGGGGACCAGGGACCTCAGCCCAGCTGTCTCACAGAGGCAGCCCCAGCTGCTCCTCACAGAGCTGGCCCCAGCCCCACCCTTTGCTGGCAGCCAGCTCCTCCACTTCCTTTGTGAGTGCCATCCCAAGGGTGGTAGTGGTACCCTGCCAGGAAGGTGGCCAATGTTCTGGGTCATATGGCGTGTGGCCTGTGGCTGTGTGGCATCACAGCCCCAGCTCTGCCAAGCCTGGCACCTGGGCGAGTGAGGCTGCATACAGAATAGGGGCCTGCACCCAGGATTGTGGGCCCTGCCAATTTGTGCCAGAGGCCAACATCGTGAGAGGTCATTGACGTGCAGTCGTTTTGGAAGGTATTTCTTGGCAGCTGTGTTCCAGATGATGTCAGGACATCAGAAAGACTGTGGTACAACTAGCGCCTCTGGCGTAAGTGCAGGACTGAAGTCAAAAGACAGTTTCTGTGCTAGGTGGCTCACACCTGTAATCCCAACACTTTGGGAGGCCAAGGCAGGAGGATTGCTTGAGGGCGGAAGTTCAGGACTAGCCTGGGTAACATAGTGAGACC
Organism: Homo sapiens; assembly: GCF_000001405.40. Lineage (NCBI taxonomy): Eukaryota > Metazoa > Chordata > Mammalia > Primates > Hominidae > Homo > Homo sapiens. Next base: position 8,092,269 of record NC_000011.10, read on the forward strand.
CCATCTTTAAAAAAAGTGAGCAGGGTGTGGTGACACCTGCCTGTAGTCCCAGCTACGTAGGAGGATCACTTGAGCCCAGGAGTTCAAGACTGCAGTGAGCTATGATCGTGCCACTGCAATCCAGCAAGAAAAAAAAAAGAAAAAGATAGTTTCTGGTCGTGCCACTACCAGTTAGTTACCTGCTCGCTTGTGACTGGGGCAAGCCATTTACCCTCTCTGGATCTGTTTCCTCCATTATAAAATGGGGAAACTTCTCTGTCTTAGGGCTTTGGAACTCGAAGGAGCCACGGTGTGTTCCAAGGTCCAAAATCAGGGAATTGCTATTCCCTGACATTCCAGAGTGGGCTGGGCCTCCACGACCTTTTTCACAGAGGACATTTGAACATGTGACATTTGATTTCTGGGAGGTGCCTACTGCTTCTCTAGGGGCCCAGTCTTTGTCCAGGTTCAAATGGTGGACAAAGCTCTGGGGAGGCTGCTGCACACACGCGTGGCCTACCCAGGAACTGGTGTTTCCAGGCCACTCCCACCCCGCCTACAGCATTAGTTGCCTCCCTGTCTGCCCTCTACTGGCTACAGGCGTTAAATTCAGGGGATCATTCCAAGAGGAAAAGGAGGGAGTCTGATACACATCAGACCTCACAGTTTATCCTGGTTTTTGACCTGCTGGCTATACTCATTCATGTTACACATTCATTCAGTTCTTAAATATTTATTGAGGTTTGTGTCAGGCTCTGGATTAGAGGCTGTAGGTCCCAAGTGAGCACAAATGGGTGTGGTCCCTGCTTTCACGGACCTTACAGTCTAGGTGGAGAGACAATGTTAAACAGATGGTCACGGGGTTGCTTTGTGGAAGGAAGCCAAATTCTGTGAGTAGATGACAACACCTGCTCTGACGAGGGAGGCAGGCACAGCGTCCCTCGGGAGGTGACATCCAAGCTGAAATCTGCAGGATGAGTGGGAGTTGATCACTGAGGGGGGCGAGGGGGAGGGCAGTGCAGGCAGCAGGAGCAAGGGCCCTGTGGCAAGAGGGAGTGCAGTGCATGTGAGGCAACAGACCAGCCTGGTGTGGCTGCAACTCTTGGTGCCCCAGAGGTGGGGAGTATGTGTTTATTTTAGACCTAGGGGAAGGGAGAGAATGTTGGTCTTCAGCTTAAGAGCAATCAGAAACCATTCAAGGATTTTGAGCAGATTGGGGTTCTGCAGTATGGAGAATTTGGAGGCCACCAGCTGGGACCCTTCTGAGACCTCACTGTTGGTGCCTGTAGCTTCTTGTGTCCCAGAGTTGTTGTTCTGAGCACTCCTACACCCCAGCCTCCCATGGGCTCATCCCCGCAGAGCCCCCTCGTAGGCTCCCTGGAGTGCTTGCCCTGGTTGTGGTCTCTTCCAGAAGATGCAGCCTTTGTTCTTTCTTCCCCGTCTTCAATGGCCATATCCTCTCAGACATTCTCCCTGCCCCTGTTCAGGCTCAGTATGGTTTGGTGGCCCAGAACTTTTGAGTGCGCACTTTGTTGGCTGATCACAGGTTTTGGTCTGGCTGTTGACTTGATTACACTGGGCTGGGGGTGCCGCCTCCTTCCAGCTGGGCCTGCCCTGGAATCTTTGCCTAGTAGAGATGAGTGGGCCTGATCCTGTGGGCTGTAGAAGTGGTACAGGGGCCCTGGTGGGACTCGGGGTGCAGTCAAAAATGCTGTGCTGGGGACTGTGTTCAGGTGGGAGCTCTGGTCTCACCCACTGCCTGTTTCTCTCTCTCCATCTGGGGATGTTTCCTGAGCAGTTCAAGAGGCCGACTCACTCGCCAGTGTGCAGCTGGGAGCCACGCGCCCAACAGCACCAGCTTCAGCCAAGAGAACCAAGGCGGCAGCTACAGCAGGGGGCCAGGGTGGCGCCGCTAGGAAGGAGAAGAAGGGAAAGCACAAAGGTCAGCTCACATTCTCTACAGCCCTCCCCAGCAGGCCTGGCCTCCACTGTAGGGCTGGGGAAGGTTTGTCCTCCTGACTTGGAGGGGAGGGATAGGATGAACAGCCTCAGGGAAGACACAGACTGCCACTCTGGGCACCCCCTCAGGTGGCTCACAGGCCTCATCTAGCTTGGGAGGTGCCTGGGCTGCCTCTGGGTGTGGGCATGCCTACCACACTGCCAGGAAGTGAAGTCCTGCTCAGCTGTGGCCCAGAACCACCGTCCCCCACCTCAGCTACCTTGGCCTGAGCACCCTTTATCATGACCCCTCAAGGAGGATCTCACCCAGCCTGGACTAGGACACTCACTGCACTGGGGGCTGACTGCTTCCCAGGCAGCTTGCCCCATCCTTATGCAGCCCTCGCCGTCAGCTCTTCGTATAATGTGGACTTCCCTTGACTCCATATTCTAGTCCAGGTTCCACCCTCTGGACCACAGACCAGCCTGTTCCCTCTGCTCCTCTTTCTCCAGAAAAGACCCCTAAAGATTAAGGACAGTGATTGGCGGTACCTGCCCCAGGTCCTGTCTCTTGGCTACACACCCCGTTTCCTCAACTTTTGTTCACGGACAGTGGTTTCCAGGCCACTGCGTCACGGTTGGACAGTGATGTGTCACAGGCCATGGGCTTCTGGAGCTGGCCGAGCACTCTGGGCATAGCTCAGTAGGCGGGCAGGGTGGCTGCCACCTGTGTGGGTCAGGCCTTGCTTCTGTTGCTGAAGCTCTGTGGTAACGGGCAGGAAAGCTGACGTAGGATGGGAGATGCTCCATTTGGGAAGGCGAGTGTATGCCAATTGCAATCTTTCTCAAGGGGCCCACGTTTTTAATGATGTATGTGAGTTACTGCACGTGTGTATGTTGTGTCTGTTTGTGGAAGAAAACACCAGCATTGATGGCTTGTAGCTGGTCGTGTCCATGAATGATTGCTGGCCTTGCCTATGGTCTGGATCAGTCCTTGTTCTCCATCTTGTTTTTCCACTGTGCAGTTGGTTTTGTAGATGGCTGCCGTCTGCTTTAAGGACGTGAGGTGTTGTAAACCAACCCTCGGCAATTAATTTGGGGGAAGAGCAGAAGAAATGAAGCCCACATCCCTTACTAGCTTACCAGTTGTTAACAGGCTGGTGCAATCATTAGTTTTATAAAAATCACTTTTGCAAATAAAGTTTTGCAGAGGGTTTCCCCACTCTTCCCTCATCCCCTTCATGGACGTCTGAGAATCCAGGCCCTCCTCTCCTCCTCCTGGATGTAACTCAGGCGTGTCCGTGGCCTGCAGGCACCAGCGGGCCAGCAGCACTGGCAGAAGACAAGTCTGAGGCCCAAGGCCCAGTGCAGATTCTGACTGTGGGCCAGTCAGACCACGCCCAGGACGCAGGGGAGACGGCAGCTGGTGGGGGCGAACGGCCCAGCGGGCAGGATCTCCGTGCCACGATGCAGAGGAAGGGTGAGCCCCATGGGGACCCAGTGATACCCCCAAAACTCAGTCCCAGGTTCTCAGATGCACCTTTCTCTGGGAGCATGGCCTTCCTGTGTCCAAACCCCTCCCTGGCAATGGTGGGTGAGGGTGGGGCACACTTCGGAGACAAATGAGAAACTCTTAGGCAGGGCCCCTGCTAAGGCCCCAGGGAGGCCCTGATTTGGGGGCAGATTTCCTTTTCCTTTTGCTCCTTAGAAAAAGCTCCTTTTGCAAGAAGTTTCCCATATGTTTGCTGAGCTACTGGGAGCAGGGCCAGGATACCAAGAGACGGGGTAGATCCTCCGTGGAAACCTGCTGTTCAGTTTTCCCACCACAAGCCCTGCCCTAGGGAGCCCCTGGTGCAGGGTGGCAGAGGGAAGAAGCCTGGCAGTGCCACACATTGTGAGGAATCTAATCAAGGATGGCTTCCTGTACAAAGGACTTTGAGACAACTTGAGGATGGGGATGGCATTCCCAGGGAATGGCAGGCGGGAGGACAGCTGAGATAGAAGCTCAGGGCAAAGATGAGGAGTCAGTGGGTCCCCTCCACATTGGGCTGAGGAAGGAGCTGAGGCCTGTGCCCTGGCAGATTCCGTGGTCTATGCCAGCCAAGGCCTCTAATAGGCCTGAGGTCAGAAATGGAGATTCCCAGTTCAAGGTGAGCTCAGTGCAGGCCTTGATACACAAGAGACAGTGGTAGGGTGGCTGCTAGGTAGTGGGGTAATGTAGGGACTGAGCTGAAACTGGGTGGTGGGGATATATCCTGAGGATTGTGGCCAGCCCCGGCTCATGTGTGTACCTGAGAGAATATCCTTTTATATCTGGACATGTGTGGGAATATATGTGTGAATGGGAGTCTATATGTGTAGATATGGCTAAGAGTGTGTGCATAAGTTTGTGGGGGTACAGGTGAGTCAGTGTCTGAACATGAGTATGTGACCATGTGTATTTCAGGGGCAGCGTAGACTTCTCCTCCTTCATCCCTTCTTCTTCTCTCCTTGGCCCAGGCATCTCCAGCAGCATGAGCTTTGACGAGGATGAGGAGGATGAGGAGGAGAATAGCTCCAGCTCCTCCCAGCTAAATAGTAACACCCGCCCCAGCTCTGCTACTAGCAGGAAGTCCGTCAGGGTGAGTGAGTGAGTCTGCATCCACAGCAGTTTTTGGAGGACTGCTCATCCGTTAGAGGTGGACTGCATGTGAAGAGATGGACTCGTATGCCTTTAGGAGCTTCTCTGCTGGCCTCTTATGTCCCTCTACCTTGCCTCCTAACCTCTTCAGCTAGGCCAGCAGGGTGATGTATGGGGGGAGATGCAGTTGGACAGGATGACCTCTGAGGACCTCCCGTATCTCCCATCTCCACCTCTAGGAACTGTTGAGGGCAGGGCTGGGAAGATAGCTTCTGACCCCAGGCCCAGGCTGGCCAGGCCCCAATCCCAGGATCCTTCCCTCTCTCCCACCGCCACGTTAGGAGGCAGATTTGGATCCCAGACCACCAATTTGGGCTGCTTAGGGTCCTTGGGGCTCAGGCACCTATTCTGCATCCCCATAGGAGGCAGCCTCAGCCCCTAGCCCAACAGCTCCAGAGCAACCAGTGGACGTTGAGGTCCAGGATCTTGAGGAGTTTGCACTGAGGCCGGCCCCCCAGGGTATCACCATCAAATGCCGCATCACTCGGGACAAGAAAGGGATGGACCGGGGCATGTACCCCACCTACTTTCTGCACCTGGACCGTGAGGATGGGAAGAAGGTAAGGTTGGTCTGGGCATGTTATCATCTAGGCTTTACAGCCCTTTGAAATCCTAGGGGCTGAAATGTGACTGGAAGTCTCATATCTACCACTGACCTCTCAGTTCCTCAAAGAAACTGCCTTCGTGTCTGGTCTGTGCACATCTTTGTGTTTTCCAGTGCATTTGTGTGTGTGCACATATGTGCGTTTGGGAGCTGACGCAACGGAGAGAGTCTGTGTGAGTGGCTCTCATGACTGTGTGCAGACCAGAGGCTGAGTCTGGAATATGACCTCATTCCACTCCCCAAGGTGTTCCTCCTGGCGGGAAGGAAGAGAAAGAAGAGTAAAACTTCCAATTACCTCATCTCTGTGGACCCAACAGACTTGTCTCGAGGAGGGGACAGCTATATCGGGAAACTGCGGTACTAGCATTCCCCCAGGAAGCAGGCGGGAGTGGGAGGGAGGGGCAGGGGCAAGCTGTCTGTAGAGGGCCTGAATCTTCCTGAAGGAGATCTAGGCCAGGGATGGATACTCTCCCAGGATCCTCTCTGATAATCACATCCAACTGGAGGCCTATGTCTATGCCAGCCTAGAGCCAGACTTGGAGATGGGAATCACACACCCGACCCCAAGCTGTTCCCAGGAGGTGGGTGCAGGCCCACCAAGAGTGATGGATCCAACCCCAGGGTGTCACTGATAACGCAGGCCACCATGGAAGAGTTGCCTTGGCTCCATGGTCAATGCCAAGGGACAGGGCTGAGAGTGAGCTCTTGAGGGAAGAGACACACAGCAATCTTGGGGGTGGGGGGCAGTGGTGAAGGGGCAGGAAGGCTCTGAGCCTAGGCCTCCAGGTGGGGGCAGTGGGGAGGTAGGGTTTGCTGAGGAACTGAGTACCAGATTTGGGGAGCATAAATAAAGATGAGAGGTCAGGAGCTAAAGCTGGAGATGGGGCTGGACTGAGACTTAGGCTGGCTGCGACAGAGGAGATCTCATCCTCTCTCCACGGGTGCTAAGCCTCTTCCACTGTCTTATCAGATGCCATTCTGTTTGCTCACCTCCCATGAGGAGAACTCCCATGTTCCCCCAGATAAATCTTCTGAAGAATCCTGATTGACCTCCCTGAATTGCTCTCACTGAACTGAAATGCACTTTGAGTCAACTCAGAGCAAGTCCAGGCCTTCTGCCCACGAAGTGTCTTCAAAGATGTGGATTCAGTGAGCAGTATGCCTCCCTGGGCCTGCTCCTGTTCCAGCCCAGAATGTTTTGCAGGCTCCTCATAGGACAGACGATGAGCTGTTCCCTGCTCTGGGGCAGAGGGTGCATGACTCTATACTGATTGTGCCTTTATTTCAGGTCCAACTTGATGGGCACCAAGTTCACTGTTTATGACAATGGAGTCAACCCTCAGAAGGCCTCATCCTCCACTTTGGAAAGTGGAACCTTACGTCAGGAGCTGGCAGCTGTGTGCTACGTGAGTCCTAGGTTCGGGGGTCTCTGATTTCCAAGGTAGATATGAAATCCAGGACTTGATGCCTGATCTAGGGGCTATCCCATCCATCTTAGTGGGTAGACAAGGCTGTGTGGAGAGGGGCTGTCCTCTGTGGAGTGTTCCTGGCCTAGGACAGGGGCTCTGGCTCTCTCCTCCTGACTTCAGAGCTCACACCACAGCCGGCCATCTGCTTGGGGAGCTCAGAAAACCAGGCCTGGCTCTCTGCAGTCCAGGCCAGGAGTCTCTTAGACAGAAGGAGACGGTCGCCCTGGGTTCTTGTCTGTGCATTTCCCAGATCATCCCTCTGGCATGCCAGGTTCTACATGGATTACACGGCACTTTGTCATCTCACTGAACGTTCAACCTAAGAGGTAGATCCTATTTTCTTTATAGATGAGGAAACTGAAGCTCAGCTGCAGATGTCACACAGCTCAAAAACGACCAAACTGGAATATAAATATAGGGGATTACTCTACCCCTTTGAACCTTTTTCTTCATTTTTAAAATCAGGGGTGGGTATCTCATCAACCTGGGCATGGGCACTTCTTGGAGGCCATCAGTAAGTAATCCACAGCTACTTTGTATGATCCTGTGGTGCCACCTGCTGACCAGTTTTGGGGAGGCAGCCTGAGTCTTCAAGTTCTTACTGAGCTCCAACTAAGCATATTGTTTGAGGCACTAAGGATATAGTAATGAACAGACATAAATGTATACCTTTATGGGACTTAAAGCCCTAGCAGGGCAGACAAGCTATGAAACAGATCTATCAGTGAAGTAAGTATGTTCTTTATAAACACTAAGAAGAAAAAGTAGGGGAGGGGAGATAAGAAATGTCAAGGTATGTGTGAGAATTTCAGAATGGCAGGGAGGGCGTCACTGAGGTAGCTCTTGAGTAAAGACCAGAAGGAAGTGAAAAACAGCAGTGTACGTGTCTAGGGGACACAGTGAGGACAAAAGTCCTGAATGCCTGGCATGAAGAAGGAATGGAGTGGATACCAGGCAGTAAATGGTGAGGAGAGGAAGGTCATGGGGCCACGTGCAGGTGAAGTCACATCTCCAGCTTTAACTTGGAGTGAGCTGGAGAGCCACTGGAGAGTTCTGAGCAGAGGAGAAAGATCATCTGACTTAATGTGCCTGAGCACTGGCTGCTGTGTTGAGAACAGATGGTGGGAAGGAGGAATAGGAGGGCCAACAACAGAAACCAGGAGTCCAGGCAAAGGCTGTTAGAATGATCTTGGTGAGAGAAGCTAGTGGTGAAAAGTGGTGGAAGTCTGGGTATAATTGGAAGGTGGAGCTGACAGAAACTGCTGATGGATTAGACGTAGGATGTAGAAGAGAGGACTCGAGTGTGACCAAGTAGTTTGCCGGAGCGAGTGGAAGAACAGCATTGCCGTGAGCAGAAGCAAGGATGACGCATAAGAGGAGCTAGTTCTGGCAGGGTAGAGACCCAGGGGCTCAGTTCTGGCCGTGTTAGGTTTAGAGGGATGTGTGTTAGACTTCGGAGTGGAGATGGTGGGAACTAGCTCTTCCTCTTTATTCCCGTCCCCCCCACCTTCTCCAGTAGGTAAATAGACGCCTCAGGTGGCCAGTGTTGCGTTCTCTTTCCCAGGAGACAAACGTCTTAGGCTTCAAGGGGCCTCGGAAGATGAGCGTGATTGTCCCAGGCATGAACATGGTTCATGAGAGAGTCTCTATCCGCCCCCGCAACGTGAGTGTCTACCCCTTCCTCCCCTCTTTCCCCATCATCCTAGTCTCTGCATGAGCTTCTAAGGGCAGAACTCCAGCTGATGTGTGTATGTGGAGGGGTACCATGTGAGAAAGCCCTGGAGGTCTAGGGAAATCCAAGGACCCCCATTCCCGGGATAGATCCCTTTCTGGGGTGGTCATGGTGCCAAAGGCCTGGGCCTGGCTCAGGTGAGGCTGCCCTCCCAGGAGCATGAGACACTGCTAGCACGCTGGCAGAATAAGAACACGGAGAGTATCATCGAGCTGCAAAACAAGACACCTGTCTGGAATGATGACACACAGTCCTATGTACTCAACTTCCATGGGCGCGTCACACAGGCCTCCGTGAAGAACTTCCAGATCATCCATGGCAATGACCGTGAGTGTTTCTGTCCCTACTCATTATGGTCCGTAGGATACCCAAGGCCCTTAGCGTAGGGTTCAGCCCACCTAGCCCTGCCTACACTGGCTAGAGTTTAAGAATGTGAGCTATACAGCTAAGGTTAGATGTATGGAACTTTCTAACCCTAATGACTGGGAGGTCCTGGAAGAACCTTCTTTGCAGCCCTGGTCCTAGATTCTGTGTATTCAACGGAGTCTCAGGCACGGGAACACCCTTTAAAAGGACTTTTCCTCTTTTCTGTCCCCTGGTGTTCACATGCATCTTACTTTGTCCTTTGCCATCTGCCACCTCTTTCCTGCCACTTCTCCCAATTGGCCTTTGTTTTACTTCCCTTTGTGATTCCCCTGGCATCTCTGCTTCTCACTTGTTCTTCCCTCATGTGGTTTGGGTGTCTGTCTATCCTTCCCTGGCTCTACCATTCCTGTCCTGTCCTTTTCTCTGTCTGTGCCTGTGCTTGGCCCCAGCGGACTACATCGTGATGCAGTTTGGCCGGGTAGCAGAGGATGTGTTCACCATGGATTACAACTACCCGCTGTGTGCACTGCAGGCCTTTGCCATTGCCCTGTCCAGCTTCGACAGCAAGCTGGCGTGCGAGTAGAGGCCTCTTCGTGCCCTTTGGGGTTGCCCAGCCTGGAGCGGAGCTTGCCTGCCTGCCTGTGGAGACAGCCCTGCCTATCCTCTGTATATAGGCCTTCCGCCAGATGAAGCTTTGGCCCTCAGTGGGCTCCCTGGCCCAGCCAGCCAGGAACTGGCTCCTTTGCCTCTGCTACTGAGGCAGGGGAGTAGTGGAGAGCGGGTGGGTGGGTGTGAAGGGATGAGAATAATTCTTTCCATGCCACGAGATCAACACACACTCCCACCCTTGGGGTAGTAGTGTGTTGTAGTCGTACTTACCAAGCTGAGCAACCTCTTCAGCTGGGAAGGCCGCAAGAGGCATAGAGGGAGAGGAAGCACACTGCAGGGCTGCTGTGGCCCAGTCGTCCGCTCAGCCAAGGAGTCAGATGGCAATGGGTACTCCAGCAGGTAGGGGCACAGTGAATGTGTGTATGTATGAAGGCCACATCAACTTTATGTAGCAAAGGGCTTGGTGGCCAAGCCTGGCCCTTAAACAACTGCAGAAAGCCCTTCAACTTCAGAAGGCCTCACTCAAGCCTGAGAGAAGTTGGGAGGGTGGTGGGGACAGGTAAGTGGCAGGACCCTGTCAGGATTGCAGGTGCCTGGCTTGCTGTGGCTATGGGAATCAGCTGGTGGCTAGGTTTCTAGCGCATTTGATTTCTCCAGGTTTGCTGTGTCTCACAGAGGCAGTAGGAACCCAGCTCTCAGGGCTGTCTTGGTGGATGGGCCCTGCAAGACACAGGCTCAGCATGCAGAAGTGCATGAACAGGGTCCCTGGATCAGGGTTGTTCTGGGAGTCCTGTCAGCTTCCCCAGGAGCTCTCTGCTGAGCAGCCCAGCACAACCCCCAGGAAACACAAATGGGGTCCAGGTCACCAGCCTGACTGCACACAGCTAGGCATGCCTGGGAATCCTGCTGCCAGAGAACCATTCCCAAGCCATGGCATGCTCCTTGAAGAATCTCTCCTCTCTCTCTCTCTCTGGAAAGACCCAACTTTCTCACTGCTGTCAGCCAAGTCATGGTTGGTAACCATGTAGGTTCTTGGGAGGGAATGGGACAGGGTGAATAAAGCAGGGAATATTTTAGAACCACAAGAGATCAGCAGTGGCAGGACCCTTAGGAATCTAGTACAACCTTGTTGCTTTAGGTGAGTCACACTCAGAAAATGGGGCTTGCCCTGGGTCACCTAGCTGGTTAATGGCAGCATTCAGAACTTCAAGTTCTCTTGATTTCTTTGTTCCCACTGTCCCCCAAGAAACTAGTATCTCTGGCCTCCTGGGGGCCCATTCTGCATGCCCTCCCCACTTCCCCCGATTCAGAGACTTAGAAGCATCAGAGTTGATAAATTAGATTGAAACCATTCCAGTAGGAAATCAGGCAGTTCCCTGTTGAAAGTTGTCTGGCTTTTTGCACGTGAGTATGATCCAGGATTGGCCTGTGTCTGGCCCCTCCGCGAGGGCTACTCAGCAGTAAGCAGGCCTTAGTACGGCTGCTGCACACTTCTCGGTCTAGGTGGGAGAGAGTGCATAAAGGTTCTGGGGCTGGGCCTGAGCCTAACTCCCTCCACTACCGCTATTTCTCCTTGGATGGCACCATCCACCCTGCAGGCTTGGGAACTGTAAGCTCAAGCTTTTGCTCATTTGTCATTTACCCTGGTGGAGGCTTCTTGCCCAGATAGAGATCTGAAATTGGTGGGAAGCAAGCAGGGGTCGTACCTTGCTTTAGAGTAGATGTTTGGAAAAGCTAAGTAGAAATTTTTTAAAATAGAAGTTGTATTTTAAACGTGTTAGGCTTTATAGGTGAAGGACTTGTTTTGACTTAAGTAGAAGTAATATGCTCTCATTTCTTTGTAATCTAGATTTTCCTATGTTGAATGCTTAAAGCAAGGCATACCTGTCCTAGCAGGATCTGCCCACACCTCGGCCGTACATCTCTGTGAGAGACCCCCTCCAACGATTAGCTTTTGCAACATGGTCCAGTTTCTAGAGGGCACTAGAACTTTGTGCCAGCGCTGGCGAGATACCATGGTGCCATCCTCCTTTCTATAGTTCCAGTTTAGCCCTTCCCTGCCTTTAAGGAGAAGAGATCTTCATGGTGACATTTGAGATGATGGAAACTAGATCGTCTCTAATGTTAGGTCAAGCTATTTCTCTGGATCTATGATTTTAAGATAGAACAGGCTGGTTCTGAGTTCTGGTGAGACGGAGACCCCGGTGGCAGTGGAAAAATCAGAAGCACAAAGGAAAACTCTTGGCCTCTGCTTTCTCCTGTAGCACAAAGAGGGAGTTGGCTGGATCTTTTGGTGGAGTCAGGAAAGACAGGCTGAGCTTTCTAGCCTAAGTGTGGAGAAGGATAGCCTCAGCCACAAAACTCTGTCAGGCATTGAATGACAAGCATCAGTAGCTGAGTGCACTCCTGGTGATCCTGGTTTTCCTTGACCACTGGCCCTGGGGCCATGGGTGCATGGACTCGTAAAGCTGCTAGGGCCCCTAGAAACCACCTGGGTTCAGCCTCTCCCACAATAAGAGTTCTTGCCCTTCATACCCTCTACCTGGATGGATGGTCTTTGGGCAGGGAATTAATGACAGAATGAGCAGTCCCTAATGGTATTGGGCAGTTGGGAGTGAGTTTAGGCAGCTTCTCTGTAACCGCTTCTGGGGCCACACCCCAAAACTCTACACCCTCTGCCCCAGAACAATTCTGCAGAGTGGTGAAGTTCACTTCCCCAACTCTTCTCCAAGTCTAGCTTTCCTTTCCTTCTGGCTCCAAGGTGCTCTGTGTCCGTCTGTGTATGTGTGTGTCTGTGCGTCTGTGTGTTTATTTGGGGAAAAGGGCAATCAGCAATCAACTGAGGTTTCTTAATTGTGATTATATTCCTGAGAATGAATGAGTAGGAAAGGAATAAGGATGTTGTTATGATCGCCTGTGGATTTTGTCCATTCATCTCATGCTCTCTGAACAGAAGGTATACCTGGGAAGATACCAGCTTTTTCTCTCAGGGTTCTGAGTCAGAGGACACCATCCAAGAATGTTGTTAGCTTTTCAGTTCCCGCTCTGCATTGCCTGAAAAAACTGGTATGTTGCACGTATGCTTTTGGTTGAAATTGAACATACTCTAGTGAATGTGCCTTAAAAATCAAGACACTAGTTCAGAGGAAGCACATAATGTCCAGATCTATGGCGAACACAGGTGTTGGAAGCCAGGACTGTGATAATCAGAAGCTATAAGAGAACTTTCGGAGCCTGCCTCCTTCAGTGACAAGTAGGGCACAAAATTCTAGAAGCAGAAGGTTGTTTTTTTTTTTTTTTCTCCATTCTGAAAATAGCAGGACATTTACCTCTTAAATAAACTTAGCATTTAGAGGTAATTCTAAATTTAACAAGTGACAGGGTTGGTTTCAAAGAAAAAGGTCCATGCTTTGCTTACAATGGAGTCTGCAGTGAGGGGAGATGCTGGGATAGCCATTTCCATGGCTCTGTTATGCAAGCACAAATTTCATCTCCTAGATGGACTTCCTGGTTTTCTCTTACTGCAGTAACACTGGCCTTCCCTTCTCTAATTCCTTACCCCAGCTGCGGCATCCCTGTGTTAACTCAGGATGCCAAGTGGCCCTCAGATTACACTTCTCCAGATAGCTGAATGAGTCTGCTTTCACTGTGACTGGGACCTGAATGACCTGCAGTCAGGGCCCAGAGTTGGGACTCTATACTACCCTGGGCTCTGGTCTGTAGGTTTGTAGTAGCCACCGGTAATAAGCCAAGGGCTAGGCTCTTGTTTGAGTTTATGGCCACCTGGAATTTTCAGTCATCTCATGATACAGGCGGGAGGGGCAGAACAGATAGATTACGACAGGTTTGGTTTTTAAATTTTCCAACCAAGTGGAAAGGCAAGTTGGTCTTATAGAAAGCACTACTGCACTTAGTAGCTATGTGATTTTGAGCAAACCACATAATCTCTCTAGGTCCATTTTCCTAACCACAAGATAAAGATGTTACATTGTCAAAGCTTGCCGTAGGATTTGGGGTGAATGAAAATTATTCCTTGCTTTCATCACTACCTTTATAGCTCTCATCACTACCTTTATAGCTCATCACTGTGCCTTTTTTTCTTTCCTAAGAAAGACATCACATCCCTCTCCTCTCCTCCTCTGTGCTCCTGTCCCTCCCTCCCCCTAGCAAGGTCCAGGCAAAGCTGGAGATGAGGCTGAGATCCAGAGTTTCCTAGAACGCAACTTAGGATGGCTAGGAAAGGGAAGCCTGACTGCTCGGTCAGGAGGGTGCAGTATCTCTTGCTGGGAACACAGCCAGTTTTCACAATGCCTAGACTGTGTATGTCTATTTGCACAAGATTGTCTTTTCCTATTTTGGAGTGGTCAGACATTTTATTTTTGTTCAAGATTATCTGGCGTTTTAGACAAATTTGCAAAACTGTGCTTTTATTGACTTTTTGAATAAACTTTGGTATTCTGGAGCAAATGTATTTATTTATTGGTATGTGCAATGACAAACTTGGTATTTTCCCATGTTGACATTATGTATGTTGTAGAATTTAGTGTTTGTCTAAGTACACACATATATCAACAAATTAAACTTGAATCGTTTCAACACTTCTGTGTACTTTTTTCATAAAGGGGAAAAAAGCCCTGTTTACTTCCTAATTTTTTTCTATACCTTTCATTCATTGTTTCCTAGGAGCCTCAGGTGGGTAAGTAGGTGATAATAGCAAAGAGATCATAACCTCACCAATGACATGTGGGTCAACACTGTCCTTCCTCTGGCCTGTGCCTTTCAAGTTTAAGGTTCATCAGAACCACACCCAGAGGCTGGAAAAATGGTGAAGTCAGAAGGTACTTAAGTTAGAGCAGTTCTCTTCAGGGTCTGCTGTGCCGCCTGAAGGGGCTGGTGGTTCCTCAGTATCCCCTGTGGGCCTGGCCTTAGGAAGAGAACAGGGCTGTAGAGATGAAAAAGGTATAAAAGACCCAACCACTTGATGTCTCAGGGCTTGCTTGGACCCTAACCCATTTAAACAGGACCTCGAGATGCTTAGGAATCTTTTTTTGTTGCCGGGCAGCTGTGGCAGATTTGAAGGCAAAAGGAAGGGAGGCTACAGTTGTAGCTAGAAGCAGACATGAAAGCTAATGGTCTGACCCAGACAAGAGGTTATAACTAAAGGCACCCGGAGACTGCAGAAGGGCCCTGGGCCACTCCTGGCAATCAGGGTAGCCTTAGAGGGTGTCAGGTGTGACATCTCAGCAACACTGGACTTGACAGAGTGGTGACAGGGATCATGCTGTCACCAAGCACCTACCACATGCTTTGCCCTGGCACAGACACTTTATAAACAGCATCTTATTTAATCCAAACAGCCCTGTAAATAGAGCATTATTCCCAATTCATGGGGAAACTGGTTCTCTGAGAGGTTAAGGAATGACCTAAGAGGAGAAATTTGGGCTATTTTCTTTGTATAAAAAAAGGGAAATAAAGGAAAAGGAAGCACATTTTAGAAAAGTCAATGGTCAAGGCAAAGTCATAAATGTGTTCATGTTTTTTCTCAATATTGCTGAATAGCTAAAGCACTAAATTTTTCTTTGGAATACAAATAGTCCAGATTGAAGAGAACTTTGAGAGTGTGGTAATAATTCGGGTTTGTTTATTCCCCCAGATCTAGAGTTCTGATGTGACCAAGAGCATTTCCTACCTGAACCATGGCCTATCTCCTGTGGCCTCTGCCTCTGGTGGGAAATAGCGCATACAGGATATTCTAAAAAGGAAAGAGGGTTTTGTTTGTTTAGTCATCAGGTTCAAAAATCTTAAATGGCTATAGACAGGGGTGACCCTACGTCCAGGACAGTCTTAGTTTATGCCTATCACCTTGGCATAATTATATTAAAGCTCCCTTTTTCCAAAGTGTTTGAATTTGGACCTTAAGTTATTTGATCACCCAAGCCATATAAGGTGCATTGTATGGTTCTCAAAGGCCGTTGATTCTACAGGCCAAATACACCTCCACTCCTCATCACGACTCCCTGGGCCCAGCTTCTGGAGCTAGTCATGGAGATAATGGTTTCTTTGTGCTCCTGTTGTGACCAGGAAAGGGGATCTCCTGGCTGCACCACCCACCTGATTTACCAAGAGTGATCCCAGATTATGCAGTTGTTTTGTGAGCTAACTGTCCATAAAGGTATGACTTGTGTACTCTGCCACAGTGCCAAAAGGCCAGGGGACTGATCAAGTTCCCAGCACCCTCGTGAGAAATGAAGACCGCAAGAAAAGAGACAGCAGCCCTGGCAACAAAAACCGGACCCATGATTTTGTCATCCTGGGTTGTATATACACATATAACTGTCATCCCCGAAGGATAAAATAATTCTGGAAAATCCAAAAAGAATTTTCTAAATCCTAAATAACTGAAAGGTACATCCAAATGTCTGATATATAAATACACAAATATATTCCTTATATATAAACCAACCAAGAGCTAGGGCAGGAAGAACCACCATAAGGGCTTAGTACTTCTGGCAGGAATTTCCATAAGCCAATTTTCCCCAAAGACCAACAACACTTTACATAACAGCCTCACCAAAATACTTGAACATCCATGTATTTTCACACCCTACTGCTTTTTTCAACAACTCTTTCTGCCAAGAGTGTCCTCTCTTCTTTGCCTACCTGAAGAAGTTCTTTGCATGCCTCAAGGCCCACCTCCCAAGAAACTGTGAAGTTTCTTGGCAATACTTTAGCAAAAACAATTTATCTTTCCTGTAGTTTTGGGCCCATGTCTGAATTACAGCATAGCCCTTATAATAAAAACATAATTACCACTTAATGAGTGGTTATCATGTATGAGCTAGAACCAATGCTGTTTTACACACACTGATGATTTCATTTAACCAGGACCTTTAATACCCCTCCCTTTACTACCCTGAAGCCAAAGCTCAGACCAGTTAAGGAGCTGACCCAAGATTCCACAGCTAGAAAATGCAGGGACAGATTATGGCTCATGTTTCTCTGCCTGCAGGATTCACGATCCTGAGCCCTCTTACAGGGTCATAGTTCATTTTATCTGTCAGGCTCTCTCTCGTCACACTGAGTTTTCTGAGGGTAGAGATTGAGCCTCTGTTCCTAGCACCTGGCACTGAGCAATTGACTGCTAAATGAATGAATGAGCTAGAAGAGAACAGCAGTATTTATCTCTAATAAGGGAATCCTATCCTAAGGCCAAAAGTAAACCTGAGCCAGGAACCCAGGGCTCTCCTCATGAATCAACCCCTCACAGTGAACGAAGGGAAATAACACAGAAAACAATTTATCTAAACAGTAAAGAGCACCTGTTATTTTTCACCTTTCGTGTACAATACATCTAGATTGCATTCAGTATATTTTAAACTGCATTCTTCACAATGTGAATCAAATGTTCTACACAGAGATAGATGCAATATGCTTTCTATAAACTCAGTCTTGAATGACTTTCTGTAACTCAATTAACAATAAATGCCTAGTAGTAGCTGACAGATTATCTTAATATGATCCCATACCTTCTAACAGCAGTCTGTATGCTGATGTATAATTTTAAACTGTTTTCCTGGCACCTTATTCATGCCAAGCATAATGTAACTCTAAAAGCCATATCTACCTTTACATAATGTCTTAATTTTCCAGTCTTCTACATTTCATGACTGGGAATGTCTTTGGGAATGTGCCCTCTTCGAACTCTCAGGTCTTACATGTAAACTGAATTCACACATACCTCATGATGTAATTCATGGGTGCTATCTTGTCTCAAGAAGACACACGTCAGATGCAGTAAGGAGAAAAGGCCTTTAGTTTGGTCAAAATCCTCCCAGTCTTAATCTAGTTGCTGCTACTTTCCCCAGCTCTCTCAAAAAGACCCAAATATCCGAGTATGGAACACATGGTCTCTACCCCTGGGCACTGCTATATTGGTTCTCTGCAACAGACATACTCCAACTTCCCTCTTGAGTTGGCACTTTGTATACAAGATCAGTCCTCATTTGTTTCAATTTATGGTTCTGAGAAGAAATTTCTCAAAGGGTGCAACATTCAGAAACAGCTTTAGGTAAGGACTGTCCATAAGCACACAGATTCTCTCCCCTATTGCTGGCTTCCTGGCCTTCTGAGCTCCTCATGGCAGGAGCAGAATTCACAATCTTGAGCCCTCTTATAGGGTTGCAGCCTCCTCATGGCAGGACCATCCCTGGGCAGGGCTTCCTGCAGCTTCAATGGCCTCAAGTCTTGACTCTGCAGGGCAGGGTCTAAAGTCTCTATCTAAAGCTTCCTCTGTCCACTGAAAACCAGGAGTGCAAAGGTACTTCTGGGCTTGGCAGTTCTGTTAAGCAGAACAGGGGTAAAGGAAGCTAGATATCCAGGTAGTATCAGAGTAAAACAGTCCCCAAACAAGCCTCTGGGCTCATTCTCAGATCAGTGGGAGTCTTCCCTACTCTGGAGAAAAGAGGATGTCTGAGGCAGCATCAATGTTCCTAGGAAGACCCTCGCTGCGAGGAAGAGGCTTCAGCTTAGACAGCAGAGTCTTACCCTCCTCTGGGCCCATTAGCCCCACAAACAAAATGTTCTCTTCTCACCAGGGGACTACTAACCTGCTCAAGGCCCAAAGAATAAGGGATCTTGGAGTCTGAAATCTTCATTCTTGCAACCTTAAGTCCTCATCATCTGTAAGCTGATGTTCGTTCACAGGTGAACTATCTGTTACACCTACCAGGAAGAGTCAGACCTTTGCCCCTGAGTGGTCCCATCTGTAATTACAATAGACCAAACATAATTACTTAATGGATCAACTTCTCTGATAGAGGAAAGGCAGGAAGAGAAAGAGCGAAGCTGTCCTGTGTTCACACTAATGTCCGTGTTTTACAAGGTGACAGGTGTGTGAGCACCAGGAAGGATACATGATATCCATGATAGTGGCCTGATAGCTATGACACTTGAACACAGTGAAGAAAGTGCAGGGCACAGGGCCAAGAAGGAAATCTGAGGAGAGAGAGGTCACCTTGGGACTTGAGTAATGGATACTTCAGACTGGCTGTTTTCACTCTAAACCCTGGGGGTTACGCTTCCTCAGCATGCTGCCTGTATATGCTTTATCGGTGCTGATGCCCAACCCTTCATCTTTAAAGTCTTGGGACCACTCTTCTTTGGTGGTTTCCTCTTGCTCAGGGTAGCTATCTGCACTGAATCCAGCATTCTCTGCCAAGACAGCAGGATCCTCGTCTTCATGAAAACAGCAGGAACATGTTTCTGGCTTTGGATCACACGAGGTAACAGAATTATCTTCCTGGGCTCTGGGGTCAGTGGGCAGACTTTCCCAACCCAAATGATCTGATTCTTCCTCTTCTATCATTCCCATTCTTTCAGCTATTTCTTCAGCAGAAAGTTCTTTTGGGTCAGGGTAATCCACCAAGATTGTTTCTTGCCTACGCTTGATACAGTCTGAAAGGTCATAAATTGGGTAAGTCTCTTCAGGGTAACCTAGAGAGAAAAGTAGCACAAAGTATTACAAAGAATGTCTCCTCAAAAAAAAAAAAAATAGTGTCAGGTTCAAAGAGGATTCTCAGGCAGCAGCCATCCTATCCTAACAAATCCATTCAAGACATCTCTAAGATTCCAATAGTTCTAAAGTTTTACTTGAGCAAATTCTTAGCAATCTGGCTATCCCAGTGCTCTTTGAAATACAAACTAATTCAGATGAAAATCCCTTCTTATGTGTAGGGTGCTTGGGGCAGAGTTAAGTCTTATACCATGTGTTTTTGCAGTACTGATGAAGATTAAACAAACAACATGAGCCTTTAGTTAAAACAAAAAAAGCATCAAAACCAGACAGAGACAGCACAGCTCCAGGCTAATGTTTATAATTTCTATTTGGAACAATTTCCAAATCTTCCTTGGTGGAGTGGGGAGAGGAAAGGAATGCTAAGCTCTTTGAAAAATACACCATGAAGCTTTCTATTTATCCAAACAATTGAAATGGCTTGCAAGTGTCAAAAATAGAGAGCACTTTAGCAAGGCATGCCCAAGATCCCGAAAGGACAAGCACTGCATTTTCGGAAGACAGAATTCCTGTTGTTGGCTTCTTCATCTTCACAAAATGGAACAAAAGAAAACAACAAACTGGCAAACAAAATGAGTAACACTGGTACTGAATCCCAGCTAGGATAATGAGAAAAGAGAAACTGTTGCCAAATTACCAAACTAAATGAAATAAATCTGTGTCCGCCAAGCAAGCCTGAGCAGCAGATGGGCCGTGCTGGAGCTCACACACCAGTACTGGCACCAGCGGCCGTAATCACGATACAGTGCAGAAAGCTGGAGGATTCAGAACCCATTTGCCCATTATGATAATTGGCAAATTCAACCCTAACGTAAACCATTTTTTGCCTACAACTGTGACAAATAAGTCTTTTTTGGTGCAATGTAGGGTGTGTGTGGAGACATTTCTACATTTACTGCTTTTTCTGACTATAAAAATCATACAGACTCATTTGTAGAAAATTTGAAAAAAATACAGGCTAGTTTAAAAAAGAAAACACAAATCACCCATAATATCTTCACTCATAATAATTTGCTTTTTTCTGGTCTTTTTTTAACCGTATATACACATATATTTTCTTTTCTTTTCTTTTCTTTTCTTTTTTTTTTTTTGAGACGGAGTCTCGCTCTGTCGCCTGCCCAGGCTGGAGTGCAGTGGTGCAATCTCGGTTCACTGCAACCTCTGCCTCCCCGATTCAAGTGATTCTCCTGCCTCAGCCTCCTGAGTAGCTGGGATTACAGGTGCATGCCACCACACCTAGCTAATTTTTTGTATTTTTAGCAGAGACGGGGTTTCACTATGTTGGCCAGGCTGGTCTCAAACTCCTGACCTCAGGTGATCCACCCACCTCGGTCTTCCAAATTGTTGGGATTACAGGCATGAGCCACCGCGCCCGGCCAACATGTATTTTCTTATTCCCCTTTTTTAAAAAGAAGGATCATATTTGTGTATAAAAGGTTATATCCTGATGTTTTTCAATTCAACATTATATCATGAGCATCTCTCCATGTCATTAGGCATTTGAAAGTTGGTTGCAAAATATCTCATCATATAGCTACATAACTGACATGATTTACTAGTCCTCTTTTCTAGGGCATTTAGATTCTTTCCAATTTTCCCCTATTATAAGTAGTATACAAGTTAAGATTTCTTAATATAAATCTATGTCCACTTCCCTAGTTCTTTAAGATAGACTTCTATAAATATGAAAACTAGACCAAAGGGAATGGACATTATAAAAGCCTTTTTTATACTGTGCCAAATTACTTTCCAGAAGAGTGGTATAAATTTTCAATCCTACCAGTGATATAAAGACTGTCCATCTTATGACACCCTCACCAGCACTCACAGTAGTATGTTAAGAATTTTGCCAATGCAGTCTTTATTCCAAGGCTTAACTTACTGCGGATGGAATGCTAGGTAAAGTGGAGCTTAGCTAACCCAAGACCCTCAGCCACCATGGTCAAGGATAGGATCTGGAGAAGCTGCTTGCTAGTCAGCTCCCAGCCACTGAATGCTTAAAAGAAGTCCATTTGCTGGCATGTCCCTGTCTTCCCACACTTAGAACAAAGCTTATCTTTGAATTTTCATGACTATCTGCTTTAAGAGGGAAGGTCACCCAGACTCAGGCTCTCAGCCTACCCCAACACCAGGCCTCAGTCCAGCTCTGCATCCCTAGTCATAATGCCTGCACCCACAGACCCAGCCTCCATGCTGGCCCCTGCAGATACAGACTCCGGGCCCACCCAGCATCAGGCCAGCAACTATGGCCCCAGAATCCAGTCCCACCCTAGGTTCCAGACAAAACCAGAGCCAGGTCTGCCCACATAGCCCAGTGCCAAATTGGCACCCCAATGGCACCCAAATTGGAGCCTGCAGACACAGGCTCCAGGCCTGCCCAGTGCCAGGCTAGTCTCTATGACCACCCCCACCTTCAGGTTGGCCCCTGCATTCCCACAATCCAGCAGACCCTGGGTCTAGCCCAACCCAGTAGACCCCAGCATTGGGCCGGCCCTCAGAACCCCAGGACTGCCCCTATGGACCTAGGTTCTAGGCTGAGGCCTGTGGCCCCAGGACCCAAGCCAGCCCTAATGAACCTAGCCTTCAGACACATCCATCAGACTCAGCCTCCAGGCCCATTTCAGTGGACCCGGGCACCAGGTTCATCCTAGCACCTGGCCAATCTCTGAAGACCCAGGCTCAAGGCCCAGTCCAGCCCCAGGTCAGCCCTTGTGGACCTAGGCTTTGGGATAGCCTCTCTGCACAAGATACAAGCACCAGGTCCATGCCTGAGGATCCAATCAACAGGTACACCCCAGTGGATCCAGGCTTCAACCCCAACCCCACGGACTCAACACCAGGCCACCCTGCCTAAGGACTCTACCAGCAAGTCTACCTGCAGATCACACCAAATGGCCTACCCAGAATCTCTGGGCAGGCTGACTGGTGAATGGCTTTTCCGGACAAAGCCAGAATGCAAAAACCATTCACCAGCAAAAGTCCCTGCTTCTTCAAATGCACAGATACCAATGCATAGCCATGAGGATCAAGAACAATCAAGGAAACATGTTGCCACCAATGAACAAAATAAAGCACCAGGAACAGACTCTAAAGAAATGAAGATACGGCCGGGCGTGATGGCTCACGCTTGTAATCTCACACACTTTAGGAGGCCAAGACAAATGGATCACCTGAGGTTAGGAGTTCAAAACCAACCTGGCCAACATGGTAAAATCCTATCTCTACTAAAAATACAAAAAATTAGCCGGGCGTGGTGGCAGGCGCCTGTAATTCCAGCTACTCAGGAGGCTGAGGCAGAAGAATCGCTTGAACCCAGGAGGCAGAGGTTCCAGTGAGCCAAGATCAAGCCATTGCACTCCAGCCTGGGCAACAAGAACAAAACTCCATCTCAAAAAAAAAAAAAGAAAGAAAGAAAGAAAAAGAAGACACATGAACTGCCTGACAAAGAATTCAAGATAACTGTTTTAAGGAAACTCAGCGAACTTCAAGAAAATACAGAGAAACAATTAAAGGAAACCAGGAAAACAATAAATAACTAAAACAAAAAATTTACGAGAGATTGAAATTATATTAAAAAAATCAAACAGAAATTCTACAGCTGAAAAATACGAGAATTGAAATGAAAAATGCAATAGAGAGTATCAACAGCAGAACTGATTGAGCAAAAGAATGAACCTTTGAATCTAAAGACAGATTATTTGACAATATACAGTTGGATGAGAAAAAAAGAATGAAAAGAAAGCAAGCTTATGGGATTTATGGGAACTGGAGTTCAAGAAGGAGGAGACGGACACAAAGGGATAGAAAGCTTAAAGAAATAATAGCAGAAAACTATACAAATCTGGGGAAAGTTATAAATATCTGGGTACAAGAAGGTCAAAAGTCTCCAATCAGACTGAACTCAAGTAAGACTATATCAAGAAGTATTATAATCAAACTATCAAAAATCAAAGACAGAGAGGATGCTGGAAGCAGCAAAAGAAAAAAAGTACATCACATTATAAGGGAGTTCTAACAGATTTATCAGCAGAAACCTTAAAGGCCAGAAAAGAGTGGGATAATATATTCAAAATGCTTACGGAAAACAAAAACAAAAACAAAAAAAAAAAAGGTCAACCAAGAATATTGTAGTTGGCAAAGCTCTCCTTCAGAAATGAGGAAAAAACAAAGACTCTGCCAGACAAAAGCTGAAGGAGCTTATCCCCACAAGATCTATCTTATAAAAAATGCTCAAGGGTGTTCTTCAAGTAGAGAGCAAGGGACACTATTCAGTAACACAAATATACATATATATATATATGAAAGTATAGGCTAGGTGCGGTGGCTAACGCCTGTAATCCCAGCACTTTGGGAGGCTGTGACAGGTGGATCACCTGAGGTCAGGAGTTCGAGACCAGCCTGACCAACATGGTGAAACTCCACCTCTACTAAAAATACAAAATTAGCTCGGCATGGTGGTGCATGCCTGTAATCCCAGCTACTTGGGAGGCTGAAATGAAAACTATAAAACATTGATGAAAGAAATTGAAGAAGACACAAATAAAATGAAAAGATGTCCCGTTTATGGATTGGAAGAATTGATACTGCTATAATGTCCATACTATACAAAGCAATCTACAGATTTAATACAATCCCTATCAAAATTTCAATGACAATTTTCACAGAAATAGAAGAAACAATTCTAAAATTCATATGGAACCACAAAAGACCCCAAATGGCCAAAGCAATTGTGAACAAAAAGAACAAAGCCAGAGGCATCACAGTACCTGATTCCCAAATCTACTACAAAGCTATAGTAATCAAAACAGTATGTTACTGGCATAAAAACAGACACACAGACTGATGGAACAGAATAAAAGCCCAGAAATAAATCCACATATTTATGGTCAATTTTTTTAAACAAAGATGCCAAAAAATAAAACACACACACACACAGGTCAAAGGACAAACACAAAAAGGTCAAAGGACAATCTCTTCAATAAATGGTGTGGGGAAACTAGATATCCACATGCAAAACAGTGAAATTAGACCCTCATCTCACACCTCACATTTACAAAAATCAACTCAAAATGCACTGAAGACTTAAACATAAGACCTGAAGCTGTAAAACTACTAGAAGAAAACCTAGGGAAAAAGCTCCATGACATTGGTCTGGACAATGATATTTTTGGATATGACACCAAAAGCCCATGCAACAAAAGTGAAAATAGACAAATGGGATTACTGAAAGTTTCTGTACAGCAAAGGAAACAACAGTAAAGAGACAATCTATGTAATGGGAGAAAATATTTGCAAACCATATATTTGATAATGGGTTAATATGCAAAATATATAAGGAACTCAACTCCACAGCAAAAGAAAACCCAATTTAAAAATGGGCAAAGGATATAAATAGACACTTCTCAAGAGAAGACAGAAAAATAGTCAACAGGCATATGAGAAAGTGCTCAACATCATTAAACATTCAAGAAATGAAAATTTAAACCACAATATCACCACATCTGTTAGAATGGCTATTATCAAAAAGACAAAAGGCAATAATAAGTGTCAGCAAGGATGTAGAGAAAAGGGAACCCTTATATACTATTGCTGGGAATGTAAACTAGTACAGTCACTATGGAAAACAGTATACTGGCTCCTCAACAAATTAAAAATAGAACTATCATATGATCCAGTAATCCCACTACTGGATATATATCCAAAAGATAAGAAATCAGTATGTCAAAAAGATATCTGCACTCCCATGTTCACTGCAGCATTATTCACAATAGCCACACTATAGCATCAATCTGAACATCCATGAATGGATGAATAAAGAAAATGTGGCACATATACACAACAGAATAGTACTTAGCATTTTTTTGTTTTTGGAGACGAGGTCTCACACTGTCACCCAGGCTGGAGTGCAGTGGCACAATCTCAGCTCACTGCAGTCTCCACCTCTTGGACTCATCTCAGCCTCCCACCTCAGCCTCCCAAGTTGCTGGGACTAGACACATGCCACCATGCCTAGCAAATTTTTGTATTTTGTGGAGACAGGGTTTCACCGTGTTGCCCAGGCTGGTCTTGAACTCCTAGGCTCAAGCAATCCACCTGCCTCGGCCTCCCAAAGTGTTGGGATTACAGGCGTGAGCCACCATACCTGGCCTACTGAGCTTTCAAAAAGGAAATCCTGTTATTTATGACAACCTAGATGAACTTGGAGGACATTATGTTAACTGAAATAAGCCAGGCACAGAAAGACAGATACAGCGTGATTTCACTTACATATGGAGTGTAAAAAGGTCAAGCTCATTAAGAAAATAAAATGGTGGTTATCAGAAGCTAGGGGGATCAGGGAAATGCTAGTCAAAGGACATAAAATTTCAGCTGGATAGGAGGAATAAATAAGTTCAAGAGATCTATTATACATTATACAGACTATAGTTAATAACAGTATGTTGTATATTTGAAAATTGCTAACAGAGTACATTTTAAGTGTTCTCACCACAAAAATCCTTAAGTATGTGAGGTAATGTGTATGTTAAATAGCTTGATTTAGCCATTTCACAGTGTATACATATATCAAAACATCAATATATATAATTTTATGTATTAATTAAAATAAATAATTTTCTTTTTAAAAGAGGAAGAGGCCCACTGAGGAAAATCAAATAATAACTCATAAAACTGCTGAGGTAGCCTATGTAAGCCATCATTACTGGTTACTCAAAAACATCATTAAGGCTGGGCACGGTCGCTCACGCCTGTAATCCCAGCACTTTGGGAGGCCGAGGCGGGCAGATCACGAGGTCAGGAGATCAAGACCATCCTGGCTAACACGGTGAAACCCCATCTCTACTAAAAATTAAAAAAAATTAGCCAGGCGTGGTGGCAGGCGCCTGTAGTCCCAGCTACTTGGGAGGCTGAGGCAGGAGAATGACGTGAACCTGGGAAGTGGAGCTTGTAGTGAGCCAAGACCCTGCCACTGCACTCAAGCCTGGGCATGACAGAGCAAGGTTCCATCTCAAAAAAAAAAAAAAAAAAAGACCATCATTAAAAATATAAGCAAGCAACAAAAATTCACTGCTCCTATGAGGAAACCAGCAGTTCAAAATGAGGGAACAAAACTAACCAAAACAAACAATGCCAATAGTCTCTAATAAAATAGTTAGTGCAGGAGATAAAGGCGTTAACATCAACCAATTTATGATTGATATTCCTAATAATATTCAAGAAGATACTGCATTGATAAAACCTAGCCAGGCTTCAATTTAAAAAGGTAGCAAACAAGAAATAAAAAGGAGCTATTGAATAGAAAGCCATAATTGTAAAAAAAAAAAAAAAAAAAAAAAAAAAATTAATGCTCAGGCAAGAAAACAGCAGATTGGGCTGGGCGCAGTGGCTCACGCCTGTAATCCTAACAGTTTGGGAGGCTTAGGCAGTTGGATCACCTGAGGTCAAGAGTTCGAGACCAGCCTGACCAACATGGCAAAACCCTGTCTCTACTAAAAATACAAAAAAAATTAGCCAGGAGTGATGGCGGGCACCTGTAGTCCCAGCTACTTAGGAGGCTGAAGCATGAGAATCACTTGAACCCAGGCAGCGAAGGTTGCAGTGAGCTGAGATCACACCATTGCACTCTAGCCTGGGAGACGGAGTGAGACTCCATCTCAAAAAAAAAAAAGAAAAAATAGCAGATTGAAATGGACATGGCTGAAAACCAAATTAGTATATTAAAAGTCCAAGTTGAGGAATTCTCCCAGCACAAAGATAAAATGATAAAGAAATGGAAATTATGAGGAAAAAAGATAAGCTACATGGCAAACTATCAACAATATCCAATCTCAGAATTACTGGAATTCTAGAATGAGAGAACAAAATAAGGTAAATGGGAACAATAATCAAAGAGATTATAAAAGAAAATACCCTTTAGCTGAAGAAAGCCTTGAGTCTTCAGATGGGAAGGACTCGCTAAATGCTTGGCAAAAATACTATGAAAAATCCACACATTCGTACACGCTCAGACACATGCAGATTATCCAACCAAATTCAGATTTTTAAAAGCTGGAGGCATCATGCTACCTGACTTCAAACTATACTACAAGGCTACAGTAACCAAAACAGCATGGTACTGGTACCAAAATAGAGATATAGACCAATGGAACAGAACAGAGGCCTCAGAAATAACACCACACATCTACAACTATCTGATCTTTGACAAACCTGACAAAAACAAGAAACGGGGAAAGCATTCCCTATTTAATAAATGGTGCTGGGAAAACTGGCTAGCCATATGAAGAAAGCTGAAACTGGATCCCTTCCTTGCACCTTATACAAAAATTAATTCAAGATGGATTAAAGACTTAAATGTTAGACCTAAAACCATAAAAACCCTAGAAGAAAACCTAGGCAATACCATTCAGGACATAGGCATAGGCAAGGACTTCATGACTAAGACACCAAAAGCAATGACAACAAAAGCCAAAACAGACAAATAGGATCTAATTAAACTAAAGAGCTTCTGCACAGCAAAAGAAACTACCATCAGAGTGAACAGGCAACCTACAGAATGGGAGAAAATTTTTGCAATCTACCCATCTGACAAAGGGCTAATATCTAGAATCTACAAAAAACTCAAATTTATAAGAAAAGAACAAACAACCCCATCGAAAAGTGGGCAAAGGATTATGAACAGACACTTCTCAAAAGAAGACATGTATGCAGCCAACAGACATATGAAAAAATGCTCATCACTGGCCATCAGAGAAATGCAAATCAAAACCACAATGAGATACCATCTCACGCCAGTTAGAATGGCAATCGTTAAAAAGTAAGGAAATAACAGATGCTAGAGAGGATGTGGAGAAATAGGAAGGCTTTTACACTGTTGGTGGGAGTGCAAATTAGTTCAACCATTGTGGAAGACAGTGTGGCAATTCTTCAAGGATCTAGAACTGGAATTACTATTTGACCTGGCAATCCCATTACTGGGTATATACCCAAAGGATTATAAATCATGCTACTATAAAGACACATGCACACGTACATTTACTGCAGCACTATTCACAATAGCAAAGACTTGGAACCAACCCAAATGTCCATCAATGATAGAATGGATTAAGAAAATGTGGCATATATACACCATGGAATACTATGCATCCATAAAAAAGGATGAGTTCATGTCCCTTGCAGGGACATGGATGAAGCTGGAAACCATCATTCTCAGTAAACTATGACAAGGACAAAAAACCAAACACTCATAGGTGGGAACTGAACAATGAGATCACTTGGACACAGGGTGAGGAACATCATACACCGGGACCTGTCGGAGGATGGAGGGCTAGGAGAGGGATAGCATTAGGAGAAATACCTAATGTAAATGATGAGTTGATGGGTGGAGCAAACCAACATGGCACATGTATACCTATGTAACAAACCTGCACGTTGTACACATGTACCCTAGAACTTAAAGTATAATAATAAAAAAGACACCAATACCCCAAATATAATTTAAAAAAAAAAGAAAGAAAATAAAACAAATTTCCAGACAGAAAACAAACAAGCTACCTAACTAAAAACAGGTAACCTATTGAGAAAAAGAAGCAGACCAGGATAAGATTTCTCATTTTCAATATCAAATTAAAGTAGAGAATGAAGCAATATTTTCAAACTTTTTAGGGAAAATGGCATAATCAACGATTTTATACCCAGCCAAACAATTTGTGTACAGGTGAAAAATATGTACAGATATCCAAGTATTCAGTACACAATACTATATGGGAAAAATATAAAGGTATTCTTGACAAATACAAAAATTAGTCAAAATTTAAATTCAAGAAAGATGATGCTATATATGAGACAGTGGTTAAGAATGAAATCTGTAAGAATTATCAACATAAAATAAGTATTGATAATGTGGCCTAGGAATTTAATGCTGCCGTTAAGAAATGACACTTAAAACAGAAAAGGTTAATATCTTTAAAAATTAATATCACTTGTAGTTAAAATTCCATATAATTTCAACAAAACCTAAAAGGTAGGTAGAGGGGGAACAACGAAAACTGCAATTTGGAGGAAAAACTGAATTTCATTTCATTAATTACTTGTGAGATTAAAATACTTTTTTATATGTTTCATAGCTGGTTGCATTTTTTTCTCTTTGTGAACTGCTTATCTGTAAGGATATCAGTGTTTTCTAAATTAGTTCTAGAACTTTTTAATATATTAAATATATCCACCAGGCGCAGTGGCTCACGTCTGTAATCCCAGCACTTTGGGAGGTTGTGGTGGGCAGATCGCTTGAGGCCAGGAGTTCAAGACCAGCCTGGTCAACATGGCAAAACCGTGTCTCTACTAAAACTAAAAAAATTAGCTGGGCATGGTGGCACATGACTGTAGTCCCAGCTATTTGGGAGGCTGAGGCACGAGAATCACTTGAACCCAGGAGGCAGAGGTTGCAGGGAGCAGATATCAAGCTACAGCACTCCAACTTGGGCAAAAAAGCAAGCAAGCCTCTGTCTCAAAAAAAATAATAATAACTTTTTTCAATCATATTTGTTATAAATATTTTTCCAGTTTATTCTTGTCTTTTAAACTGTGTGATATTCTCTGATCTGCAGAAGGTAAAAGTTTTATGTATTTAAGCTACACAATCTTTTCCCTTAGAATTTGTGTTGCTTTTAAAAAAATTAACCTTTTTTATTTTGAGATAATTATAGATTCACAGGCAGCATATAAGAAATAATACAAGCCAGGCACAGTGGCATGCACCTGGAGTCCCAGCTACTCAGGAGGCTGAGGTGGGAGGATCGCCTGAGTCCCAGCATGGGCAACATGGTTAAGACTCTATCCCTTTAAAAAATACTACTACTAGTAATACAGAAATCCCATGTACCCTTTATCCAGTTTCTCCCAAAGGCAACATCTAGCAAAACTGTACTACAATATAACAACCAGGATATTAATATTG
The DNA here is from genome assembly GCF_000001405.40 of Homo sapiens. Lineage (NCBI taxonomy): Eukaryota > Metazoa > Chordata > Mammalia > Primates > Hominidae > Homo > Homo sapiens. The sequence continues at coordinate 8,122,168 of NC_000011.10, forward strand.
ATATAGTCAGTATACAGAACATTTTCCATCACCACAAGGACCCCTTATGTTGCCCTTTCATGGCACACTCACTCTTCCCTACTCCTATTCCCCTCTTAACTCCTAGCAACAACTAATCAGTCCTCTATTTCTATAATATTGCCACGTCAATTATAAATGGAATCATATAGTATGTAACCTTTGGGAATTAGTTTTTTCCCCCTACTCAGCATAATTCTCTGGAAATTCATCTAGGTTGTTGTATATATAGTTCATTCCTTTTTATTGCTAAGTGTATACCACAGTGTGTATATATATATGTACCACAGTTTATTCACCTCCTAAAAGACATATGGGTTGTTTCCAGTTCTTGGCTATTGAAATTAAGCTGCTATAAATATTCACAAAGACTCATATGCAAAAGTTCATAGCTACTTGAGTCATAAGAGTGCAAAGCTAGGAACAACCCAAATGTTCCTCAACTGGTGAATGGACAAATTATGGTATAAGCATATAACTAAATAATTAGCCCTAGAATAAAGGCTGTTCTGGACCCAAACTAAAAAATGTTAAAGCTTTAAAGGATTCAACTATTTTCTACTAACCTAAATGCTAACCTAATAAATCCAACACTATTTAAAGTACTAAAACAAAATCCAGCACCTAACAATGCAAAATTTGTAATATCCATCATCCAATCAAAACCTACCAGGTATGCAAAAAAAAAAAAAAAAAAAAAAGGGAAATTAGGACCCATTACCAGGAGAAAAATTAGTCAACAGAAACATTCCCAGAAATGGCATGGATGATGAAATTAGCAATTAAAACAGTCAAGAAAGCTATTACAGATATGAATCATACGTTTAAGAGAGTAAAATATGAATAAATGAGACATAAAAAAGACCCAAATGAAACTTCTAGAGATGATAATGTCTGAAATTAAAAAACACTGAATAAGATTAACAGTGGGTTAGATACAGTAGAAGAAGACATCAATAAACCTGAAGACATAGCAAGAAAAACTATTCAAAACTAAGCATGGTAAGAAAAAAAAAAGTGAACAGAACTCACATGACCTGTGGGGCAATATCAAACATATATGCAACTGGAGAGCCAGAAGGAAATAAAAGAGAGACAAAAAGACACAGATCATTAATAAAATAATGGCCAAAAATATAGATCATGGGTCTAAGCTTCCACCTTGAGAAACTAGAGAAAGGCAAATTAAACCAAAAGTACCAGAAAGAAAGAAACACAAGTCAATGAAATAAGAAACAAACAAACAAAAAGAAACCAAATTACAGTTCTCTGAAAAGATCAACAAGGATGATAAACCTCTGGGCAGCTTGATCAGGAAAAGAAACAAATTACCAGGATCAAGAATAGAAGAGGGTGCACCCTACAGATCTTACGTATATTAAATGGATAATTAGACTATATTATGAACAACTTTATACTAACAATAAAGTTGACAATATGGATGAACTATGTAAATTCCTTGAAAGATACAAACTATCAAAAGTTCACTCAAGAAGTGAATGAACGAATAGCACTATATCCATAAAATACATTAAATTCATAGACATCTTCCCACAAATAAAACTCCAGGCCAACTGGGCACAGTGGCTCATGCCTATAATCCCAGCATTTTGGAGGCCAAGACCAGAAGATTGCTTAAGAGCAGGAGTTCAAGACCAGGCATGAGTAGCTGGGCCTACAGGCATGCACCACCACGCCTGGCTAATTTTTTAAATTTAAAAAATTGAAAAATTAAAAAATTAGCCAGGCATGGTAGTGCATGCCTGTAGGCTCAGCTACTGAGGCTGAGGTGGGAGGGTTGCTTGAGCCCAGGAGATCAAACAGTGAGCCATGATCACGTGCCACTGTACTCCAGCCTGGGCAACAGGGCAAGACCCTGAAAAAAAAAAGAAAGAAAGAAAGAAAAAGAAAAAGAAAAAGAGAAAGCAAGCAAGCAAGCAAGCAAGCAAGCAAGCAACTCCAGACCAAGATAATATCACTGGAGAATTCCACATAACTTTTATGGAATAAATAACAGTAACTCTATGAAACTTTTCCAGAAAATAGAAAAAGGAACACATCCCAATGCATTTTATGAGGCCAGGATTACCCTGAAATCAAAACCAAAGAAATTACAGGAAAAGAAAATCACAGACCAATATCCCTCACATATGCAAGACCTATACACTGGAAACTACAACACACTGCTGAGAGAACTTTTAAAAGATCTAAATAAATGGTGAGATATAAGACGTTCATGAACTAGAAGATTCAATATCGTTACAGTATTGATTCTTCCAAATTGATCTAAAGATTCAAAGCAGTACCAATCAAAATCCCATCAGGCTTTTTCATAAAAACTGACAAACTGATTGTAAATTTATCTGAAATTGTGAAGGAAATAGCCAAAATAATCTTGGGAAAAAAAATCTGAACAACTTGAACTACCCAAAATAAAGACTTACTATAAAGACATAGTAATAAGGACCGTGTGCTATTGGTACAAGTAGAGACATACAGATCAATGGAACAGAATAGAGCCCAGAAGAGACAAGCACACGCATGGTCAACTGGTTTGTCAAGCAAATGTCAAGCTAATTAAATGTAACAAAAGAAGCTGAACAATTGGGTATTTGATATGGAAAAAAATAAACCTCAGTCCTGACACCTCAGATCATCTATAAAGGTTAACTCAAAATAGATCACAGGCCTAAATGTAAAAGCTAAAACTGTAGAATTTCTAGAAAACATGGGAATTGGGAAACCTTGGGTTAGCCAAATATTTCTTAAACAGAACATAAAAAATGGGCTGGGCACGGCGGCTCACACCTGTAATCCCAGCACTTTGGGATGCCGAAGTGGGTGGATCACAAGGTCAGGAGATCAAGACCATCCTGGCTAACATGGTGAAACCCCGTCTCTACTAAAAATACAAAAAAATTAGCCAGGCATGGTGGCAGGCGCCTGTAGTCCCAGCTACTAGGGAGGCTGAGGCAGGAGGATGGCATGAACCTGGGAGGTGGAGCTTACAGTGAGCCGAGATGGCACCACTGCACTCCGGCCTGGGTGACAGAGCAAGACTCTGTCTCAAAAAAAAAAAAAAAGTAAATCGTAAAGAAAAAAATGGTTAAGTTGGACTTCATCAAAATTTAAAACTTCTACTCTTTGAAAGATGCTGTTAAGAAAATATAAAGGCAAGCTACAGAAAATATTTGCAAAATACAGAAATGATAAAGAATTTGTACTCGGAATATATACAGAACTCTTGCAACCCAACAAGAACCTAATCAACCCAATTTAAAAATTGGCAAACTACTTGAACAGACACTTCAAAGATATGCAGATGGCAAATAAGCACATGAAAAAATGTTCATCATCATTAGTCACTGGAGAAAGGTAAATTAAAGTCACAATTAAGGTATCATTTTACACTCACTAGAATGGATAAAATTAAAAAGACTGACAAGACAAAGTGTTACCAAGGATGTGGAGGAACTTTAATTGCCATACACCGCTGGTGGGAAGGGAAAAAGTAGACCTACTTAGGAAAGCAGGTTGACAGTTTCTAATAAAGTTAAACAGGTGGCCGGGCGCGGTGGCCCACAGGCCCACACCTATAATCCCAGCACTTTGAGGGGCTGAGGCAGGCAGATCACTTGAGGTCAGGAGTTTGAGACCAGCCTGGCCAACATGGTGAAACTCCGTCTCTACTAAAAATACAAAAATTATTCAGGTGTGGTGCCAGGCACCTGTAATCTCAGCTACTTGGGAGGCTGAGGCAGGAGAATCACTTGAACCCACGAGGTAGAGGTTGCAGCGAGCTGAGATTGCTCTGCAAACTCCAGCCTGGGCGACAAAGTGAGACTGTCTTGAAAAACAAAAACAAAGTTAAATATACAATTACCTTAAACCCAAAAATCTCACTCCTAGGTATAGACTCAAAAGAAATACAAATATATGTTCAAACAAAGACTCATATGCAAAAGTTCATAGCTGCTTGAGTCATAAGAGTGCAAAGCTAGGAATAACCCAAACGCTCCTCAACTGGTGAATGGACAAACAAATTATGGTATAAGTATATAACTGACTACTACTCAGCAAGAAAAAAATTTCAGATACACTCAATAACAAACATGAATGTCAAAAGTATTACGCTAAATCAAAGAAGCCAATGAGTATATGCAGTATGATCACTTACATAGAAAAGGCAAAACTAAAGGCACAGAAAGCACTTCAGTTGTTTCCAGGGGCAGGAGAAGGGCATTAGCTACAAAGGGGGAGCTTTCTGGAGTAATGGAAATGTTCTTTATCAAAATTACGGTGTGATTACACAAACTCTATATATTTGTCAAAACTCATCCAACCGTACATTTAAAACTGGTTAATATTACTGTTTATATATTATACCTCAATAATGAAGCTGATTTTTTAAAAATCTGTAACATCTCTTTTCTGGGCTGACAGCTAACAAAAAAATGAGAAGACACTGTTTACCTTCCCAGTCCTCCATGTAAGGGGCCTCCTCAGCTTCTTTCTCTGGAGAAAATCTGTCAATGAATTTTCCTTCTTTCATGACCCTGGTGATTTCTCGGAGCTGATGTAGCAACCGTTTCTCTTGGTCAGAAGTCACAGTCTGTGCTCTGCTTAGAAATATCAGACAATCCAACCATTTAGTGGTAAATACTCCTAGGCAATGGACGTAAACATCACTATGGTCTGTCTGGGTACTGGAATAGAAAGTGCAATTGCAGCAGATAATTATTCTAGGAATTGATCCTCCAACTGCATAGCTGGGAACTAGAGATGTTAGTTCAATGCTTTGATTTTATAAATGGGAAAATTAAAGCCCAGAATAGATCAAGTGATTGCCCAAGGTCCCGAAATTAGTTAATGTCAATACTAGGACCAGACCCCAGATGTCTCAGCTTTTAGTTCAGTGTTTTTTCAGGGTATGTCAATGCCCTGATTCTCTAATCGCCTAACAATTTCACTGCTACTCACATTACTCCATTTACTACAAGCCACTTTTCTCTGAAGCAAGGTCATCAAAGGAAAACGTTCTGGGCCATTAGCATCAACCGGGGAAAATTTATGCTACTAGAATCACCAGGCTTAATTTACGTGTGCAGGTATAAGGATATATTCTAAAATTTCAGAGGTGGGTGATTTTGAAAATTCAATCATCTAGACTAGAGAAATTGAGGAAACTGGGGTCCACAGAGGAGAAATATTGTTTATATATTCATACTGCCACTTAATGAAGCACTATAACTAAAACCACCCAGGCTTCTGATTGCATTCTGCGCAATTCTTGAAGCACAGTGCTCAAGTTCCACATTTTGGAAAACCTGGTTTGAATCCCAACTTACTTGTGTGGTTCTGGCAAATATCTGCAAAAATAACATGAGACTCAAGGATAACAGTTTGATTGTTTTCTTCTAGAGGAAAGCACTGCATCACACTGACAGGCAAACAAGGTCCTACTTAGAAGACTGATAACTATCTGCTTTGAGACCAGTTTTATCTAGCAGCAGGATTTAATGGAGGCTACTTATTCTCTTCTTAAAACCCAGACACAAGTTAATACAACACTTACAAAGGAAAAATGATGTACTATGTACTAGCCTGTGGAGATGGTCGTCTATTTTTCTAACAGCCAGTTCTGAGCCTGCATTCATTTCTCTGCTCAGCCTAACTTTAGCCTTAATGACTAATAAGGAAAATGAAAAGAGTATTTCTCCTTTCAACATGAAGATAGTAACTGAGGAAAATGAACATTACCAGAGACCTCAGTGAAAGGAAAATGGAAAACACCACGAGCTCCACTTCTTCCACACCAAGCAGCTTCAAAGCCATGAACTACTAAAGATGCCTGTCTGTTCCACATTCAGCTAAAATCCTATACTTACAGGGCCTCTGATAGCTCTATTCTTCCCATCAGTACAGGAGTCCTGACTCTCCACAACTGCTCGTGTGTCCCACATAACCCCTATTTCTTACTGTTAAAACAACCCACTTTGTGTGAGGCTTCTGGGGCAGACTAGAAGAGCTTACCTGCTTATCACAAACTCTTGTCTCTTCAGGCGGCACATGTTACTTTTCCAGACTGTACGCAGGGCATTCTGATCTTCAATGAATGAAACAGTCTTAATTCTGTTTCCTAAGTCATGGGAAATCAGAAGCCCTTATCCTAAAAGAGGATGGGTAGACTACAGGAAGCAGGAACAGACAAGAGCTTTCCCAGAGAACTCCAAACCAAAGCATCCTCATTTCACTCTTAACAAGTATACTTTTATTGTCCATATCATGCATTATGCATTAATCATGGTCTACCTTATGACATCTTCTGAATTTATTGCAATGAATATTTTCATGGATTCCTTATCATCTCAACTTGGTTTGATACTCCTAGAGGGCAGTAATAATTAAGTTGACAACAGTATAGACACAATGCCATGATCACTGTTAAGAGCTCAATAATTACGTGTTAGTTTGATTGATCCCCATTTCCTCACCATCCATTATTTTCTTCCACCTCCCTGAATTCTGGATTCCGTTCTATCATTTTATGAAAAGTTGCAAAAACTTTTTTTTTTTTTTTTTTTTTTTTGAGATGGAGTCTCGCTGTCGCCCAGGCTGGAGTGCAGTGGCGCCACCTCAGCTCACTGCAAGCTCCGCCTCCCGGGTTCACGCCATTCTCCTGCCTCAGCCTCCCGCATAGCTGGGACTACAGGCGCCAGCCACCTCGCCTGGCTAATTTTTTGTATTTTTAGTAGAGACGGGGTTTCACCGTGTTAGCCAGGATGGTCTCAATCTCCTGACCTCGTGATCCGCCCGCCTCGGCCTCCCAAAGTGCTGGGATTACAGGCGTGAGCCACAGCGCCCGGCCAAAAACTTTTACTCCTAAGTGATTTTTCACTTTACTAAGTCCAAGGGTCTTTTTCTCACATTTCATTCTTCTTGACTTCTCTATACCATAGACCATCCTCTGCTTGAAACCTCCTCCTCCCTTAGCTATTGAGACATTTGTATTCTCCCACTTCTTTAAACATTCCTTTTATCTATGATCCTGACTCACTTTTTTCCACCCACCTCCCAAAACAATTTTCCCAAGGCTCAATCCTAGGACTCTCATTTCTCCATTCTTATAATCATGCCCTCAGGAAGTTGACCCAGTATTACAGATTAGACCATCACCTCTATAGAAAAGATGTCCTAATGCTACTATTAATCTTGACTTTCCACACAAATTCCTGTCTCACAACTCCAGTTATTTCCTGGGCATTTCCACTTGGAGGCCTTGGAACTATGTTAAAGTTAACCTTAAATTCACCTCTTGAAACCAGGTCCCAGTTGGCTCAGGATCGTGAGCAACTGCATGAACAGGAAGACCAGAAGAGGCTGAGTATGGAAGATTCTAAGATGATAGAAAAATAAAAGGTCACAGTTGGGAAACACCCTCACCAGAATTTTGAATTCTATAAGCCCAGCAGAATCATCAAGTTCCAAATGCAAGAGTTAAGTACAGAGAATTAAATAGATGTTAATACCATTCATGGTTAGAACAGAACTCAGACCAGTAAAAGATTTCAGGATACTGCAGCAGAGTCTGATATGCCTCAAAGATTTGGTGATCTCACCTTTCTCCATGGAGATTTTCTCCATCTCTCACTCCCAGCCAATGACTTCCAAACCTGAGCCCTTTGCTCTGACCTCAAGAACCAAATTTCCTATTGCTGTTTCATATTATACATGGATGTTCTGATGGCATCTCAGACACACTCAGTGCTGAACTTATGATCCCAACTCCAAAGCCTTATGTACTTTCCCTTCTTTTGTATTTTATCTTAGTTAATGCCATAATCTTCCTTCCAGTTTGGCTGTAAATCTCCAATGCATCTTTATTTATTTATTCTTCTCCATTACTCTTATCTGGTTAGTAGTTTTCTTTTGGGGAACCAACTCCTCTTCCATTCATAGTGCAAAGATTAACGTGAGCCATCCATCCCCTACCTCTCCTTCAAGGGTGGCCATGTGACCCACTACTAATTATCACATTCCATCCCCTTGACTGCAGGGATTGATTCAGGGATAGATATAGGACCCAAGTTGGGCCAACTGTACTTTTGGACCTTGAACACAGTGAAGCCTGAACTGAATACTTTTGACATTAAATTCATCCAGGCAACAGTCCATGAGGAGACTTTCCCTTTGTTCCTGCTCCCTAAATGCCCAAAGCTGCTCTGGTTACCACCCTTCCTGAAACCTGCATGTTCAGCTGTTCCTTTGATATTATGAGCTACCCCACATTCTTCCAATAAATTCTGCCTCCTCGTACTCCAAATTTTTTGCTAGCCAGAGTTGGCTGTCTGCAACCAAGGAACCCTGATAAAGCCTGTGATTTTTTTTCTTCCATTAGGTCCCCTTAACTTGCCCCCACTTTTCCACTCTCACTGGCCTATTACCATTTGCTGAAACCTTTTCAATAGCCTTCTAGTATGTAGTCACTCTATATATTACTGTAAGAGTTATTTTTCTAAAGCACAGCAAATCATGACATTTCTCCTCAAAAGCCTTCAGAGTCAAAATAAGTGTGTGTTGTGGGGGGGAGAGAGGACCCAGGCAAACGAAAAAGTATATGCCAAGTCCAGAGGCAAAAAGGTACAGGTATTTTAGAGGAACAGCAAGTGGTCAGTGTGGCTGGACCACAGAGAGAGTGATGAAGAAAGATAAAGCAAGAGAGGTACACAAGGCCAGGTCACTCAGGACCACGTAAGCTACGTTAAAGATTCTGTGCTTTTTCAAAATCAAAAGGGACCTGTTGAAGGATTAAAACAAAAGAGATAATCTGTTTGGAAAACAGAAAGAAAACCGAAAGGAGGCAAAATCAGAGAAATCACATGAGATAGTTATGACCTGTATCAAAAATAGGCATTCATTCATTCACTCACTCACTCACTCACTCACTCACTCACTCACTCTTCTACTTCATCTAACACTTTTTTGGAGCCTTTTATGTGCCTGTGCTAAGCTCTACAGCTAAGAAGGATAATCCCTGACCTCACGGAGCCTACAGTCTTTTGCAGCAAGACAGACTTATTAATTAAAAAGAAATGACAAGACATGGTGATTGATGAGATATGGGAAGTAAAATAAAAGGTCAATCAAGGATAACATCTAATTTCTGCTTTGGGCAACCAAGTGGATGGTGGAGCCATTTGCTGAGATGGAAATTAAAGGTAGAATAGGTTCAGTTGGGGGATAGATGACAAATGCCATCTTGGACATTCATTCATTCAACAGATATTTATTATATGATGAGGCTAAAGGTAGGTATCTATGAGATATGTCCAGTGGGCTCTATATATAGAGGTCAGGAAATGAAGTAAAGGAATGGTCATGATTTCCTCTTCTACCACAAAAACATACAAATGCTTAATCAAAAGTGAATAGGGGCCAGGTGCGGTGGCTCACGACTGTAATCCCAGCACTTTGGGAGGCCAAGGTGGGCAGATCACCTGAGGTCAGGAGTTCGAGTCAAGCCTGGCCAACATGGTGAAACCTTGTCTCTACTAAAAATACAAAAATTAGCCAGGCGTGGTGGCACATGCCTGTAGTCCCAGCTACTCAGGAGGCTGAGGCAGGAGAATCACTTGAACCTGGGAGGTGGAGGTTGCAGTGACCTGAGATTGCACCACAGCACTGCAGCCTGGGTGACAGAGAGAGACTCCATCTCAAAAAAAAAAAAAAAAAAAAAAAAAAAGAATAGGTATTCTAATTCAATAAGTATTTCCTTAGTACCGACTATACAAACACAGTGAACAAAATAGGCTAAGTCTAGCCTCAAAGAGTTTACATTCCAGGAATTCATGGCAAAAATCTGTAGTCCCACATACATAGTTGACATGCCTGCCAGGGCCCTTTGCTGCCAGAGGTTGCACCCTCCCTGCTTTTCTCATGGACTGCTTGACCATACCATGCTTCTAGCAGGTAAATTGTTACAACTTGGCATGCTATTCCAGAAAGGAATACAGCCTGTGATTTTTTTCTTCCATTAGGTCCCCTTAATTTATCCCCACTTTTCCACTCTCACTGGCCTATTTATTACCATTTACTGAAACCTTTTCAATAATCTTCTAGCATGTAGTCACTCTATGTATTACTATAAGAGTTATTTTTCTAAAGCACAGCAAATCGTTACATTCCTCCTCAAAAGCCTTCAGAGTCAAAATATGTGTGTGTTGTGGGGGAAGAGAGGACCAAAATCGTAAGGACAGAAATCAGGACACCTCACTTCTGATTCCTAGACCCTTTCCTTAGTCTCAGTGTCCTTGAGTTAAACACTGTGCTTAATATCAGACAGAACATGGCACAAGACTGACATTCTAGGTTTCATTATTTAAATATGTGTACAGACCTACATCCCTCACAAGTAAAAGCTTTCTGAAAAGTTTGATTAGATAATATCAAAAACTTTCCCCATATTTCTGTTCTTACTTAAGCATTAAGGTAAAGTTTCAGAAACTGCAGAGTTTTCTAATTTTAAGCCAACATCCTGCAGTTATGGAATATTATATAAAAGGACTTAAGAGGCTGTAAATGAATGTATCTTTTGCTTTACCCCCAGAAACCCAGAGATGTGATACAATTTTGATCTGACAGAACAAATACTGGAATATTTTGGGCTTTTCTAATAATCATAGGAGCACAGACTTGTAAAAGAACAAATGCCACAGAAAATGAGGTTAAAGGACACAAACTGTAAGTATAAAAGGGAAAACATGTAGAAACATGGTGCTATGGTTTGAATATTTGTCTCCTCCTATACTCATGTTGAAACTTAATTGACATTGCAACAGTATTAAGAGGTGGCACCTTTATGAAGTGATTAGGACATGAGAGCAGAGCCCTCATGAACAGATTAATGCCATTATCTCAGTGGGTTAGTTATCCCAAGATGGGCTGTTATAAAGTGGGCTGGCCTCTGGTGCCTCCCTCTTTTGTATGTGCTTGCTTGCCCTTCCGCCTTTCCACCATATGATGATGCAGCAAGAAGACCCTCAACAGATACCTGCCTGTAAACCTTGGACTTCACAGCCTCCAGAACTGTGAGCTAAATAAACCTCTGTTCTTTATAAATTACCCAGTCTGTGGTATTCAGTTATACCAACAGAAAACATACGAACATATGGGCTGCCTAGCCCTTACAGTCTTTAGGGCATAAGTCCCATAGGGCCTACCTGTAAGGATAAAAGGTGTTGGATTAAGGAGTGTCAGAGAGAAAAATCACATCTGAGAACTAAAAAATGAGAGATTTGGTAAAGAGCCAGGAGCCATGCTCTTTCTTCAGTGGGAAGAGTTGCTCCCCAGTTCCTAAGAGGTAGGGTGGAAAAAGTATTACACAACCTTTGCCATGCTGCAGGCTTCAATCAATATGTTCCCAAGAAGTCCACAACTCAGCATCTTATAAAAAGTAAACATTCTGGGCTAGAACCTGTGGCCCCTGAAATGAGACAGTACAACTCCAGATGTAGTACAGTGACAGCTTCTCTGCCTTTGCACATAAAAAAGGAGACATAAATCTGGGATGAAGAGGACAGACAGTAGTTAGAGGTTATAGTATTGCATCCCTGGCTTGGGCTATAGATAGATGATGTACATGGACTGAATGGTGGAGTAATTTGAGTTAAGGGAGTCTGTTACTCAACAGTAAATAATAATGAGAAAATATCTTCATGTTGTCTCTTACCCCAAGCTCCAGGAGTTGGGTCTCCCAAGTGAGGGGCCCTGCCCACAGAGGTTTCATCTATGGTTTTCTTTTTTTTTTTAATATATATATTTTTTATTATACTTTAAGTTCTAGGGTACATGTGCACAATGTGCTGGTTTGTTACATACGTATACACGTGCCATGTTGGTGTGCTGCACCCATCAACTCGTCATTTACATTAGGTATATCTCCTAATGCTATCCCTCCCCACTCCCCTCAGCCCACAACAGGCCCCAGTGTGTGATGTTCCCCTTCCTGTGTCCAAGTGTTCTCATTGTTCAATTCCCACCTATGAGTGAGAACATGCGGTGTTTGGTTTTTTATCCTTGCAATAGTTTGCTGAGAATGATGGTTTCCAGTTTCATCCATGTCCCTACAAAGGACATGAACTCATCATTTTTTATGGCTGCATAGTATTCCATGGTATATATGTGCCACATTTTCTTAATCCAGTCTATCATTGATGGACATCTGGGTTGGTTCCAAGTCTTTGCTATTGTGAATAGTGCCTCAGTAAACATATGTGTGCATGTGTCTTTATAGCAGCATGATTTGTAATCCTTTCTGTATATACCCAGTAATGGCATGGCTGGGTCAAATGGTATTTCTAGTTCTGGATCCCTGAGGAATCGTCACACTGTCTTCCACAATGGTTGAACTAGTTTATAGTCCCATCAACAGTGTAAAAGTGTTCCTATTTCTCCACATCCTCTCCAGCACCTGTTATTTCCTGACTTTTTAATGATCGCCATTCTAACTGGTGTGAGGTGGTATCTCACTGTGGTTTTGATTTGCATTTCTCTGATGGCCAGTGATGATGAGCATTTTTTCATGTGTCTTTTGGCTGCATAAATGTCTTCTTTTGAGAAGTGTCTGTTTATATCCTTTGCCCGCTTGTTGATGGGGTTGTTTTTTTCTTGTAAATTTGTTTGAGTTCATCGTAGATTCCGGATATTAGCCCTTTGTCAGATGAGTAGATTGCAACAATTTTTTCCCATTCTGTAGGTTGCCTGTTCACTCTGACGGTAGTTTCTTTTGCTGTGCAGAAGCTCTTTAGTTTAATTAGATCCCATTTGTCAATTTTGGTTTTGTTGCCATTGCTTTTGGTGTCTTAGACATGAAGTCCTTGTCCACGCCTATGGTATTGCCTAGGTTTTCTTCTAGGGTTTTTATGGTTTTAGGTCTAACATTTAAGTCTTTAAACCATCTTGAATTAATTTTTGTATAAGGTGTAAGGAAGGGATCCAGTTTCAGCTTTCTACATATGGCTAGCCAGTTTTCCCAAAGCCTTTTATTAAATAGGGAATCCTTTCCCCATTTCTTGTTTTTGTCAGGTTTGTCAAAGATCAGATAGTTGTAGATGTGTGATATTACTTCTGAGGGCTCTGTTCTGTTCCATTGGTCTATATCTCTGTTTTGGTACCAGTACCATGCTGTTTTGGTTACTGTAGCCTTGTAGTATAGTTTGAAGTCAGGTAGCATGATGCCTCCAGCTTTGTTCTTTTGGCTTAGGACTGACTTGGCAATGTGGGCTCCTTTTTGGTTCCATATGAACTTTAAAGTAGTTTTTTCCAATTCTGTGAAGAAAGTCATTGGTAGCTTGATGGGGATGGCGTTGAATCTATAAATTACCTTGGGCAGTATGGCCATTTTCACGATATTGATTCTTCCTATCCATGAGCATGGAATGTTCTTCCATTTGTTTGTATCCTCTTTTATTTCATTGAGCAGTGGTTTGTAGTTCTCCTTGAAGAGGTCCTTCACATCCCTTGTAAGTTGGATTCCTGGTTTTCATGACCCTTAGGTGTGGCCTGGGGTTGCCAATGGCCCAGGTGAGTGTAAAGATATTTTTTCAGACATAACTGTCTATAATAGCCTGGGTAGTTCTCCACCCAGACTGTAGGTGGCAGCTACAGGGTTAGGGCAGAAAAGGCCAGAAAAGTATAATTGCACAAATTGGTTTAGTCACACTCATACAAATAGTCATATGTTAGATAATGTATATAAAGCATTTAGTTCAGAGTGTGGTCCTTAGTAATTGTTCAATAAATATCAATTATTATTGTACACTCACACAGATATATTAATGTATCTATACAACTTTGGGGAACATTCCAGATAGTAACTCTGCTTTCCAGGCAAAAAGAAGGTCAAGGCTCCTGGGCCCACACAGGCAAGGTTCATCCTCACAAATGTCATTTCAACAGCACTGCAGACGTTGCAGGGAAATGCCAGGTCAGGAGGCTGCAATCTGAGGATACCCACTCTCTCATATCCAGCCAAAGACAGGCAAGGCCGAAGCCAGTGAACAAAGGGCACAGCGTACTAGTACTATAAAGGATGGCAAATAGAGGCTAAGGTAGAGCAACGATTTCCTGGGGCAAAAACTACAGTGTGCTCACAAAGATGCAGGAGGGACATTTCAACACTTCCTTCTGCATGGGATTCTGCCACTCCCCCTAATATTCTTCCTCCATCCTTGCCAGAAGACCTAGCTGAAACTGAACCCTTCTTTGTCCTCCATCTTACATTCTGGTTTTTCCTTCTTGGCCTTTCTATATCCACGTTTTCTTGGTTGTTGTCCACTTCTATCAACCTCCTGAAGCCACCCTTTCAGATCCTCAGCCAGCCTGGTAGCAAGAGGAGTGTCTTCCCTTTGGGACATTCTAAACGGCCAGTTTGGCTCTTAACATCTAATTTACATGTAATTCTGTGCTGGCACAGTCGACACAAACATGAATGCCTAATCTGATCACACTTGCTCTCTTCTCTCATTTTGTCTCAAGTAGAAAGCATCATGTTCAATAACCTGGTTTTACTTAAAATTATACCTATTTTAGACAGCTAGGAAATTTTCTTTCTTAAATCATAGTTATTTCACCCTGTAGGAATTACTCACAAATTTATTCACTTTCACAATAATTTGCACATTAAACTTTTGAAAACTGAGGTTGCTTGACAGTATGTGAATGAAAAATGTTAAATGATAAAGAATACGTAAATGACATATTTACAATTTAAAAACTGACAGTACATAAAATGAAAATAAGTGGTCTATTTATCAAAAAAAAAGCATAATTTTGAATTTTCTTTCCTTTTCTTTTTTTGAGATAGAATTTCGCTCTCATTGCCCAGGCTGGAGTGCAAGGGCACAATCTTGGCTCACTGCAACCTCCGCCTCCCAGGTTCAAGCGATTCTCCTGCCTCAGCCTCCCGAGTAGCTGGGATTGCAGGTGTGCACCACCACACCTGGCTAATTTTGTATTTTTAGTAGAGACAGGGTTTCATCATGTTGGTCAGGATGGTCTCAAACTCCTGACCTCAGATGATCCACCCACCTCGGCCTCCCAAAGTGCTGGGATTAGAGGCCTCGGCCACTGCACCCAGCCTGAATTTATTTTCTAAATGAGAAATAGTCTGAGTCCCGTTACATGAAAACCTACCTCTCACCATTAGGTCCCACTCTGTTGATTAATTTTTCCATGGCTGCTTCTGTCTCCTTCAGTTTTTCTTGCAGTTGAGCAAGCTCAAAACTGGCTAAAAAATAAGCAACAATCTAAGAACCATCAGAGACAACTCCCTAAACCTGTTAAAGAGACCACAAATTTTTAAAAAGCTATTGTACTGTCTAACTTCCCATTACTATCTCATTGAAGAACACCGCAGTTTTATTAAAGGATTCTGTGAATATTTAAGATTTCCAAAAAGGATGCAAAGTGTGACTGGGATATTTAGTTCCATAGAAAATCCAGAAGTAAATCCAAAAAGCAGTTACAGCCCAGATAAACATGATTTCCTGCAATGCTTTTGCCAAGTCTCTTACTTGCGGGTGGTAAATTTTTCATAGGTTATTTTTCCTGACATACATTCTAGTCTATAAATTCTTGAGGAAAGAGCCATGTTGTATAAATTTAATTTCCCTAGAGAACACAGAATATTCTAGTTGTATAATAAGTATCTGATGGCCATGTTTCAACAGTCAGAAGTGTTAAACTCTTTCCCTAGATCTAAAAACTGATTTTGGCAATGATATGATTTCTCTGCCTCCATTTTGCTCTCTGCTACCAATATTTTGAAGTCTGAAAATGAGAAGTCATTCCAAACGTGAAATATTAATTTGCTAATATATTAAAAAGTGAACTGGTGGTTTTGTACTTTTTGTAGTACATCAATATAAAAACTTTTGAGAATTCCCAGAACTAAGGCAAAAATGGCATCAGATTAATTTGGAGCAACTTTTGAGAAATGCTTTTAAGACATACCCACAGACTGTCCCTGTGGCTATAAAACTGTTTGACTCAATAATACCTGTGAATATACTGAGAAGGGGCACTTACTAATTTTCCTGTGGGTGTTTCCAGGCATGGCAGTATAGCATTTCCCATCCTCTGCAGTTGTTTTCCCCTTTGAGAGCTGAGAATTGAAGGAGGTATAGCACATCAACAGCAGCTCAGAACCTCAGTCACGGAACCCCTCATATCAAACAAAAAAAAAAGGTTGGGAAACAAAAATGAAGGTCAGAAATTAAATCAAATAGCAACACTAGAGAAATAGCTCAAAAAAAAAAACGCCAAAAGATGAGGTTTCCAAGTAAAAAATTATCAAAGCACAAGTGTAAAAAGTAAAGTAGAGATTCCTCTTCAAAGAGACTTTACTCCCCATATAATTAGGAATAGTAACTTCTCTTAGAAGCAAAATTTATTCAAGAACCTGTGCTAACATGCTTAGATATCTGCTAGCCATAATAAAGAAATCAACTGTTCTTAGCTCCCACAGTTTAGCCTAAATATTTGCCCTGGCATGCTTATACTTGTCAAAGCAAGCATGAGGTCATAGCCTGTTCCTCTTCCTTATATGAAGGTGTTTTTACCTTTCTCAGCATTCCACAAGTTAGTTCCTCCTTCCTTTGTTCTCCTCTGCCTTTGCCTCTTTTAAAAAGTTCTAAGTCGCTAGCCAATCAGCACAAATACAGAATGTGAGGTCCCGTTCCAGCCAATGGAAACCGGACACAGCAGTAAGGTGGATGCGTCAGGTTATAAATGACCCTGTCTCCTTTGTTCGGTGTACTCTCACGGCAAAACCGCTGGTGAGTGTACCCTTTCTGCAGAAAGTAAAAATGGCCTTGCTGAGGAAATTAAATGTACGTCCAAGTGCTGCTTCTTTATGGCACCAGAGAACAAGCATTTCTAACACAAGGGAAAAAAAATCTCCCTACAGGTCATCTTCCTTGCTCATGCTCATCTAAAAGGGATGTGTGGCACCCTATGGGCATTCTTACAGACTCAACTCAGACTGCCTGCAGAATTCCTGGGCGAGAAAGAACTCATCTTATTTAAGCTTACTCTAGACAGGAGGGCAAAGTGAGTCTTCTGCCTCTAATTCACAGTACAGGGGCCAGGGGCCTGCAAAGGCCTGCCTGGAGGTGGAACTCAACTGGGGGTCTGCTTTAAAGAACCTACACCCATGTCTCCCCAGAGCTAGGAAATATCAGGCTTAATTTCAGGAGGGACAGTTCTGTCTCAGGAGAATTATTGGAGATAATATTAAAAACAGCATCTCAAATTCCTGTGGAGAAACAAGCAGGATAAAGTGGTGTCATTATTTGGCCTTACAATGGCTATTTGGAAATCACTGTGCCAATCCCAATAATAAAAGCTCTTCTTAGAAAATCTTTATTCCTTTTCGGCCTGTAAAGATGTTAATTTTTTTTTTTTTTTTTTTTTTTTTGGCAGGGGAGTGCATTGAATTGTATCACTCACTGGATTAAGAACCAAAAGATCCATGTTCAAGTCCTAGTTCTGCCTTGTTAGTTGTGAATTTTGGGGCAAAACACTTAAACATTGAGTAAACATTTCTTATGTGAAACTGAAATAATGGCTATCCTAAGTACCTCATGAAGAGGAGGCAGGATTTAAAGAGATGATGGATTTGAAATAATTTTATGAACTATAAGAAGTTTTAATGTAGACAATGATTTTTATTGCCATATTAGATTTTCATTGATGTAATATGATTAGGATGATTCTACTTACCTTAAATAGAATGTACAGTATATATAAAAAAATCCCAAAACCGTAGATTGGAATAATCTGCCCCATCAGACCTCTTCCACTACCTCCTCCTCCAGCACCTCCACCTGATCCTTTGGCCTTTGCAAATGCCTCGGCAAGGTGAGACCTCTGGAAACGAGCCCCAGGAGTCTGGCCATCTGAGGGTGCCTGGTGATGATGCATCATAGGTGGAAATCGGCCCAATTTTCCTGAGAAAATAATAATCACTTTTTATCTCTTCTACTATTTTAAAGATGGCTATCATGAAAACACCAAATCATTAAGGTATAAAAGAGGCCAACACAAACAAGTAGAAGAAAAAAATGGCAACTTAATTAAAAGGATACAGAGGTATCACACATATCCTAAATATGATGTGATCATCTCTAGCTGTTCACCAAACCCATTTTCTCTTCCCTCTGGGTCCTTAGCTGGACCACATTTTTCAGACTCCCATACAGTTAAATGTGGCCATATAAACTGAGTTCCAACCAAGGAATGTGACTAGGACTGTGCTAGCTCAAGGCCTGGTCTATAAAATCTCCCTTGTTATTCAACTCCGTGATCATTTCTTTTCTGCAGCATGGATGCTAACACCCACGGGGACCTTGGAAGCCACGGGTAGAAACAGCAAAGCCTCCATCAACCTGATTCCTAAATAATTATGTAGTGCAGAGCCCTCCACTGCTGCCACCTCACTAACTTAGAGTCATCTGGACCTGTCTGTAAGAGTGAGAAATCAACTTCTATTGTGTTAGGGTCATTATACACTGTGGAATCTATTTGTTACAGCAGTTAGCCACCCCTAACTAATACAGATAAGAAAATACAGACTAACAGCGGATCTCTCGGCAGAAACCCTACAAGCCAGAAGAGAGTGGGGGCCAATATTCAACATTCTTAAAGAAAAGAATTTTCAACCCAGAATTTCATATCCAGCCAAACTAAGCTTCATAAGTGAAGGAGAAATAAAATACTTTACAGACAAGCAAATGCTGAGAGATTTTGTCACCACCAGGCCTGCCCTAAAAGAGCTCCTGAAGGAAGCGCTAAACATGGAAAGGAACAACCGGTACCAGCCGCTGCAAAATCATGCCAAAATGTAAAGACCATCGAGACTAGGAAGAAACTGCATCAACTAACGAGCAAAATCACCAGCTAACATCATAATGACAGGATCAAATTCACACATAACAATACTAACTTTAAATGTAAATGGACTAAATGCTCCAATTAAAATACACAGACTGGCAAATTGGATAAAGTCAAGACCCAACAGTGTGCTGTATTCAGGAAACCCATCTCACGTGCAGAGACACACATAGGCTCAAAATAAAAGGATGGAGGAAGATCTACCAAGCAAATGGAAAATAAAAAAAGGCAGGGGTTGCAGTCCTAGTTTCTGATAAAACAGACTTTAAACCAACAAGATCAAAAGAGACAAAGAAGGCCATTACATAATGGTAAAGGATCAATTCAACAAGAGGAGCTAACTATCCTAAATATATATGCACCCAATACAGGAGCACCCAGATTCATAAAGCAAGTCCTGAGTGACCTACAAAGAGACTTAGACTCCCACACATTAATAATGGGAGACTTTAACACCCCACTGTCAACATTAGACAGATCAACGAGACAGAAAGTCAACAAGGATACCCAGGAATTGAACTCAGCTCTGCACCAAGTGGACCTAATAGACACCTACAGAACTCTCCACCCCAAATCAACAGAATATACATTTTTTTCAGCACCACACCACAACTATTCCAAAATTGACCACATACTTGGAAGTAAAGCTCTCCTCAGCAAATGTAAAAGAACAGAGATTATAACAAACTCTCTCAGACCACAGTGCAATCAAACTAGAACTCAGGATTAAGAATCTCACTCAAAACCGCTCAACTACATGGAAACTGAACAACCTGCTCCTGAATGACTACTGGATACATAACGAAACGAAGGCAGAAATAAAGATGTTCTTTGAAACCAACGAGAACAAAGACACAACATACCAGAATCTCTGGGACGCATTCAAAGCAGTGTGTAGAGGGAAATTTATAGCACTAAATGCCCACAGGAGAAAGCAGGAAAGATCCAAAATTGACACCCTAACATCACAATTAAAAGAACTAGAAAAGCAAGAGCAAACACATTCAAAAGCTAGCAGAAGGCAAGAAATAACTAAAATCAGAGCAGAACTGAAGGAAATAGAGACACAAAAAACCCTTCAAAAAATTAATGAATCCAGGAGCTGGTTTTTTGAAAGGATCAACAAAATTGATAGACCGCTAGCAACACTAATAAAGAAAAAAAGAGAGAAGAATCAAATAGACACAATAAAAAATGATAAAGGGGATATCACCACCTATCCCACAGAAATACAAACTACCATCAGAGAATACTACAAACACCTCTACGCAAAAAAACTAGAAAATCTAGAAGAAATGGATAAATTCCTCAACACATACACTCTCCCAAGACTAAACCAGGAAGAAGTTGAATCTCTGAATAGACCAGTAACAGGAGCTGAAATTGTGGCAATAATCAATAGTTTACCAACCAAAAAGAGTCCAGGACCAGATGGATTCACAGCCGAATTCTATCAGAGGTACAAGGAGGAACTGGTACCATTCCTTCTGAAACTACTCCAATCAATAGAAAAAGAGGGAATCCTCCCTAACTCATTTTATGAGGCCAGCATCATTCTGATACCAAAGCCGGGCAGAGACACAACCAAAAAAGAGAATTTTAGACCAATATCCTTGATGAACATTGATGCAAAAATCCTCAATAAAATACTGGCAAAACGAATCCAGCAGCACATCAAAAAGCTTATCCACCATGATCAAGTGGGCTTCATCCCTGGGATGCAAGGCTGGTTCAATATACGCAAATCAATAAATGTAATCCAGCATATAAACAGAGCCAAAGACAAAAACCACAGGATTATCTCAATAGATGCAGAAAAAGCCTTTGACAAAATTCAACAACCCTTCATGCTAAAAACTCTCAATAAATTAGGTATTGATGGGACGTATTTCAAAATAATAAGATCTATCTATGACAAACCCATAGCCAATATCATACTGAATGGGCAAAAACTGGAAGCATTCCCTTTGAAAACTGGCACAAGACAGGGATGCCCTCTCTCACCACTCCTATTCAACATAGTGTTGGAAGTTCTGGCCAGGGCAATTAGGCAGGAGAAGGAAATAAAGGGTATTCAATTAGGAAAAGAGGAAGTCAAATTGTCTCTGTTTGCAGACGACATGACTGTATATCTAGAAAACCCCATTGTCTCAGCCCAAAATCTCCTTAAGCTGATAAGCAACTTCAGCAAAGTCTCAGGATACAAAATCAATGTACAAAAATCACAAGCATTCTTATACACCAATAACAGACAAACAGAGAGTCAAATCATGAGTGAACTCCCATTCACAATTGCTTCAAAGAGAATAAAATACCTAGGAATCCAACTTACAAGGGATGTGAAGGACCTCTTCAAGGAGAACTACAAACCACTGCTCAAGGAAATAAAAGAGGATACAAACAAACGGAAGAACATTCCATGCTCATGGGTAGGAAGAATCAGTATCGTGAAAATGGCCATACTGCCCAAGGTAATTTACAGATTCAATGCCATCCCCATAAAGCTACCAATGACTTTCTTCACAGAATTGGAAAAAACTACTTTAAAGTTCATATGGAACCAAAAAAGAGCCCGCATCGCCAAGGCAATCCTAAGCCAAAAGAACAAAGCTGGAGGCATCATGCTACCTGACTTCAAACTATACTACAAGGCTACAGTAACCAAAACAGCATGGTACTGGTACCAAAACAGAGATATAGATCAATGGAACAGAACAGAGCCCTCAGAAATAACGCCGCATATCTACAACGATCAGACCTTTGACAAACCTGAGAAAAACAAGCAATGGGGAAAGGATTCCCTATTTAATAAATGGTGCTGGGATAACTGGCTAGCCATATGTAGAAAGCTGAAACTGGATCCCTTCCTTACACCTTATACAAAAATCAATTCAAGATGGATTAAAGCCTTAAACCTTAGACCTAAAACCATAAAAACCCTAGAAGAAAACCTAGGCATTACCATTCAGGACACAGGCATGGGCAAGGACTTCATGTCCAGAACACCAAAAGCGATGGCAACAAAAGACAAAATTGTCAAATGGGATCTAATGAAACTAAAGAGCTTCTGCACAGCAAAAGAAACTACCATCAGAGTGAACAGGCAACCTACAAAATGGGAGAAAATTTTCGCAACCTACTCATCTGACAAAGGGCTAATATCCAGAATCTACGATGAACTCAAACAAATTTACAAGAAAAAAACAAACAACCCCATCAAAAAGTGGGTGAAGGACATGAACAGACACTTCTCAAAAGAAGACATTTATGCAGCCAAAAAACACATGAAAAAATGCTCATCATCACTGGCCATCAGAGAAATGCAAATCAAAACCACAATGAGATACCATCTCACACCAGTTAGAATGGCAATCATTAAAAAGTCAGGAAACAACAGGTGCTGGAGAGGATGTGGAGAAATAGGAACACTTTTACACTGTTGGTGGGACTGTAAACTAGTTCAACCATTGTGGAAGTCAGTGTGGTGATTCCTCAGGGATCTAGAACTAGAAATACCATTTGACCTAGCCATCCCATTACTGGGTATATACCCAAAGGACTATAAATTATGCTGCTATAAAGACACATGCACACGTATGTTTATTGCGGCATTATTCACAATAGCAAAGACTTGGAACCAACCCAAATGTCCAACAATGATAGACTAGATTAAGAAAATGTGGCACATATATACCATGGAATACTATGCAGCCATAAAAAATGAAGAGTTCATGTCCTTTGTAGGGACATGGATGAAATTGGAAATCATCATTCTCAGTAAACTATCGCAAGAACAAAAAACCAAACACCGCATATTCTCACTCATAGGTGGGAATTGAACAATGAGATCACATGGACACAGGAAGGGGAATATCACACTCTGGGGACTGTGGTGGGGTGGGGGGAGGGGGGAGGGATAGCATTGGGAGATATACCTAATGCTAGATGACGAGTTAGTGGGTGCAGCGCACCAGCATGGCACATGTATACATATGTAACTAACCTGCACAATGTGCACATGTACCCTAAAACTTAAAGTATAATAAAAAAAAATTAAAAAAAAATTAAAAAAAAAAAAGAAAGAAAATACAATGTGGTCTCAGGAGAAAAGAGAACTAGAAACTGGAAAGCCATCAGGATCCAGGACAGGTACTTTCACATTCTAGCTCAATCTCTCTCCTTCTCTATGGGGCCATAAGGTTTTTTCTTTGTTTTTCTGTGCACATCTTCTTTATTCTTTCTCTGCAGACCATTTCTCTAGCTCCTTTGTGCACACAGGGGAAGATGGTCGCCCCAGCCCCTCAATTTGCATGTTCTTCAACAGGCTAGCTGAGACATCCTAATTTCAAATTCCTTGGAGGAGGACTTTAAGTACTCAGCTTGGGTAGGTATACATCTCTTTCCAATCAGCTATAGCTGAACAGACAGGATGGATATAGCACAAACAGGGTGAAAAAGGGACTCTTGAAAAAGGGGATCTTGTGAGTGGAAGAGCAGGGCTTGTGGGGAGGGGCAGAGGCAGGGGGAGGTGTTACATCAATTTTCTTGCATTTTTTTTTTCTCCATCAAGAGCAGTCAAAAGTTAACACCAACTACCAGAAAGGAATCTCAAATGGCCAAATAAACAGGCATGTATGAAAAACCACCAGGAGATAACATTATAGAACAGAAAATACTAGAGAGCATAAATAACACTCTAAATAAATAACACTCTAAAAATAGAAATAAAAAAATTGTTGGATTTGACTTGAACAAAATTGACAAAGATGTGGAGAGGCATGAATCCTCATGCACTGTGGGTAAGTGATACAGATATTCTGCCTAGTGATCTGGCTGTACTTCGTGATATTACATATGTACACACCCTATGATCCAATGATCCCACTCTGGTGAATAAATCCCACAGAAAATCTCAAATAAGGTTATATATATGTGAACTACAGACTTTATAGACCTATGTAAGAATGTTTGCTGTGACAATAGTGTAGTAGGGAGTTTGAAGTTAACTCTGATTTCCTTAACTGGAAGAATGGAAAATCAAAATGGAGTGAATACTAATATGGAATTCTACATAGCTTTGGAAACCACACTTTAGACATACCTACAGCAACATGAATACATCTTTAAAAACATACCGTTAGGTTAAGAAAAAGCAAATAACATTATGCAGGTTGAAAACACACACATAACGATATTAATCTTTCAAGCAAATATGTGGATATAAAGACATAAACATAAACACATCAGAGTAGGTGCATATGAATAGGAAAGGGAACTGGAATGTGGGTTGAGGATAAAGAACTAAAAGAATAAAACAAGAAAGTAAACTTGCACTAACAAAGTTAATAAAATGCTATGAACTGAGAACTGCCTTTAAGTTGTCGATGAAGAGTCAAACTAAAACATTTCAAGAGATTTATTCTGAGCCAAATATAAGTGACCATGGCACATGACACAGCCCTCAGGAGGTCCTGAGAACACGTACCCAAGGCGGTTAGGGTGCAGCTTGGTTTTACACATTTTAGAGAGACATGAGACTTCAATCAAATACATTGGTTTGGTCCAGAAAGGCAGGATAATTTGAAAGGCGGGGCGGGGTGGCAGGGGGCGGGGTGCTTCTAGCCTACAGGTAGATTTTAAAATTTTCTGGTTGACAATTGGTTGAGTTTATCTAAAGACCTGGGATCAACAGACAGGAAATGTTTAGATTAAGATAAAGGGTCCTGGCGACCAGGTTTTTCAATTTTACTGTGTAAAGGAAGCTCTCAGATAGCAGACTTCTGAGGGAGTAGATTGTAAAATGTTTCTTACATGAAAGGAAAATATCATGGGCCCCTTCAAGGTGGGGAATTGGTCCTGGCAAATCTGCCTCCCATTTTTATTCAAAGTCATCTTCCTGCTCACTGAGACAGATGCATATCTGATTGCCTCCTTTGGAAAGGCTAATCAGAAATTCAAAAGAATGCAACCATTCCTCTCTCACCTATCTGTGACCTGGAAGCCCCTTCACCACTTTGAGTCTTCCTGCCTTTGCTTTAAGTTATCCCGCCTTTCCAGACCAAACCAATGTACTTCTTACACATATTGATTGATGTCTCATGTCTCCCTAAAATGTATAAAACTAAGCTGTGCCCTGACCACCCTGGGCACATGTCGTCAGGACTTCTTGAGGCCGTGTCATGGGCGTATGTCCTGAACCTTGGCAAAATAAACGTTCTAAATTAACTGAGATCTGTCTCAAATTTTGGGTGTTCACACTTATCAGACTTAAAAGGGTACCTTAGTTGATTGTCTCCTGGGTCTGGAAAGAAAGAAAGAAAAAAAAAAGTGGGTGGAAAGGAGATTCTCTATAGAATGTGGATCTTTCCCACAAGAGACAACCTTGCAGGGCAATTTCAAGATACGGCAAAGAAATATATTTGGAGTTAAAATATTTTTATTTCTTTTCTTATTTGTTATGTGAAGTTATGCCAGAGTCAGGTGGGAAAGCAGGCTAGATTATATGGGGTGAAATAAAACCCCTCTGATGAGACTTCACTGTTTGTAGGGTGTGCCTCCCTAGGCCTGTTAGGTAGAACTTGCGTAAGATTTTTTTTTTTTTTTTTTTTTTGAGAGGGAGTCTTGCTCTGTCACCAGGCTGGAGTGCAGTGGCGCGATCTCGGCTCATTGCAACCTCCGACTCCCTGGTTCAAGTGATTCTCCTGCCTCAGCCTCCCAAGTAGCTGGGATTACAGGCATGTGCCACCACGCCCAACTAATTTTTGTGTTTTTAGTAGAAATGGGGTTTCACCATGTTGGCCAGGATGGTCTTATCTCCTGACCTCATGATCTGCCCCCCTTGGTCTCCCAAAGTGCTGGGATTACAGGCATGAGCCGAATTTGGGTAAGACTTAAAAAATCAGAATTTAGTTCTCAAAGTCAACTCTGCTCCTGAGGTAAGAAAGAAGGTAGGTGGGCAGGTAGGCTTGGAAGTTGCCTTCTGCCTTGTATCCTTTCTCAGCCAAGCTCCACTCCAGTGATACTCCTTTTCCTCTCAGTATTGACTTTAAATGATATGGAAAATTTTGAAAAGAAATGCTTCTTTTAGAGACTGGGTCAGCAACAGAAGCACAGCTTTAGACAGTAAAAGGAAATCACCATGTCACCACCCTTTATTCTGGATGCTGGTGACTATGCCCCTTTTAAATTTTCAAGGATCTTAGTAAATTAAATGATGAGTACTGGCTTTGGCTATTATGCACCTTCAAAAGCATGCCTAGCCAGCATTCAGGAAGCTAACTTTTCTCTTGAGAGAATCTATCAGGTGGCTAATGTTCAATAAACTGGATCTAATATTTGTAGTATTATGTTGTGGAACTTCACCTTACTGTGTTGAGAATACTATCTTCAAATCTGGCATAAAACAAAAAAATTAAAAATTAAAAACAGGTAATTACAGAAAAGCATTATTTTGCATCTCTAAAATTTAAGAATGACATTACACATCTCCCCCAAAACTTTTATAGATCTGTCAGCCAGGAAAATTTTAGGATCCTATTATGTTCAAGATTCTGCCATATGCAAGAAAAGAAGAGAGCGATAAAGGTAATAGAAACAATAGTTCCCACATGGAACAATGCCTTCAAAACCAGAATATCTAAAACAAAGACATAAATAACAGCAGCAGCAGCAGCAGCAGGGTATCAAGGACCTTTTTACTAGATAAACTAAATATTCAAGTTTTGAAAAGATGCAAAATCTTTCTTTAAAAAAAAGAGGAGTTGGCTGGGCGCAGTGGCTCACACCTGTAATCCCAGCACTTTGGGAGGCTTAGGCGGGCAGATCACGAGGTCAGGAGATCAAGACCATCCTGGCTAACACGGTGACACCCTGTCTCTACTAAAAATACAAAAAAAAAAAAAAAAAAATTAGCCGGGTATGGTGGCGGGCACCTGTAGTCCCAGCTATTCGGGAGGCTGAGGCAGGAGAATGACATGAATCCGGGAGGCGGAGCTTGCAGTGTGCCAAGATCGCACCACTGCACTCCAGCCTGGGTGACAGAGCGAGACTCTTGTCTCAAAAATAAATAAATAAATAATATAATAAAAAATAATAAAAAAAACAGGAGGCAAATGGAGTCAATTACTGAAGGGAATGAAAGAATAGGAGAGAAGCAAAAGCACACCAGGAGGAAAGAAGACTGTGTATATGAGATTGAGAACAAAGAAACCATTAAGTAGGACTTACTACCAAATTAGTTTGGCTCCATTTAGGGAAGTAAGAAGAGATAAGAAGTAAAGATGGGGAGGAGTTAAAATGCTAACTTGTGTGATATATAAATTTGATACAGTGGACCTTGATGAGAAGGGTACTTGATGGGGATTAATCCAGCAGCAGAATATAGGCTCTAATATAGACAGAAACTAGGGTCTGGGAAAACGTCAAAAAGGCTATTACAGTAACTTAGCACTGAGATGCAAATCACTGAGGTGGTGGCTAGAGCTATAAAAAGGAAAGGATAGGTCTATAAACTAAAAATAAAATTCTAAGCCCACCAACTGACTGATGGGTCATCTCTTGGCCAACGGGACCCCAAAGTAACCTTGAAAACTAAATTCTTGGCTATGACGGGATGGGGGGTTCAAACCCACCTCATTATACCCCTTCCCTCGCAAACCACGATTAGCCTTTCTTCTCTAACTACCAAACAGAAACTAGCCATTTCAAAAAAATCCACCACTGCTATCAACCAACCACCTGATACTGTCCCTCCTTTTTTGCCTGATAAGAGACTACCAACCACAGAATGGTTCTGGCTGGTCTACAGAGAATGTACAGTAAGGGCTTTCATGTCTTCTGCTTCACCTTTTGATGTCAGAGGGCTGAAAACTCCACTCTCTGACCACGCTATTACTGCCATTTTGTGTGTATAAGACCCATGAAGGACGTGTTTCTCCTTTCATAAATATTCATGACTCCCCCTACAGCTTATTGAATATGTATATACGGCCACCCTGCTCAGCATGAATTCCTGTTCCCTTTGCCCATCCCTCCAAGTGTATGTTTTTGCTTCTGGCTGGAGGCTACACTTCCCAGCCTGTCAGAATGGCCACCCTGAAGGTTGTAACCCTTTATAAGAAATAAAGTCTCCTCTTCTCTTCTCAATTTATAAATCATATTTTTTAAGTTAACATGTCCAAGGTTTATTACCATGTAATCAGTGCCATTTAACACTGAACAAAAATAGAGCTCATGGAGGAGTTGTCAGAAAACTCCAAGATCAAGAGTTTAAGATAGAGAAGATAATGAAGAAACTTGGAAGGCTTACTGTTAGGGAACAACTGAATATACATTTTTCACACATTATATTCCAGTTGTTGATGGAATACAGAATTTTTTTTTTATTAGACTGCAGTTAGGCTTAAGAGGAAACTCTAAGCTACCTAAATGACAAAGCTAATTAAAATTGAGTGAATGGTTCCCAATACCAAAAGGCTGGAAGAATATTGTATTTATGTGGAAAAAAGAGAAAGAAAAGAAAAATGCGCTAGCCAAAGATGACTAGAAACAAACTAATACCATAAAAGTCAGAGGAGGATGAAATTGAAGGCAACTGAGAAGCCTGGAAACACATAAACTAATGGCAATCCTTGTTTTCAGACACAATATATTCTTGAGAAATGGATGGCCATAACATGAAATCCTGACTGTCCACCTGTTTAGACAATAACAGAAACCAAAGTACTACAAAGCCTCAGAGTCAAAGGGGGCCTTAAAAGTCATCCAGTCTTAATAAGTGGTGTGGGGACAGGTAGATATTCACATGTAAAAGAATAAAATTGGACCCCTATCTCATACCATATACAGAAATTAACTCAAAATGGATGAAAGACCTAATTATAAGAGCTGAAACTTTAAAATCTTACAGGAAAACATAGACATAAATCCTTGTGACTGTGGATTAGGTGACAGTTTCTTAGACAGGACACCAAAAGCACAAACAACAAAACAAAAGGTAGGCAAAGTTGATGTCATCAAAATTTTAAACTCTGGTGCTGCAAATGACACCATTAAGAAAGTGAAGACAACCCACTGAGTGGGAGAAAATATTTGCTAATCATGTATCTGAAAAGGGTTAGTATCCAAAATATATAAAGAATTCTTACCACGCAACATTAAAAAGACAAATAGGCCGGGCGCGGTGGCTCACGCCTGTAATCCCAGCACTTTGGGAGGCCGAGACGGGCGGATCACGAGGTCAGGAGATCGAGACCATCCTGGCTAACACGGTGAAACCCCGTCTCTACTAAAAATACAAAAATTAGCCGGGCATGGTGGCGCGTGCCTGTAGTCCCAGCTACACGGGAGGCTGAGGCAGGAGAATGGCGTGAACCCGGGAGGCGGAGCTTGCAGTGAGTCGAGATCGCGCCACTGCACTCCAGCCTGGGCGACAGAGTGAAACTCCGTCTCAAAAAAAAAAAAAAGACAAATAAACCAAGTAAAAATAAACAACTGTGGCCAGGTGTGGGGGCTCATGCTTGTAATCCCATCACTTTGGGAGGCTGAGGTGGGCAGATCATTTGAGGTCAGGAGTTCAAGACCAGCCTGGCCAACATGGTGAAACCTCGTCTCTACTAAAAATACAAAAAAATTACATGGGCGTGGTGGTGCATGCCTGTAATTCCAGCTACTTGGGAGGCTGAGGCAGGAGAATCGCTTGAACCCAGGAGACAAAGGTTGCGATGAGCAGAGATCACACCACTGCACTCCAGCCTGGGGGACAGAAGTGAGACTCGGTCTCAAAAAAAAAAAAAAAAGAGCAAGGGATCTGAATAGACATTTCTCCAAGGAAGACAAACAAATGTCCAATAAGCACAGGAAAGGATGCTTAACACCATTCGCCACCAAGGAAATGCAAATCAAACTCACGAGGAGATACCACTTCACACTAACTAGGATGGCTATAATGAAAAAGATAATAGCAAGTGTTTGAGGGATGTAAAGAAAAAGGAACTCTCATACGCTGCTAGTGGGAATGTAAAATGGTGCAGCTGCTTTGGAAAACAGTCTGGCAGTTTCTCAAAAGGTTAAACATAGAGGACCATGTGACCCAGAAATTCCACTCTTAGGTATACAGCCAGGAATATGCTCACACAAAAACTTGTACACAAATGTTCACAGCAGCATTATTCATAGTATCTAAATGTCCATCAACTTATGAATAGATCAACAAAATGTAGTATATCCACACAACACAGTATTATCCAGCCATAAAAAGGAATAAAGTACTGATCCATACTACAACATGGATGAACTCCGAAAATATTATAAGTGAATACAGCCAGTCATGGAAAACCACATATTATATGGTTCCATTAATAAGAAATATCCAGGATAGTCAAGTCTATAGGACAGAAAGTAGACTAGTGATTACCTAGAGCTGGGGTTTGGAGGGGTGCAGAGGAAGGAAAAAGTGACTGCCTAATGTGTATGAGGTTTTTGGTGGGGAGGTGTGTGATTTAAAAAGTTCTAAAATTGACTGTAGTGATAGTTGCACAACTCTACGAATATACTAAAAACTACAGTGACTGTACATCTTAAATAGGTGAATTGCATATGTAAATTACGTCTCAATAAAGCTTTTTTTTTTTAAAGACAGCTAGTCTAACCACCTGTGTTTGATACTCTCATATGCTTCAAATTGTGGTCCTAATTCTGCTGAATACCTCAGGATAGAAAACAATGCTTTCTCCAGGAAGCTCATCCTACCTCTACACAGCTCTGACTGATAGGACTGTCTTTATATAGAGTTGATGAGTGAGTAACAGGAGAAAGAAAGAAAACAAAAAATAGGGTTTCAAAAAGCAATGCTGAATAAAACATGATGAGGTCCAAAGAAACCTATGTTAGAACTGATTAAAGAAGTTAATTGATAAGGAAACCTGTATTAGAATTAAGGTTATTGATAACATCAAAGAGATGTTGAAAAAGTAAAAAATACTATTTTCAAAGACAGAAGAGGGATTTGGAGAGCAATGGAACATATAGACTAGATAGCAAAAAATATGTTTTATATCCTAGAAGAAATCTGAGTACTTTACATGCGGTATTATTGTTCACATATTTACTGCTGAGCACTTAACAATGTGACAGACACTATGTCAGGCTCTGAGATTAGAATGACAAATAGAACAGAATCTCTGTCTTTAAAAAGAGTTTACAGACAGGGAGCATAGTTACAATGACATGGTAACTCTACCTTAACCGTCAAATCCAATGGCTTTTTGTCAGTTCTCACTCTTAGTTTTCTGCAATACAAAAAAGTAATTATCACATAGTGGTCATTCAATAAATATTGGATTAATCTGAATAAATCCTTGTCAAATTTTCCTGCCTTAATCTCTATGGCACATTACTCTTCTCTTTTTCCACTGGTCCTTCAACCTATTCCTTCTCAATCTCTTTCACTGGTTCTTCTTTAATCCCCTTCCCCAATACTTTGTCTCAGCCTGTTCTTTCTTTATACTTTCCTTCAGCAAACTCATTTATTCAAGGAATACACTGTAATTTCCAAAATGTGTACTTCTAGTTCTGACTTTTCCCCCAAGCTCTTGTCTCTTATTTCTTAATACAATCAGTATATATGTCTTCTTGTATGTCTACCACCTCAAGCCTAAAAATGAACTCATTTTCACCTCCTAAAACCTGCTCTCCTCTTGTATTTCCTTTCTTTGTAGATTCATTCTCTCCAAACTTCAGGCTTGAGACCTACAACCTCTGCTACCTGTGACACTTAAGACGGTAGGCAACAATGACAATGCTGCATTTGGCAAAGATTTCTCTTCTCGTAAAGTTAACAGGCCTCTACAGGTAGCAACCTCACCTCTTGGATCTTGGTACCACCATGTTTCTTAAAACTGAATAGCCCAGAATCTATAAAAAGTCAATGATTATAAAACATTTGGAAATTTCTAGTGGGAATTTTTTTTTTACAAAAGAAAAATTTGAAACTATGAAATATGCCAGGTATATAAAAGTATACATACTTTATGAACATTTGTATATCCACTGCCCAAATATAACTGAAGTCCCTTGTGTACTTTTCCCCCACACCCTCTCTGAGATAAACACCATTCTGATTTTGGTGCTTATTATCAGAATGCGTGCTTTTAGATTTTATTGCATTAACTATGCATCTATAAACAATATATAAGCATCTATAAACAACATATAATATTGCCTTGAATGTTTTAAAACTTCATATTGTGTATAGGCAGTGGTGACGGTTGCACAACAGTGTGAATGTACTTAATGCTACTGAACTGTTTACCTAAAAATGGTTACCACAATTTTAAAAAGTCCTTTATATTATGGGATTATATTGGACACATGCTTCTCCAACTTTCCTTTTCTGCCTTTTTTTCCAGGTGGGGAATGAACACTTTGGCCAACAAATGTATCCATGTTGACATGTATAGCTCTAGTTGATTCATTTAAACTGCAATATAGCATCACATTGTATGACCATATTATAATTTATTTACCCCTTTTTCTGCTGATAAACATTTAGATTATTTTCAATTTTTCTCTATTACAAATGTTCTAGTTCACAGTTACATTACAAATAAGATTTGTGTTTTTTTAAGTTTGCTTTATTAAAAACAGCTAAAGAGATCAGAATAAAGATATCAGAACATAAAACTGTAGGTTTTCTAATCTAGAAAACAAAACAGCTATGTGACTATCTCTATAGGTACTTAAGTATTCTGTAAAAGGGAACATGACTAAATCCTAATTGTTTATTGAAAGCTTTGCCCATATTCAGGTTTCCTTAATTATTAAAATTTAATCCCAGCATTTAGCAAGGCTGAGGTGGGAAAACTGCTTGAGCCCAGGAGTTCAAGACCAGTCTGGGCAAGATGGCAAGACCTCCTCTCTACGAAAAACTTTTATAAATCAGCCGGGTGTGGTGGCATGCACCTGTAGTCCCAGCTACTCAGGAGGCTGAGGCAAAAGGACTGCTCAAGCCCAGGAGTTTGAGGCTGTGGTGAGCTATGATCACACCACCGCGTGATCAGCCTGGGCAACAGGAGACCCCATCTTAAAAAAAAAAAAAAAAAAAAAATTCACTTAAGTTATCATTTAAGCTTAACTAAAAACTTAATGTCAATGGATTCTGGCCAGGTGAGGTGGCTCACGTCTGTAATCCCAGCACTTTGGGAGGCCAAGGCGGGCAGATCACCTGAGGTCAGGGGTTCAAGACCAGCTTGGCCAACACGGTGAAACTCCGTCTCTACTAAAAATACAAAAATTAGCTGGGCATGGTGGCACATGCCTATAATCCCAGCTACTCGGGAAGCTAAGGCAGGAGAATCGCTTGAACCCGGGAGGCGGAGGTTGCAGTGAGCCAAAATCGCGCCACTGCACTCCAGCGTAGGTGACAGTGAGACTCCGTTTCAAAAAAAAAGAAAAGAAAATGGATTTTACAAAGTGAAGCTCTACTTTCCTTTGTTAATAACCATACCTATTGCTAAAAACAAAAACAGAAACTTCAGCACTGTTAACAAAAGAGTTTTCTGAAAGCAACATTAACTCATCTGCAGCATTTCATTCTTGGGGCAAATAAATCTATAAAGAACTGGACATGTTTCTATTTTAATAAAAAATAGAAACAGCGGTTCAAGAAAGGTCTTAAGGGGGCCAGTTGCTTAAGATAGCCAAGCTTTTCCCTAAATATTGAGGAAGCTGTAGAAGCCATATTTGATTCAGCATTACTTGAAGTAGAAGCCAAGACAATAGCTGTTTCTTCCTCACCGGTCTCCTCCAAGGGCCCTATCTTGTTACATTTCCCTTCTACCTGATTCTGCTTTGTTCTCTACTGCTTTCACATTTTCTGCTAATTTAATCAGATTTCTTTCATCTTTTATCAACCTCTCCATTCTCAATCCATCCTATATATTACTAAAAGAGATCATTGTGTGTCTAAGTTGCTTAGCACAGGGCCCGATCCACACACTCAATACACATCAATTACCACTGTTTTGTTACCAGAATAATCTTCCTAAAGCACAATTCTAACTGGTCTTGCCAGTTCTCTGATCAAAAGCTTCTAATAGTTTCCACTGATGACAAGAGGCTGTATTACAGCAGAATGGAGGTAGCAGAGTGAAGTGGAATGAGTGCCACCTTTTCAGTCAGTTACTGGTTAAGATTATGGCTGTGCCTCCCACTATTTCAGTGGAGGTTAAATTAATCTTTCTAGGGCTCATTTTCATCATCTGTAAAATGGGCATGATATCTACTTTCCAGAGTTTACAAGAATTACAGATTAAATAATATCATATATACAAAGCACCTAGCACATATAGTAGGTATTTAACAAATTCTGATTTTCCCTCCCCACAAACTGAATTCCTAAACAACTGAATTCCATAATCTAACCCAAAAGTGCTCTTCACACTACTTTCCCATTACATACCACTCATTTAGTCAAACTAGGGTTCTCACCATGCTTTGAACCTGACTTTCACCTTCTTGCTTCTGAGCCTATGCTTATCCTCCAGTGGCTTTGCTTTCCTCTCCAACTCCACATATCTAAATCCAGCCAATCCTCCAAGGCCCAGGCCAGATACTGCCCCCATGCCCCCGAAGCATTTTCTCATGCTATTCCCCATGCCTGTA
Organism: Homo sapiens; assembly: GCF_000001405.40. Taxonomy (NCBI): domain Eukaryota; kingdom Metazoa; phylum Chordata; class Mammalia; order Primates; family Hominidae; genus Homo; species Homo sapiens. The sequence continues at coordinate 8,156,797 of NC_000011.10, forward strand.
AAACACACTGCTTGAGCCTCTTTAATTGCACTTACCACACTTGGCCTTAATCAAGAGTTTTATTAATGTGTCTTATAGCCTGTACTTAAATGAACCGGGAAACAAAAACAGGTAACATTTTCCACTAAACACCATCTCTATCCAATTTTATTTGGTGTATATCATATCTGAGAACTAGAAAAGCAGCCTCTAACATCTAAAAGTTGGCCTGGTATTATCAACTAGGCATTAATACTGCTATGAGCTGGCTTGGTACTCACAGATAAGTTGTGGTGTTCTCCTGTTACACATAAGCTATTTCAGAACACCAACATTAGACAAGGCCATTCTGTGATCATGACGGATCAAGACAAAAAACAAGACCACTCAGTAATCTGTCTGAACACAGACAAAACATGAACACTGTCCAAGCCACTAAATACCTAATATCCCCCAGTGCTGAGTAATGTGAACGATGGGGCTGCTTTATCAATTACAGCTTTAGCCTTTCTCTAGTTGGCCCTCCCTTTAGATAAACTGTTAAGATACCAGTCCTAGAATTTGCCTTACTTCCTGAAAGCATCTAATTCAGAGTAAAGTACCACATCCTTAAACCATCCTCCAGATCACCTAACACAAACCCAAATCCTATAATGACTTTTTCTAACAGTGCCTTATTGAGATGCCCCACAATTCCCCATGGTGTGCATTCTCCCTTGCTGCAATGAGTAATACACTCAACTTGTTCAACTACAGGTGTGTTCCTAGTGGTCTCCGGCTGGAAGACAAACTAAGAACTTCTTGAATAAAGGCCTAGTGTTTTATTTGTTTGGGTTCCCAGGGCAGGCTCTGGATCTTGCCTACTACAATCTTTGCTGACCTGATTTGGATGAATTATACTGGGAGTGTTAGCCTTTATTAGAATCTCAAGATCCTGCCCAGTCATTTGTAGGGCTAAAAATAGTTTTTTACTTCATTATCCTGCCAGTTTTCAATTTTATAGTTTCTAGAATAGAAACTGGCAATTAGGATGACTGATCAAGCAAGGTATTCCATACCCACTTACCTGTACGTTTCTAAACTTGAAAAAATGCCTAATTTACACGCATTCATGGGCTCTCAAATTGTCTGTTGTTTTCTGTTCATTTCCATAATACATGAACAGGAAAATGACCCTCTGAAATCAAAATGATTTCCTAATCTCTGTCCTTCAAACATTCCTTCAGAGTAGATCTCTGATGCTTCATTAGGGAAAATAAATGGTAACCAACCAAAATAATATATTTGTCTTCAGGCACTTACATACCAACACATAAGAAGCTAGTTTAAGATAACACAGAACTATGTATGTATATGTATGTCATACATGTATATGTGTATATGTTTGTATGTGTATATTTATATACACATATACATGTATCTGTATATTTTCACATCTCAGAGAGATTAAGACTCAGTGGGACACAACTTACTTAGGGAGAACATCGTGACAAAGGGTCTGTGCTATTCCACAGGAACAGGGCCACTGGAGAGGGGCTACTAAGGAACCCTATTTATAAGCATTCAGGCAGGGTCAGCAGGAAAGATGCCCAGATACAGTGTTACTGTGGGAACACCAAAGGTTCCCAGCCAAGTAGAAGTAGTAGATAGGACTCTCTTGAAGCCACCTCCAACACAGAGTGGCACACTGTCATCTTGGAGTACTTCAACTACCCTGCAACCTATTCAAACTCTCATTCAGCTGACAATGGAACAACTGACAAGTTCTTGACCAAGTGTGCTGACATTTTTATGTTCCACAGGTACACAGGGAGAGCAGAAGAACTGCTACTCTGATCAAAGAAGAAGCTCTGATGAAATGAAAGGAGAACCTCAGGAGAATGAGATCTTAGTGTTTCTGACAACAAAGTAGGAATCGTGTAGCACAAACTCTAGGAAGCCAGAGTTAAGAAGTTTTTTGTTTGTTTTTTGTTTTATTTTGAGATGGAGTCTCTGTCACCCAGGCTGCATTTCAGTGGCACGATCTCAGCTCACTGCAACCTCCGCCTCCTGGGTTCAAGCAATTCTCTGCCTCAGCCTCCCGAATAGCTGGGATTACAGGCATCTGCCACCATGCCCAGAGAATTTTTGTATTTTTAGTAGAGACGGCGTTTCACCATGTTGGCCAGGCTGGTCTTGAAATCCTGACCTTGTGATCCACCCGCCTTGGCCTCCCAAAGTGCTGGGATTACAGGCGTGAGCCACCGCGCTCGGCCACAGAGCCTCCTTTCTAAGTAGGAAAAGAGACAATAAACAAGATAATGATAAATACTAAGGAGAAAAAATAAGACAGGGAGAAGGGGTAGGACCGTGTTGGAAGTTAAGATTTTAGCTGGAATGGCCAGAGAAGGCATCAGGAAATGCAGTTTGAGAGAAAACATGAAGACGAAGGGAAAGGCACATGGATATCCAAAAGAAGAGCATTTCAAACAAGGGAAACAGCAAATGCAAAGGCACTGAAGTGGGAACATGCTTGGCATATTCAAGGAACAGTGAGGAGGAAGCCAGTGTGGCCACAACAAAGTGAGACAGATAGAAAAGTAGAAGCAAATGGGGAAGAGAATTACATAGGGCCTTTTGGGTCATGTATAGACTATCTTTTCATCTAAGCCAGGAAGCCACTGTAGAGTTTTGAGGAGGGGAGAGATGTGAGTTGACTTAAGCTTCAACATAATACTATCTGGCAGCTATATTGAGAATAGACTGAAGTGGGGAAGGAGGAAGGAGGCAAACCAGGGTGACAGAGTAAGATGGAATAGAGCAACCAAATAACCAACTGGTTGAATGACCCTAAACAAAACGTTTCCATGAATACAGTGGTGGGACTCTAAAAGCAGTTTTAAATGACTAAGACATTTAAAAAAATAATTTGACCTATCAAGAAAACATGCTGAGGCTGGGCATGGTGGCTCATGTCTGTAACTCCAGCACTCTGGGAGGCCAAGGCAGGCAGATCATCTGAGGTCAAGGGTTCGATACCAGCCTGGCCAACATGGTGAAACTCCGTCTCTACTAAAAATACAAAAAAAATTAGCCAGGCGTGGTGGTGGATGCCTGTAATCCCAGCTTCTCAGGAGGATGAGGCAGGACAATTGCTTGAACTTGGGAGGCAGAGGTTGCAGTGAACTCAGATCCTGCCACTACACTCCAGCCTGAGAAAAAACAAACAAAAAGAGAAAACATGCTGATCATAATCAAAGGTAAAATTGTAAAAAAAGAAAGAAAAAAAGAAAAATTATAACATGGTGGGAAAAATTTGAACACCAACTAGATATTTAATGACATCAAGGAAGTATTGACTTTTTAGGTGTGACAATGGTATTGTGGCTACATTTTAATAAGAATCTGTTTTTAGAGATGCATACTGAAGCATTTAAGGATGAAAAATGATCCAATGTCTAGGATTTGCTTCAAAATAATCCAGTGAATGGGGGGAAAAGTGGGTGGGGATACCCATGACACAAGACTGACCATGTATTGATGGCTGCTGAAGCAGGATGATATGGATTCATTTTACTACTCTCTCAACTTTTGCTTATGTTTGAAAATGTCTTTAACAAAAAGTTTTTTAAAAATCAAGAATGGCACACAGCTAAGAAATGGTAAGCAGATACATTGAATGAAACATTGAATGCTCTGAAAAAATTTCAAGAGCTAGAATTCTTGGCCAAATTTAAACAAATAAAATGCAACAAGGAAAACTACAAATTCCTACATTTCATTCCGAAACATCAAGTGAACAGTAGAAAATGAACAAAACCTAGATGAGCAGCTCCTATTAAAAAGAAGAAAAAAAGGCTCAGAATTCTAATATACAGCAAAGTCAGCAAGGAAAATGCTAAAAACTAGAGCAATCCCCAGAAAGCATTAAGTATAGAAGAAGAAGAGTGCAGGGAAACAACAGATTGCTCTTTCATGAACTGTCTTAGATATGCTGTTATTTGCAGTTCTAAGAGCCTCTTCTGAGAGGGCTGTGTTCAAACACTTGCACCTAGGTCATACCAGGAACGGATGAGGGAGCTAGGGATGTTAACACAGGAAAGAAGACTGAAGAAAGGGACATAATACTACTTTTCCAATTCCTGGATTAATCATCTTACACCTGTAAACCAAAAAGTATCTGGGACAGGCCTCAATCAATTTAGAAGTTTATTTTGCCAACGTTAAGGACACGCCCAGGAGAGAGGTCTGTGCCTTTCTCCAAAGATGATTTTGAGGGCTTCAATATTTCAAGGGGAAAAGTGAGCTGGAGGGGAAAGAAGGGTATGGTAATCTATATGTTGCAAGAGAAAAGGAGCAGGTAGAGGAATAGTCAATTATGTATTCATCTGGTGCTCAGTAAATCGGCACTTCACGTAAGATACGGTGAACATAGAGTAGCTACCTGTAGAGATATTTAATTTTTTATCTGTAGCTACCTGCTTAGGAACAAAAGGAAAGGCAGTTTCTTGCACGACTCAGCTTTCAGCTTAATTTTTTCCTTTTGGCATAGTGAACTGGGGTCCCAAGTTTTTATTTTCTTTTCACACACCTTTAATCTACTTTTCCTCCATTCCTATTTTGGCAAAGGAAATCAACATCTATCCCTTCACCTAAACCTGAGAATAATCCAGATGTCTCCCTCTCCCTCACTTTCCCATTCTATTTTAAAATGTCTCTTAAAATTATTCTCTTCCCTCCAATCTATCCATTGATAACCTCTCTTGCTCTAATATCCATATTTTCCTTTGGGAACTCCTCTCAACTCCAGAGTGGATTCATCAGTATATTCTTTCTACCCACAGCACCACAAGTTAACTTAATTCAAGCCATTAACGTGAACGGATATGTTTGCTGGAACTTCTGGGAAAGAATCTTGGGAGTGAGGCTGGAAGGTGAGAGTGATGGAGGACTTAAAAGAAAAGAGGCCTGGAGCTGTGCCCAGCAAAGTGCTGTAATCCCAGCACGTTAGGAGGCTGAGGTGGGACAATGACTTGAGGCCAGGAGTTCCAGGCCAGCTCTACACACACACGTATATAAATGAGACACTCCCACTTTCTCCGGGCAATGGAATGTGAGGAGGTAATGTCCGAAACTGTTGCTATAAATGAGACACTCACTTTCTCCGGGCAATGGAATGTGAGGAGGTAATGTCCGAAACTGTTGCTATAAATGAGACACTCACTTTCTCCGGGCAATGGAATGTGAGGAGGTAATGTCCGAAACTGTTGCTATAAATGAGACACTCACTTTCTCCGGGCAATGGAATGTGAGGAGGTAATGTCCGAAACTGTTGCAACCATTGCTACCACCCTGAGAGGGCAGCCAGAGCACAGAACCAACTTGAGAACGAACCCAGAGTGAAAAGGACACAGAAAATAAGAGCTAGAGCCCCAGTGTGACAACTGTGAGTCTCTGGTTCAAACCATACTGCAAGACATTTCTAACACAGGGTCTTTTCATTTACACAAGTCAATAAATTCCCTGTCTTAGTCAAGCTGACTTTTCTGTCACTTGTCACAAGCACCCTAACTGGTGAACCCAATGACAATGACTTGGTGATGCTCATGATGTCTCAACTGGATGACTACAACAATCTTCTCCCTGAAGAAATCCTCACAACGCAGTGTCTACACTGCTGCCAGGGTGTCCTTTCTAAAACCAGGTTAAATGTTTCTCTTCTCCTTACACACTCAATGATGCCTCATCTGCCTTTAGAATAAAACCCAATCTCCTTAAGAATGACAGAAAAAAACCTTCACAATTTGGCCCGTGCCAACTTCTCTGGTGTCTTCTCTCACAACTCTGAGGATACTTCAAGGCTCCATGCTTCTTCTTTTTTTTTTTTTTTTTTTTTTTTTTCTTTTTTTGAGACAGAGTCTCACTCTGTCGCCCAGGCTGGAATGCAGTGGTGGGATCTCAGCTCACTGCAACCTCCAACTCCCAGGTTCAAGCAATTCTCCTGCTTCAGCCTCCCAAGTAGCTGGAATTACAGGCGTGCACCATCAGACTGGGCTAATTTTTATATTTTTAGTAGAGACGGGGTTTCTCCGTGTTGGCCAGGCTGGTCTCGAACTCCTGGCCTCAAGCAATCTGCCTGCCTTGGGCTCCCCAAGTGCTGGGATTATAGACATGAGCCACCGTGCCTGGCCCTAAGCCTCTGTGTTTCTTTGCTCAGTATTTCTTCTACCTAGAATGCCCTTCTTTTTCATCTGGATTATTTAAACACACACACACACACACACACACACACACACATACACACACACACACACCCCCCAAAACACTTTAAGAACTGCCTCCTCAATTTAGCCAAGGAAGGTAAAGCTGGGTTAACATCTAAATTTCAATTAATGTAATATGCCACATCAGTAAAGGACAAAACTCACATAATCATCTCATAATCATCTCAACAGACATAGAAAAAAAGTATTTGATAAAATTCAATACCCCTTCATAATGAAAAACACTCAGCAAACTAAGAATACAAGGGAACTTCCTCAACCTGAAAACAGGCATCTACGAAATGCCCCCAGATAACATTACATATGCTAGTAAAGCATACTTCTTAAGATCAAGGACAAGAAAGGATGTTTGTTCTTACCACTTCTATTCAACATTGCACTAAAGGTTCCAGCTAGGGCAGTTAGGCCAAAAAAAGTAAAAATAAAAATAAAAGGCATTCAGATTAAAAAAAAAAGTAAAACTATCTCTATATGCAGACAAGTTCAGCGAGGTGACAAGATACAGTATCAATATACAAAAACTAATTGTCTATACACTAAGGAACAATCTGAAAACAAAATTTATAACAACATCAAAAAGAATAAAATACTTATGAATATATTTAACAAAATAAGACTTTCACACTAAAAACTACAATCTCCTTTAAAATAAATTAAAGACCTAGATAAATAAAAAAGAAATCCTCTGTTCATAGATTGAAAGATTTAATATTGGTAAGATGGCAGTACTCTCCAAATTGCTTCAGTTCACTCTATCAAAATCCCAACTGGCATTTTTTTTTTTTTTTTTGGCAGAAACCAAAGTGATGATCCAAAATTCCTATGGAAATGCTAGGTCACAGGACCCAAAATAGCAAAACAATCTTGAAAAAGAAGAACAAAGTTTGAGGACACATTTCACGATTTCATAACTTAGAAAACTACAATAATTAAGACAGCATGGTACTGGCTAAGGATAAGTATACAGATTAATGTAATATAATTGAGAGTCCAGAAACAAACTCTTACATTTAGAGTCAACTGATTTGACATGGGTGCCAGAACAATTTAATGAGAAAAGAAGAGTCTTTTCAACAAATGGTGCTGGGGCAACTATATATCCACATGAAGTTGGACTCCTACCTTACCCATATACACAAATTAATTCAAAGGGATCAAAGACTTAACTGCAGGAGCAAAAACTATAAAACTTGAAAACATAGGCATAAATCTTCATGACCTTGGATTTGGCAATTTGTCTCAGATATGACACCAAAAGCAGGAGAAACAAAAGAAAAAAGTAGATAAATTGGACTTTGTCAGAGAAAATGTAAAACTTTTCTTATTCAAAGGGCACCATCAAGAACGTGAAGGCAACCACTGAATGGAAGAAAATATTTGCAAATCATATATCTGATAATAGATTTGTACCTAGAATATACAAAGAACTCTTACAACTCAACAATAAAGACAAGACGCCAAGTGTGGTGGCTTACACCTGTAATACCAGTGCTTCAGGAGGCCAAGGTGGGAGGATCACTTGAGGCCAGAAGTTCAAGACCAGCCTGGGAAATATAGTGAGAGCCTCATTTCTGCCAAAAAATTTAAAAATTAGCCAGCTATGGTGGCACACACCTGTAGTCCTAGTTACCTGGGAGGGTAAGGTGGGAGAATCACTTGAGCCCAGGAGTTTGGGGCTACAGTGAGCAATGATGGCACCACTGTATTCCAGCCTGTGCACCAGAGTGAGACCCTGTCTCTCTCAAAAAAAAAAAAAAAAAAAAAAAAAAGACAAGTAATCTGACTTTTAAAGAGGGTTAAAAGGACCTGAATAGACATTTCTCCAAAACAAGATATACAAATAGACAAAGAGTGAATAAACACACAAAAAATGCTCAATGTCATTAGTCATCAGGGAAATGCAAATAAAATCACAATGAGATACCATTTCATTCCTACTAGGATGGCTATCATCAAGAAGACAGATAACAAACAAGTATTGACAAGAAACCAGAAGCCCTCTTACACTGCTGGTGGTCATGTAAAATGGTACAGCTGCTTTGGAAAATGGTCTGGCAGTTCCTCAAAAGGTTAAACATGTAATAACCATACAACCTAGAAATTCCACGCTTAGTTCCAGCCACACTGGAATGCTCACATTTTCCAAATGTATACACTCAAGAGAAATGAAAACATTAAGTCTACACAAAAATTTGTACACAGATATCAGTAGCAACATTATTCATAATAGCTAAAAGGCAAAAATTCAATGTCCATCAATTGATTAATGAATAAATGAAATGTGGTATATCCACACAATGAAATATTATTCAGCCATAAAAAAAGTACTGCTACATGCTACAACATGGATGAACCTTGAAAACATTATGCTAGTTAAAAGACGTCAGTCACAAAAGATCAGATATTATATGATTTCATTTATACCAAATGTCCAGAACAGGCAAATCTATAGAGACATAAAGTAGATGAGTGGTTGCCTAGGGCTGGAGGTGGGCTGGGGGATTTGTGGAGTAATAGCTAAAAAGTACAGGGTTTCTTTGGGGGCTGAAGAAATATTCTAAAATTGGTTGTAGTGATGGTTGTACAACTCTGAATATGCTGAAACCCAATAAATTGTACACTTTAAGTGGGTGAATTGTATGATATATAAATTAGATCTCAAGAAAGCTGTTATCAAAAAAAAAAAAGACTTCCCTCCTCTATGTTCTATGAAACCTGTTTTTTGGGGTTTTTTTTTTGTTTTGTTTTGTTTTTTTTTTTGGCAGAGTCTCACTGTGTTGCCCAGGCTGCAGTGCAGTTACACAATCACACCTCACTGTAGCCTTGACCTCCAAACTTCAAACGATCCTCCCACCTCAGCCTACAGAGTAGCTGGGGCTACAGGTGCACACCACCATGCCCAGCTAATTGAAAAAAAACAAACTTATTTTGTAGAGATGGGGGTCTTGTTATGTGGCCCAAGCTGGTCTCGAACTCCCAGGCTCAAGCAATCCTTCCACCACAGCCTTTCAAAATGCTGGGATTACAGGCATGAGCTGTCACACCTGGTTTATGAAACCCTTCTTAAGTCCCAATAACACTGACCATTGCATACATGTCTCCATTGTTCCCTGCGCAGACTTGAGTAACTGTGACTGACACTCTTGCATTTATCTGCTAACATGTCTGTTTTGCATTTATCTGTTGACATGTCTACTTTCCTTTACTAAACTGTGGCCGCCTCAAAGCATGGAGTTCGCTCATTTTTTCTTGGAATACATAGTGTCTATACACTATGTGCACAGTATGTGATATGGTACATCATAAATATTTGTTAAAAGACTATCTTAAAGGCTTTCATGTGGAAAGGGAACTGTGCTTGTTTCATGCACATCAATGGGCAAAAATGGAAGACATAACAACATGTATTTTTAAGAATTTTCAAATACTCAGGGTTATTCCTTTCTTCAAAGCAGGGATTTCTGGGTTCTGAGAATTCTCTGAATTGATACTGAAATTCTGAGTACAATAAGAGTATGTACCTTTTTCTAGAGAGAACATACAGTTTTAGGCTGAGTGCAGTTGCTCAAGCCTGTAATCCCAGCACTTTGGAAGGCTGAGGCAGAAGGATCACTTGAACCCACGAGTTCGACACCAGCCTGGACAATACAATGAGACCCCCATCTCAACCAAAAACAAAAAAAATTTTTTTTAATTAGCCAGGCATGGTGGCATGTGCCTGTAGTCCCAGTTACTTGGGAGGCTGAGGTGGGAGGATCAGTTGAGCCCTAGAAGTAGAGGCTGCAGTGAGCTGTGATCATGACTCTGCACTCCAGCCTGGGTGACAGAGTGAGACCCAGGGAAAGGGAAAGAGAAAGGGAAAGGGGGCCAGGAAGAGAGGAAAGGAGGGAGGGAGGGACAGAGGGAGGAAGGAGAGAGAAAGAAAGAAAATACATAGCTTTTATAAGATTCTCAATGGTGTATGTAACCCCAAAATGGTTAAGATTTTTTGCTGCAAGTTTCAGTTACTGGAATGTACCATTCAAGGTAAGTTTTTTCCTAGGTTATACTACTTCAGTAGCTTCTCCTTGTCAAAAACAGAATTTACAGTATTGGTAGCTTAATAATCTTAAAGTATTTATTGACTGCCCATTATATGCCAGGTACTGAAGAAACAGTGGTAAACAAGACAAAGTCCCTACCCTTGCAAACTTACATTCTAGAAGGTGAAGACAAAAAAACAAACAAGTAAACACTTAAGAATATTCCATATCATATAGTGATGCCTATCATGAAGAATATAAAACATGATAAAATAGAGAATGATGGGAGAAAAGAGTTATTTTAGTTAGTGTCATCAGGGGAAGTCTCTCTGAGGAGGTTTCATTTGAGCAGAAATTTGAATGATGAGAAGGGCACTGAGGGAAAAGCACAGCACTTCAGGAATAAAGAGAACTGAAGGTACAAAGATCCTAACATGAGAACACTGAATACCAACACTTGAGTTCTCAAGGGAACAACCCATGTCTAATCTCCACTCTACATTTTCTACAACGTTCAGAAGAGTGTCTCCCACTCACAGTCAATAGTACTTGTTCAAGATAATTCACCATAATGGAAAGTAAAAAAAAAAAAAAAAAAGTTTTCGAAGAATCTTCACTGTTCAGGATCATCATGAATTGACTCTTCTTCAAAGTAGACAATATCATTAGACAAAGCAGGTAAAAATCTTTGGGATTATTGCAATAAGACAGAAAGGAAAAAAAAAGAACAAATACGCAAAGATGTTTTAGAAGTCCGTCCCAAGTGGATAGTCTTACAAGCATAAAGATTATCAGGCAAATTCTGTAAACAGAATTATGTGTTCAACCTGCCCTCCACCCCTAAAGCTTGGTGCTTTGCATTTATAGTGTGTATGATGCTCAAGAGAATGGAACTACAGTCAATGTGCATAAAGCAGACGGAAGTGGATTACAGTTCAAAAGGAGCTGTCCAGCAATCAACAGTTTAAACATTACTGGAAGTGTTCAGACACCGTAAAATCATGTCTCAAAGATATTACAAGGATAATTTACAGGAGAAAGTTACCAGTAGAACTTCATGACCTATAGAAAACTGTTCTGGTTCCTTCTCCCAGCCTTCAGCACCGTGCCTTTACACTCATTCTGTAAAAGGCCCCAGTGCAGCTAAGAGGATGAATTTTTAAACACCACATACATCATGCCAACAACGAAGAATTAACAGATAAATACTGTTTCAATAAGGGGAACGTAATAATTTGTTCATAACCACCTCAGTAACTGAAACTGGGGTTATTAAAATCTTCAAGATATATTTTTAAAGGCACAAGAAGAGCCTGAAGCAGTGAGCGCCCAGCACCAAGTTGAAAAAACATAACGACTTAAGGTTTGCTGTACCAATTCCATTTGCCTTGATTTCGTACCAAGCGGCGCGTCAGAAAGTACACGGAAAACCTAAAGAGGGAAACCCAACTGGGAACCCTTGACTCAAAGCACGTGAACAAATGGTGACGAGATGAGTTAAGCCAGCGGGGTAAGAGAGAAGGGACTGCGCCTAAACGGGAGTACGCAAGGCCACCTAGAGGATGCACAGACCTGCATGCATACGTTCCTGACCCTTCCAGCAGCAGAACCATCTGGGCCGCCACCCGCTGATAACAACGGAACCGTGGGCATTGGCCCTTCAACGCCGTCTCGCCCGCCCTCTCCAGTCAGTTTGGTGGATATTTCGGTGAAGGCTGCAGACTCTCAGAGTCACCCCTCCCTCAAGCAGCGTTCTCCGTACTCTTCGGCGCCGGGAAGCTCAGAGGGAGCTGGCCTGCTCTTACCTTCAGGTGTCGGCGGCGGCTCCTGCCGCTTCCCGCGGGACAGGAAGGCCTTGGGCAGCAGCAGCGACAGAGCCAGGACAAGCCCAGAAGCCAGAGCGACTCTCTGCACTGTGGAGTACGCCATGACTGCTCACGGTGGTCGCAGGTGCAGACGCCAGCCGGAACCGGAACCGGAACCGGAGCACGGGCTGCCGCTCCCGACCGAACCGCGGGCGGCGCGGACGGCGTCGCGCGAGGGACAAGGTGCGCGAGGCGCACGCATCTTCACCTCCACTGTCGGGAGTTGACCTGCTCCTCCCGCGTGGTTACCCGTCGCTGTAAATGGTACCCTCGCCTTCCCGTTCATACTAACTAAAAACTCCTCCCTCACTCCCCATGTTCATCTTTTACTGAGTCCTGTGCATTCTACCGCCTACACATCCGGCGGTCGTGCCCGGATCTCTATCCCCACTTACCACCACTGCCCCCCACCCACCCGTAGATCACAACATCCAGTTTCTCCTCATCTCCATGATCTCGCTGTCTTCCAGCTTCCACTCATGCCCCTCGCATTCATTATCCGTCTGCAGCCACAGGTGATAATGCTAAAACACAAGACTAATTCTCTTTCTCTCCAGCTTAAACCTTTTAACTCTCCATTATCTTCAGAACAATAGTTAAACTCCTTTCTATAACCTCAACGCCCTGCATGATCTGGTCTTACCAATGCTCCTTCCAAACTGGATGATTTGCTATTTCTTTAGCATATTGCTTGTCTTCAGGGAAGCTTTGCTTGTCCTGTTCCCACTGCCTGGAAAATTCCTGACACCATCTCCAGTTGTCAAAAACTTCTCTGAAGAACAGCTTAAAAACACTGCTCTCTCGAAACGTTTTCAGTCAGCCTCTCCTTTCTCTACAATCCCACCGTTCTTTGTTACTCTCTTCATTCGTTCATTTAACATTATTTTAGTTTTTACTATGTATTAGACCCTCAACTTGGCACTACAGGGTCTGATGAATAAAATGGATTCCCTTTGTAGGACAGATAATTATCCAAACAAAAAAAATGCAGGAAATATTCTGGATCCCCGAGCAGTCTTCTCAACTGGTACGAGGAAAAGTCAAGAAAAGCCCCTTTGAGAAGGTGAAATTGAGTTAGCTGTTGAAAAATGAGTAACTTATAGGCAGACAGGTGGGAGGGGTTAGAAAGGTATTCCGGAAAAAGGAGGCCAAAAAAATAAAGGCAAATCTGGAAGCTTCCTGGTGTGTTCAGAAAGCTATTGGTAATTCATTTTGGCAGGGCCATAGAGTAGTGACAGGACACGAAGTGCACAAATATAAGCAGGAGCTACATTGTGAAAAGCTTAGGTAGAACTTCCAGTTAAACATGACAGATGTAACATATGCATTTATCTTTGCTTTCCTGGGACAGTGCCCAAAAAGGAAAATAAAGAAATAAAGTATATAAACTACAAGACTAAATGCAATGATAGAAAACATGACAGCAGATGAGAAATGTCAATTTTGTAAGACGCACACAACACTGTCCAATAGACACATAATACCAGCCACATATGTAATTTAAATTTTTCCAGTAGCCACATTTAAAAAGTAAAAATAAGTAAAATTTATTTTAATAATATTTTAAACCAAGATAGCAAAAATATTTCAAATTTTATCAGCACGATAGTGTGGCTCGTTGGCGCCCACAGTAGACAGTGCAGGTGTAGAGCATAAAAAGTTAAATGCCTGTGGACTGAAAGCCTGTAAGGAGTGAACTAATTTGCCCCTCAGAACCCATGCTCTTAAGAATTGGAGGTACTGGGTTCCTTTAAAGCCAAGGGTGCAGAGTGGGTCTGAATGAAGGATTGGCTGGAAATCTGATTAAAAAGCAGTTGAGACTGGGCACAGTGGCTCACACCTATAATCCCAGGGCTTTGGGAGGCCAAGGCTGGAGGATGGCTTGAGGCCAAGAGTTCAAGGCCAGCCTGGGCAACATAGGGAGAGCCCTAATCTCTACCAAAAAAATGTAAAAAATTAACCAGGCATGGTGGTGTGCACCTGTAGTCCCAACTACTCAGGAAGCTGAGGTGGGAAGATCACTTGAGCCCAAGAGTTTGAGGCTGCAGTGAGCTATGATTGTGTGAAACCACAATTAATTATGATATATAAGATGATAATAATGCCTGAATGAAGCCAGTAGGGGCACCCACTCCAGCCAGGGTGACAGAGTGAGACCCTGTCTCTAAAAAAAAATTGTTTGATTTTTTTAAAGCAATGGATATCTTCTGAATCTCTTTCCTTGATTCATGCAGCCAGATGGGTGCCACTGCTGGCTTCACTCGGGCATTATTATCATTGATGTTATTAACATCACTAAAAGTTAGAGTACTAATTATGTTTTAGGCATCTTACATATCATAATTATTCCTCCCAATAACTTCAAGAGGTAAGCAATATTATTATATACCCATTTCACAGGTAAGAAAATGGAGCCCCAGAAAACATAATTTACTTGCCAACAATTACACAGTATAAACTGGATGCTATGATTTGAACACAGGCATGCTTACTCAAGAATTTGCCCTCTTAGCTACCAGGTTTACTGTCTGGGGAGGTTTAGTCAGAAAACCTCTGGACTCCTGGACTATAGATGCAGCTTAGGGAGGAGGTGACTAATGGGATGTGGTCTCTAAGAAATACAGAGGGGTCTGGAATGACCACACTCCCCCCCGCCCTCCGCCACCAAATTCTAGCTTGGGTAAATGGTAGACATTAATTCTATATAACATGATTTTAAGAATAGAAGAATCAGGTTTGTGAGAAAGATGAAGAGTTCAGATTTTGACTAGCTGAATTTGAAGTTCCATGAAATATCCAAGTAGAAATATCCAGTTGGATATATGGGCCTGGAGCTCAGAAGAGATGTTTGGGCTAGAAACAATAGGAAATCATCAGCCCATCTATAGTAAATGAAGTCTAGGAGAAGATGGCATTAGTGAGAGTGCTCATGTGAAGTTGTAAGAAGCCACAATGGAAACCTAGGTCACAACATTATGTTGAAGTTCCCATGTATGAGGACAGAAATGAGGTGGGAAATAGTGATCCAAGTGTTAAAATCTTTAATGAATGTGGAGTTACTACAAGGTTGGAAGGTGACAGGAACAGAAGAAGTAATGGGCAGCCAGATGACATGCTCTTCTAAGGAGCTGTGTTTTTTTTTAATTGTTTAAAAATTTTTATTTATTTATTTATTTATTTATTTATTTTTGAGATGGAGTCTTGCTCTGTTGCCCAGGCTGGAGTGCAGTGGTGCAATCTCGGCTCACTACAAGCTCCGCCTCCTGGCTTCACGCCATTCTCCTGCCTCAGCCTCCCAAGTAGCAGGGACCACAGGTGCCCGCCACCACGCCCGGCTAATTTTTTTGTTGTATTTTTAGTAGAGATGGGGTTTCACTATGTTAGCCAGGATGGTCTCGATCCTTGTTATGCACCCACCTCAGCCTCCCAAAGTGCTGGGATTACAGGCATGAGCCACAGCGCCTGGCCAGGAGCTATGGTTTTTAAAGGAAGAAGAGGAAGAAGCAATTTGGAAGCAGCAAGGGGAAACAAGTTGGGCATCTATTCTATTCCCAGGCTTTAAGCTGTGGGAAGAAAAATAGCTCTTACTTTGGGAGATCTGCAAGGGAAACAGAACCCAGAGGCAACAGCCTAGTTTTCATTAGAGGAAGACAGGCCGGGCGCAGTGGCTTATGTCTGTAATCCCAGCACTTTGGGAGGCCAAGGGGGGCGGATCACGAGGTCAAGAAATCAAGACCATCCTGGCCAACATGCTGAAACCCACCTCTACTAAAAATACAAAAATTAGCTGGGCGTGATGACATGCGCCTGTAATCCCAGCTACTTGGGAGGCTGAGGCAGGAGAATCGCTTGAACCCAGGAGGCAGAGGTCGCAGTGAGCTGAGATCGCGCCACTGCACTCCAGCCTGGTGACAGAGTGAGACTCCATCTCAAAATAAAAAAAAAAGAAAAAAGAAGAAGAAAGTTAAGAGAAACTTCAAAGAAGTCAAGGATATAGGAGTTTTTCTGATGATAGCTCTTGACTCTATACAGCACGGTAAGTGGAAGCTTTGGAAGTCAGAAATGGAGTCAAAGTAAAATATGAAGTGAGCAGGATGGAGATGAGGGGCAGTGTGCAAATTGATGACCTTGGGGGCTTGGAATTTAGATGGTGGCCAAGGTAAATGGGCAGAGATCGTGATCTCATTAGTCCTAGAAGTGGCCTAGAGAAAGGTGAAAACACAGTTATAGTACAGAGTATTTGGCTTGGAACATATTCATTGTTGCAGTCAGTTGGGATGTGCACCTGGAAGACATGGAAGCCTCCTTAAGGCGACAGAGCTGGTAGGCAGCTCATGGAGCTGGGGCAGCTTGGAGTGGGACCTGGGATGGCTGCTCTCTCTGGTGGCTGGTGGTATAACATCAGAGCTGGGAGTGCACTAAAATTGAAGATCTTAAGGGTTTAGGTTTTCCAATAAAGTATTGGTAGGGGGCTGGGCGTGGTGGCTTAGGCCTATAATCCTAGCACTTTGGGAGGCCTAGGTGGGTGGATCACCTGAGGTCAGGAGTTCGAGACCAGCCTGGCCAACGTGTTGAAACCCCATCTCTACTAAAAATACAAAAATTAGCCAGGCATGGTGGTGCATGCCAGTAATCCCAGCCATCCAGGAGGCTGAGGCAGGAGAACGGCTTGAACCCAGGAGGCAGAGGTTGCAGTGAGTCGAGATTATGCCACTGCACTCCAGCCTTGATGACAGAGCGAGAGTCTGCTTCAAAAAAAAAAAAAAAAAAGTAACGATAGGGAATTCAGATAAAAAATCAAAAGTCTAATGGCTATAGGCTGAAGAAGGAGCAAATGACAAGGAAGTAGAGATGGCAAGTACAGCCCACTGTATATGGAGCTGGCATGAAAAGAAGGGATAAAAGTTACAGTGATAACTTGAGGGTGACTTTTCTAAGGGAAGAGAAAAGCATGTTTACATATTTAGAGGAAAAATGTCAGAAAAGAAGTGATGGAAAATAGCAGAGCAAGGGAGACCAATGTAGGAGCAAAGCCCAGATTGTGGAGCAGACATGGGAGCCAGACATTGAGTCCCCTGGCAGTAGGGATCAGCTCAGAGAAAAGAAGATGGAGTGGGTTCAGGTGCATATATTAATAAAAGGAGTGGTGCAGGGACAGAAAGTCAAGGGGGTTCATTTCTCATTGCCTTCGTTTTCTTGGTAAAGGATATGTTTGGGCCATTATCTGAGAAAGGACTCAGGGTGCAGTGGGAGGAATTTTTGAGTGTAGTGAAGGTTTGGAAATGGGCAAAGAGGTATTCAGGAATCACTCCAGCTTTGCACAGGGGCTCCCTTTGGAGTTTAAATGCAACCAAGGATTTTCTGCTGTAAATGCAACCAAGGATTTTCTGCTCTGTCCCTGGGAACTTAAAAGTATTTTCTAACCAGTACATTCTGGGCTGAACTTGGCATCCCCAAAGCATCCTTTGAGACTGGTAGCCTCCAAGGGGCCCATTCTAGAAGACTGAAGGTGGTCAGGGGACGGGAGACCGAGAGGCCCTTAGGGATTAGTTGTCAGTTGTCTCAATTCTCTTTTTATTAGATTAAAGGGAAAACTGGGGTCTACAAAGGGGTAAAGATTTGCTATGGATCACCCTGATCATTCATGTCTGCACTGGGATTGAAACCCAGTTCTCCCAACTCCCAGAGCAGGATTCTCTACACTACTTCTGCTGTGTCTGCCAGTTCTTTTGGACAGCAAAGAGGAAATAGTCTTCAAAAACAATAGCTAAACCCTTCATTTGCTGAACTTTAGAAATCTGTTTATTCCTTGGGTCTTTTTCCTATCTGACAGCCTGTGGGAAAGTGCCCCAGAATGTTTAACATTATGAGTTGGAAGGCTTCGTTCATGAAATCACTCCTAAAGTCAAAATTTCTTTAACATCAGGGCACTTGTTGAATTCTAACATGGGGGAATGGAAATTGAGGAAACTGTGTTTCTTTTTTTTTTTTTTTAGACAGAGTCTCGCTCTATCGCCAGGCTGGAGTGCAGCGGTGCGATGTGATCTCAGCTCACTGCAACCTCCGACTCCCTGGTTCAAGCAATTCTCCTGCCTCAGTCTCCCTAGTAGCTGGGATTACAGGCACATGCCACCATGCCCAGCTAATTTTTGTATTTTTAGTAGAGATGGGGTTTCACCATGTTAGCCAGGATGGTCTCGATCTCCTGACCTCGTGATCCGCCCGCCTCAGCCTCCCAAAGTGCTGGGATTACAGACGTGAGCCACTGCACCTGGCCAGGAAACTATATTTCTAGGGCATTTACTTGTAAGTCATTGTGGAAAAGCTTCTCCCGGGATTAAGTTGACAGCCGTTTATTTCCTAAATATAAGGTCTCCCTGGAAGACAGGCCCATGAAGAGCTGAAGAAAGAAGTGGGAGGACAGAGGAGAACTCACACAAGGTATTTGGAGGAGGAAGAATTCAGATTGGAAAATAAAAATAAGGTGGGAGAGAAGCTGGGGAGGGGTGGGAAGAAAATAGAGGAAAGAGGAAGAAGACCAAGAAGGAAGAAAACGGACATGAAGTGGTTGCCTTCTTATGAACTCCCTGCAAGGGAAACAGAGCCCAGAGGCAATAGCCTAGTTTTCAAGAGACTCCATGGTCTCCTAAGTCTTATCCAGTGTGCTTTACCCTCCAGACCAGGCTGGAATCTGAGCTTGGGATCCTCTCCTGCTCAAAAGCCTTCCATGACTCCCTTTGGCTGCCATATTTAGTCTCAGCTCATTGGCCACTCTTTCAAGGACCTTCATCCTTGAAGCATAATTCATTTCTCTTGCCCAAAATCATCCCCTCCTCTCTAGGCCAGCATGAGCTCTGTGTATTCCTCCCTTAAGATGCTCCTTTACCCAATTTTCTTCCCTCCTTGCCTTTCATAGCCAATCTTCCCTAAAATATAAGGCCCAAACACTATGAACTTTTTTCAGGAGGCTCTCCCAGATTCCACCCCATGCTGACTCTTCCTTTCACTAGATTCCTGTGGACACTGTTTCTCATGGGTTTACTGGGCCTTTTCACCTAGTTGGGAGTCCCGGGAGGATAGGGTGCTCCTCCCATGGCATGACTGAGCACAGAACTTGTTCACAGCAGATACTTATTCAAGTATGAGGCTGCTAGTTTCTCAAACACATTGATTCTGCCACTGCTCTGAGCAACTAGACCTCTCTCCAGGAATCAGCAATGAGTTGCCTTGAAGAAACACCCCAGAGAGTCTCATTTCAAAAAGTCACTGACTTTGCCACCAAATTTGTCCCTGAAGTGACTGTAATGATTAATTGTGTGTTAATTTGGCTGGGTGATGGTGCCTAGATATGTGGTCATACTTAATTCTGGATGTTTCTGTGAGGGTGTTTTTGGATGAGATGAACATTTGAATCGGCAGACTTTGAGTAAAGCAGATTGCTCTTCATAATGTGAGTGGGCCTTATCCAATCAGTTGAAGGCCTGAATAGAATAAAAAACCAGTTCGCCCTGGCAAGAAGCAATTCTGTAGCCAACCGAACTTTGGATTTGAACTGCAGCATCTGTCCTTCCGGGGTCTCCAGCCTGTTGGCCCACCTTGCAGAGTCTGGATTTGCCACCTTCTAAAATCACATGAGCCAACTGCCTAAAGTAAATCTCTCTCTCTCTCCCTCTCTCCACTGTGGAGTCCCCATTGTGGAGAGTCATACACCTTACCACAGGCAGGAAATCAAGGTGGTTAGCAGGAAAATGAGACCCAGGTGCCCAAAACACTGAGCAGAAGGGAGCAAGGCCTGTAACTCCAAAGTTTAGAATGAAGAGGTTAGAGAAGGAAAGCAGGAGATGGGACAGAATGCACAGAACAGCATATGGGACCTGGACTTTGAACGATGGGTAGAATTTTGATCAGGGTTAAGGGAAATATGATGAACACCTGCCAATAGTAGACATCCACAATCTTTGAATACCCTTTCTTCATTTGACATTATCCACATTGAGAGTCTCAGGTTCTCAATGTAGAATCCAACAAACTACATTTCCTGGCCTCTCTTGCTACTAGGCAAATAGTTAACTGTTTCCCCGATCAGACATACCCGTGTCCAACTTTGGTTTGAAAGTTATCTGTGAGAGGAAACAGCAGTGCTTGCTTGGCCTACCTCTTTTGGTGGGTGAGGCGGCAGCAGAGGTGGGACGTTCCTGTGGCTGGTAGCGGCCACAACGCAGTTTCCTGACAGGCAGAGCAGAGGCCATGCAGGTCTGGGATCTGTGGCACTGGAGCTTCCTTACGAGGCCAGTTCTGTGGTGTGGTTCTGGGAGTTATTCCAAGCTCTGGGGCCCTAGTTTTCTCATCTGTGAAATGGAGACTGTTCTGCCTCCCTCCCACTGAGCTAGCAAATGTGATGGAGGCTGGAAGGCAATCACGTGTGAGACAAAAACAGCAACAGCTGCTGCCGCTCAAAGGCAAGTCTGAAGAAAGAAAATTGGAATCAGAAAAGGGAAGAGTTTTTGAGGAAAACCTTTGGGAGGAAGCCTCTAGAAGGCCCATATTTCTTATCCTAAAGCTCTACCCAAATGGGGACAGGTGGGCAAAGGTTAGGGGTACGAGGATAGAAGTTTCTTGGTGGTGAGTGGTCAAGGTGAGAATGTCCTTACTGCTTTCCTGCCAACTCTCCTCACTGGCCTCTGCCCCTGAAAGACGCAGAGCAGAGAGAAGTCACAGTCGGTTACCTTGGGCATTTCTGCCTTGAATAAGGAGAAATAGTCTTTGGTGCCAATTAATTAAGCAAACTGATAGAAATTCCCTGCTTAAGTCACACTTTGCATATCCACAATCTCTGCACTACATTTTCTGTATACTTTACCCCTGGGTAAAAATTGGTGAGTATTTAAATGCTTCCTCACATAATCTTGCTAAAGCACACTCTTGCCTATAAATATTCATGCCACTGCCAAAACATTTGCAAGCTTTCCCCAAAGGTGAAATGTGTGTAATGTACTTTGTCTTCTGGGTATAAATATTATCCAATACATTTTGGTTAATATGAATACACTAATTATTCCTGCAACCCTTTTAAAAAGGGTCATCTTCATGATGTGAATTTTTTAAAAATGTAATTACAATAATTGGATACTTAATCTAATTAAAATTTGCTTTATCTTTAATGGGAATTTGTCTAAAGAGGCAGAATGACAATTGGCTTTTTGATAATGACTGTTTTCTTTCTTCAGGGGATCAAGCTGGTGAAAACTGGAGAACCAGGCAGGTTTGTGTCTGCCAGTTCCCTGCTTACTGGGCAGAGCAAGGCCAGTCTCTCTTCTTCTTACAATTCACTACTTAAGTAGCAAACATGGGTTGTGGTTACTGGAAAAGGACTAGGGGAACCTTTTGTATTCCAACAGATGAAGCTGCTCCTCTTCCTAGGAAGCAGTCCTTTGTTCCCCTGGACCTGTGACTGATCCACAGCAGGCATGTGATCTAAGCCTGATAGATCAGGTCCCTCGCTGGGCTTGCTGCAGCTGGAGAAGAAGCAGCTCCATGCTGCTTTGGGGGGGGCATGGTGCTGGAAGGAGTTGTAGTGGATGGTATAGGTGCTCCACTCATATCCCATTGGTTCACCCTTGAGGTCATCTTCAGACAGTCCCTGCACACAAACTGAGCTCCTATGTCTCTCTGCATAAAGCTGCTTCTCTGGCCTGGGGAGCAAGCTAGGGAGAGTTACCACTCCCAGAGCAACTCTTAAACAATGAAGGAGAGGAGCTGGCAGATAAACACCTCAGCTTCCTTGTTCTTCAGGGGCTCAATTCTGAGTGGTGCTCCACACATTCTTTTTGAGGCATCCCAGTAGGATTGAGATCTACTTGCTCCAGCTGTAACCCACTCACCGAGACACCCGTTTGGGGTTTCCGCCCCTTCTTTGTCTCACTTACCTGCTCTCTCATTTTGCTTCTGGTGTCATCTTCCAAATAAAGTGGTACACCCAAACTTTTGCCTTGGAGTTTGCTTTGAGGGGAGCCCAAACTAAGATAGAGGAAAAGTTGGGGTTCCCAGGCAACTATTTTCTCTACCACATGGAGTAGGTCTGTTTGAAGAAGGTGAGAGAGAAGCTAGCAAAAATAAGGGGGGTGGAGAGCGAGCTTGGTGGTGCCGAATGGTTTCACCCCCAAGACTCCTTTTGTTCCCTCTCATTCTTTGATTCTCGAAGCTGCCCTGAACTCTTCCCAGCCATGTGAACCAATACATTCCTCCCTGTATGTGTTAAGCTTGCTTGAATTGGATTTCTGTCTCTTGCAACTGAAAGTATTAATGACTCTTACAAAGAATAAGTGAGTTCGCATGCAAAGCATTTTGAATAGAGCCTGTCACAGATTAAATACTATTACTGGTGCATATTATTATTATTTAATGTCTGACTCGCTTCCAGTGGAGACCATGGATCAAGAAGCTAGAGCCTAGAAAAGAATCACAAAAAAGTCAGTTTAATTCTACCTAATTCCTCTCTTTTGTGTTTTTCATAACTTGATTATGTTGATGGCTACCTTCTTTGCCACTGGGAGATACTTTATACAATAATTATAGCTTTAATATCTTCTTACTCATCATTAACAATGGGCAATTAAGTATTATTCTGTTGTGCTTAAAAGTCATGTTGGTTTGGCCACAACTTTGTTACCAAGATCTGAGAGACAAACCACCCAGCATGAATGACCCAGTCAGGTTCAAGACATGGCAGGCTCTGCCTGGCTTCAGGGACTCACTAAGACTGCCATGGTCCTTAGGCATTTTTATCTTCATGGACTCCCATTAATGGGGATTAATGTTTATATTATATGACCACATTGGCATAAAGATAAATATGTTAGTATTATATATTAAGACATGTTCTTTGACCTAAAAATCTATTTTTTTCCTCCTGATTTTAAGAGAAATTAAAACATGTTAGTGCTCACTGTGCCTGATGGTTAAATAGGCCCTACCTCGCTAAGTTCACAAACTGCTGCTTGGTTAGCAACTTACACCCCAGGAACCTGGGTGTGCGGTAAACAAGTAATGTGGCTCCTGGTTTATATTTTTCATAACACATAATAGTTTTAAACTGTATCAAGTATCATAGGAGCAAAATGTTGACATGTTTAGAAAAGCTGCTGGGAGATGTTTCTACTTTCTAGGGCCTGTGGAAGACTTCATCTTGGCAGAGGGAAAAGGCTTCCAAGAATCTTCCAGTTATGCAAAGGCAAGGCCCAGCGGTACATCTGGACAGAGTAGGGATTGAGACAAGGATGAAGGGGCTTTTCCGAATAAAGTTGTGTTTTCCTTTGATGAAAAGTTGTTGTGTGGTAAAATTTGGGACTTCCTCTGGTGGCCCAGAGATGGGAATTTGACAGCCTGGGGACTGAAGAAGAGAGGACAGGGTTTAAAGACCTAGGATTTTTGGAGGAGCTGGGCCTAATGGAGAGTCAGCCATGAAAGAACTCCCTAGGGTGGGAGATGGCAGGTGGGCCATGGTTTCAGTAAGATGCTATTCAGGTTTTCCTCCTGCACTGTAATCCTCTTATGGTTTCCTCAAGCCTTTAGAAAAGTCTGGGACACACCATGGGCTGTGTCAGTGGTCCTAGGGTTTAAGGAAGGGCACTCTTCCCTGTTTGGAGCAAGGGACTTCCCCCTTATAAGGCTAGGGCAGAGGCAGCAGCAGTGAATGAATGATAATGCTGATTCCGACTCCCAGTAACTAGAAACAGCGTGAATGGGGGGCGCTGTGGTGCCACCAGGTGCAAGCAGAGGAGCAGGCTGCAGTGTGTCCAGGTCAAAAATGCGCTTGAGACAAAGGCTGTTTCTCCCTAGTACACTGGAAGACATTGATCCTTGAATGGAAGGAGGCAGGGAGAGGAATTAGATCCTGTTTTTACATGGTTAATGGTCCCCAAGAAGCTGAAGTTTATAATTTCCTCACCTCTCTGAGCCCATCTCTTATTATAGTCTCTTTGCTCCCAGCTCCAGCCACATTGGGCTCCCCATTCTCACTCAAACATGCCTGGGAAGCACCCACCCTGAGCCTTTGCACTTGTGCCCTCCATCTGGGATGCTCTTACACCAAGTATGTACATGGCTCAATCTCTCACTTCCTTCAAGTCTTTGCTCAAATATCGCCTTTCTCAATGAGGCTTTCCATGACCAATGTATTTAAAATACAACACTCCTGATCTTCCTGCCCTGCTTTATATTCTTCCTTGCACTTACCACCTTCTAAAGCTTATCCCCTTCCTTGCTTGCCTGTCCCTCCCCTCTGGAGTAGAGGCTGCATTAGGGCAGGCAGTTTTGTCTACTTGCCCACTTCTGCATCTGCAGTGCCCAGAGCAGAGCCTATTATATGGTAGACTTCAGCAAATATTTATTGGGTGCATGAATGAAGATAACAGCATCTGGGTTATACAAAGTGCTTTGAATAACCTCTCTAACTGAATGTAAGCTTATAGATATGTTATATAGCAACTGAAAAGCGTAATTGGGTAAATAAGGTGGGGACAGGTTTGCATTGAGTGACTGATCATTCACAGTCTCGTTTGGCTTAGATGGTGTTTATCAAGCAGTAGGTGGCTGGTTTTAAAATGGTGTTTTGTAGAAACCTAGGTGCTGTAGGGTGTCTTTCAATGTTTGTTCTTAATTTTGTTTTCAAATATATTTTTAAATATTTTTGAGAGTAAAACGCATGCTTGAATGCATTGTATATTAAATTTGAATATATTGGCAATTCCTGAGGCACATTACTGTCAGGTTAACTCACTTTAAAAAAAATACAGCTTGGGAATAAAGATCATTCTGCCATTTCTATGAATGTATTTGGATTTCTTCTAAGTGTGTCCATAAAATGTTATTTTAAGTTTCACTCGTGACACTTTATTTCTCACAATGGATGTAAGCAGTTAATTTTGTGATTTTTTGTTGGAAAAAATAATGATTTTCTACTGTTCTCTTTCAAGCTTCTGAAACGAGTTAATTGAAGATCATCTTGAGGGTGCAAGGTGAACTGAAAATACATTGTTGTTTTCTCTATGTTTCTCTGAGTGTCTGGATTTTCTTTTTATTTTATTATTGTTTTTTATCTTATTTTAGATTCAGGGGTATGTGTGCAGGTTTGTTATATAGGCAAACTGTGTGTCACAGGGGTTTAGTGTACAGATTATTTTGTGCCCCAGGTAATAAGCATAGTGCCCGATAGGTTTCTTTTCTGATCCTCTCCCTCCTCCCACCCTTCACCCACAAGTAGGCCTCAATGTCTGTTGTTTTCCTCTTTGCGCTCATGTGTTCTCGTTGTTTAATTCCCAGCTGTAAGTGAGAGCATATGGTATTTGCTTTTCTGTTCCTGTGTTAGTTTGCTTAGGATAATGTCCTCCAGCTCCATTCATGTTGTTGCAAAGGAACTGATCTCATTCTTTTTTATGGCTGCACAATATTCCACCATGTATATGTACCACATTTTCTTTATCCAGGCTACCCCTGATGGGCATTTAGGTTAATTCCATGACTTTGCTATTGTAAATAGTGCTGTCGTGAACATACGCATGCGTGTGTCTTTATGGTAGAATGATTTAGATTCCTTTGGGTATATACCCAGTAATGGAATTGCTAAGTCAAATGCTAATTCTGTTTAAGTTCTTTGAGGAATTGCCACACTGCTTTCCATAATGGCTGAACTAATTTACACTCCACCAGCAGTATAAAAGTATTCCCTTTTCTCCACAACCTCACCAACATCTGTTATTTTTTGGCTTTTTAGTAATAGCCATTCTGACTGATGTGAGATGGTATCTCATTGTTGTTTTGATTTGCATTTCTCTAGTGATTAGCGATGCTGAGCTTTTTTTCATATGCTTGTCAGCTGCATGTATGTCTTCTTTTGAAAAATACCTGTTCGTGTTCTTTGCCCACTTTTTAATAGGGGTAGTTTGGTCTTTGTTTGTAAAATTGTTTAAGTTCCAAATAGATTCTGGATATTAGACCTTTGTTTGATGCATACTTTGCAATTATTTTCTCCCATTCTATAGATTGTCCGTTGACTCTGTTGATAATTTCTTTTGCCAGCAGAAGCTCTTTACTTTAATTAGGTCCCATTTACCAATTTTTGTTTTTGTTGCTATTGTTTTTGGCATCTTTGTCATGAAATCATTGCCAGGTCCTATGTCCAAAATGATATTTCATAGGTTACTTTCCAGGGTTTTTATCGTTTTAGGTTTTACATTAAAGGCTTTAATCCATCTTGAGTTAATTTTTGTATATGGTATAAGGAAGGGGTCCAGTTTCAATCTTCTGCATAGTTATCCAGATGGTTTTCCTAGCACTATTTATTGACTAGAGAGTTCTTTCCCCATTGCTTGTTTATGTTGGCTTTGTTGAAGATCAGATGATTCTAGGTGTGCGTCATTATTTCTGGGCTCTGCATTCCGTTCCAATGGTCTATGTAGGATTTTCTCAATACTACATGATCAAAACAAAAGGCAAAGATAAGATGGGTGCCAAACTAATACGTAGCAGAAACTCTCCTCAATAGCCTTGTTTTCAATATTTCTTCGAAGTGGTAATGTGTTATACTTTTGTATTTGTTGTACTTTGGGTGGTCTTGCTTTATTTTTGTTTTTTGTTTTCCTATGAAACTGATGCAGCTATGTAAATGAGCTCGTGTCACCATAAGGATATAATCTCATGTCTTCCTAAAGTCATGGCACCTGTAGATCCAAGTGTTGTTCTGTACCTGCTCCTCTGATCTACTTTCTGGGTTAATGTAACTTTATATCAAGAAGATTTTGAATGTGGAAAGCTAATTTTACACAGGGTGTGGGGAGGCAGTGAAGTTTTTAATTGACAAGCTGTCAAATTCACTTTTTTCTATGAGTTTTTACATTTACATAGATTCTTGTAACCAAAGCAGAAAAATTCCAATGTTCCAAAGAATCCCACCTCCTGCCCCTTTATTAAGACCCATCCTCATCACATACCCCTGGCAACCACTGATCTGTTTTCTGTTCCTATATTTTTGCCTTTTCCAGAATATCTTATAAATGTGATTATATGGTATGTAATCTTTTGAGACTGGGTTCTTTCACTTAGCATGATGCATTTGAGATTCATCCAAGTTGTTATGTGTATCAATAGTGCATAGCTTTTTATTGCTGAGTGGTATCTAGTGTATGTATACAGCACAGTTTATCTACTCACGTACTGGAGGACAATTGGGTTGTTTCCAGTTTTTGGTAATCACGAGATATTGCTATAAACATTTGAGTACAGATTTTTATGTTAACATAAGTTTTTATTTCTCTAAATACAAAAAAAATGAAATGGTTGGGACATAGGTGAACATATGTTTTGCTTTTTAGGGAAGCGCTTATGTTTTCCAGAGTGGCTGTATAATTTTGCATTTCTACCAGGACCATCTGAGAGTTCCAGTTGCTCCACATTCTCATCAGCACTTAATATTGTCAGTTTTGTTTTAGTTATTTTAGCCATGTTAGTGTATACGCTGGTGTGTCATTGTGTTTTTATTTTTTACTTACCTAATGACTAAAGATGTTGAGCATCTTTTCATATGGTTATTTGTTATCAGTATACCTTTGGTGAAGTGTCTATTTAAACCCTTTGCCATTTAAAAAAATTGAGTCGTTTTCTTATTGTTGAGTTTTGAGGGTTAGATATGTGATTTACAAATATTTTCTGCTAGTCTGTGGCCGATGTTATGTTTTGTTGTTGTTGTTTTGAGACAGGGTCTGGCTCTGTCGCCCCAGCTGTAGTACAGTGGTGCGACCTCAGCTCACTGCAACCTCTGCCTCCTGGGTTCAAGCCATCCTCCTCCATCAGCCTCCCAAGTAGCTAGGACTACAGGTGCATGCCACCATACCCAGCTAATTTTTGTATTTTTTTGTAGAGATGGGGTTTCACCATGTTGCTCAGGCTGGTCTTCAACTCCTGAGCTCAAGTGATCTGCCCACCTCGGCTGCCCAAAGTGCTGGGATTACAAGCATGAGCCACCATGCCCAGCCAATGTTTTCATTTCCTTAACCATATTCTTCACAGAAAAAATTTTTAATTTTGCTGGAGTTTAATTTATCAATACTTTATTTTATGGATTGTACTTCTAGTGTCACATCTGGAACCCTTTGGCTAACCCAAGGTCAAAATATATTCCTATCCCTGCTTCTATGAGTTTTATAGTTTTACATTTTACCTTTAGGTCTATTACCCATTTAAAGTTAATTTTTATATAAATTGCTTTTAATTCTTGACTTTTCAAAACGATTGGTTGTTTTAATTATTTGACTTTCTTTTTGAATGAAAATGACATTATCAAACTAACACATGTTTCTTATACAAGATACAAAGATGAAAGCTAATATTCACTCTCAAACATCACCATGCAGAAACGACTATCTCTAACTCTTGATGAACATCATTTCGGAAACCCCTCTGATATACACATTCATACATGCATGCAGATACAGCTAGGAAAAAAAGGTAAGTATGTGAAAGACAGGTAGGTAGCTTTTATTTTATTGGGAATATTGTCTTCTTAAGAAACACCCAGCTGGGCGCGGTGGCTCACTCCTGTAATCCCAGCACTTCGGGAGGCCGAGGTGGGCGGATCATGAGG
This sequence comes from Homo sapiens, assembly GCF_000001405.40. Lineage (NCBI taxonomy): Eukaryota > Metazoa > Chordata > Mammalia > Primates > Hominidae > Homo > Homo sapiens. Next base: position 8,185,562 of record NC_000011.10, read on the forward strand.
TCAGGAGATCAAGACCATCCTGTCCAACATGGTGAAATCCTGTCCAACATGGTGAAACCCTGTCTCTACTAAAATACAAAAACTAGCTGGGCGTGGTGGTGCGGTGATTGCAGTGAGCTGAGATTGTGCCACTGCACTCCAGCTTGGCGACAGAGCGAGACTCCCTCTCAAAAAAAAAAAAAGAAAAGAAAAGGAAAAAAGAAAAAGAAACACCCATTATATATATTGGGTTTCCTTATCTACCAACTTCCTCATGATAATGTCTATTTTTAAAAATTTTTTATTCCATTTTGTCTTATGTGATTTCCTTAATTCTGACCGTAAGGACTCTGGCTGTATTTTCACTCATTTTTAAATGTTATTTGCTGTTTCTGATGTGAAGTGGATCTCTGTAATCTTCTCTCTCTCTCTCTTTTGCTTTTGCTTATTTTCTTGACTTTTGCCAGATTATTATTTCATTTTTTATAAGCTCTTCTCCATACCTTTGTGTCTGTTCTCTAAATTTTTCTTCAGAAAGAGAGATCATGTCATCTATAATTTAATGAAAGCTGTGGGAAATTATTTGTCCGAGTCCTTCCGTTGTTTGCGCGGGTAATTCCTCTTGAACTTTGTTCTTCATCTGCTTTTTCTTTATGTTCCTCTTCTTATGTTCTCCAGCCCTGACCCTTTGCTAAGGTCCTGTGTAATTTCCAGGGGATTGGTTCTCATCTTTAAATGGAGTGGGTTATTTGTTGAAGAAAAGTGTGGGGAGAGGAGATAGAAGAGTGAGTTAAGATAGTTCACAGCTTCAACTGAAGCCAGTAGTGGCAAACGGCCCCTCAGCAAATCTGTTATTTTACCTGCCCAGTGTGCCTGTCTTCCATTTGTCCTCAGTTTCAAGAGATTTATAAGGCTCATAGCAGGGATCCTAAAGTCACAGGTTCTCTGTATTATAATCTTATGACCCTCATTTAAGCCCCTTCTCCATAACCATTTCCCCTCCAGGTCAGAGTCCGGATAATAGTAATAATGGTGGTGCTGCTGCTTCTCCATCCCCTGCCCCCACAAAAAAGACTAGTTGATGAGTCAGCACCATTTATTGAACAACCAGGCTTTCAAATGTTGATTCAAAATGCTACCCTTATAGTAAATTCACATCTATGTTTTGATTTCTCTCTGGACTCTCCATTCTGTGCCAATTATCAGTCTACCATGTCAGTAGTGTACTGTTTTATTTACTATAGCTTAATAATATGTTTCGTTATCAGGTGGAGCTAACTCATTATCATTCCTCTTATCTAGAATTTTACTGCCTATACGTACAAATATCTTTTCCAGATTAACATTATAATCACTTTCTAAGCCATTGGTAGGATTGGTATCACAATTAATGTATACATCTATTTATTGATAATTACCATCTTTATAAAATTAAGTTTATTTTGTTTATAGCCAAACATTAGTTGTATCTTCATTTATTTTAGTCTTTTCACTCCTCAGTAGAGGTTTATAGGTTCTAAACACTTTTTCTCAAATGCATTTCTGGGCATTTCTGCTTTTACCACTACTGTAAATGTGAACTTTTTTCCTATACTATATTTAACCCATTTTTTATATAAGAAAAATCTGTTTTTATATTTCAGTTTTCTAATTGTCATTTACCATGTGTTGTTTCCGTTAAATTGTTTGGATTTTTTCATATCAATTACAAATAATTGTAATTTTACCTCCTCTTCCCAATTTCACGTCTTGTATTTATTTCTTCTGGCTGTTTATATTGGTCAATAACTGCGCAACAGTGTTAAATAATACTGGTGTTACAGTATACCCTGATTTTATTCCTGATGTTGATAGAAATGATTCTGAAGTTTTAACATTAAGCATAATGCTGACTTTTAGTCTGAGGACATCTAAGTGTATTAACATGGTAATTAGATTAACATTTTCCTAATTTTAAATCACTCTTGCATTTCTGGTATGAATTTTACTTGGTATTGCCAAAAATATGCTACTACGTTCTACTTGCTAATATTTTATTTAAGATTCTTGCTTTCCTATTCAAAAGTGAAATTAGACCGGTGCGGTTGTTCATGCCTATAATCCCAGCACTTTGGGAGGCCAAGGTGGTGGATCGCTCAAGGCCAGGTGTTCAAGACCAGCCTGGGCAACATGGTGAAACCCCATCTTTACCAAAAATACAAAAATTAGCCAGTCTCCTAACCCGGTCTCAAAAGAAATAAATAAATAAATATATAAAAAATTTATTTAAAAAAATGAAATTAATCTGTAGTAGTTTTCATGTCTTGTCAAGTTTTACGATCAATGTTCATGTATCTGCATGTATATATTTACTATATATACATATATAAATGTATCCATTAAAATTTATATGATATACATCTTGATTTTTTCATGTAACATGTTTTAAAGATATTCTTATGACAGCATATGTTTTTAAGCATGGATAGATCATACTTTTTATTTACGTATTTTTTTCTTCAACTTTTATTTTACGTTCCAGGGTACTTGTACAGGATGTGCAGGTTTGTTACACAGGTAAATATGTGCCATGGTGGTTTGCTGCACAGATCAACCCATCACCTAGGTATTAAGTCCAGCATCCATTATCTATTCTTCCTGATGCTCTGCCCCTCACCCCCACCGTCCCCCGACAAGCCCCAGTGTGTGTTGTTCCCTGCGATGTGTCCATGTGTTCTCATCAACATTTGTTTAACTTGTTTTGTTACAAAGACTCCTGAGATTTTCTTTCCTTTTTATGCACTGGACTAGTTCAACTTCAGAATTATTTGTTCCTCAGAGGTCTGGAAGAGGTTACATGAGAAACTATTTGTATATGTGTGCATATGCATGTATATATAAGTACTATTTCTTTTACAACTTTCTCAATATCTTCCATGATTATTAACATGTCTTTAGTCAATTTTGATAACATTTTTCTAGAAATAATTTCACACAACTTTAAAAATACATTAGCATGGAGTTATGGAAAATTTTTAAATAATAATATTTTAACTTTCTACATATTTGTGGTTATTTCCCTGTTTTGTGTATTTGTGCTTCTTTTTGATGAATTAACTACAGGTTAAGCATCTCTAATCTGAAAATCTGAAGTCTGAAATGTTCCAAAATCCACACCTTTTCTAACACTGACCTGACGCCATGTCAGGAGGCCAAAAGCCTGTCGTTGCGCGTTGTTGCTGTTTTTAACAGCTGATCCGGGTATTCTGGGAATGCTACTGTGCTGCTTAGTTACCTTGAACACATTATTTTTTCACTGTATTAAGGGTATATCATATTTTTTACTGTTAAGTACTTCTGTGTGAATAAATAGAAGAAAATGCTTATTGGTAGCATATAAATTCAAAGTCAGGAAAGATGGTGATGCCAAACAACCACAAATTGTCCACATGGTGGCTGAGACAGTGACACCTTCGCTTTCTGACGGCTCAGTGTACACAAACTTGTTTTATACACAAAATTATTTAAAATATTGTGTAAAACTACTTCCAGGCTATGTGTGTAAGGTCTATATGAAACATAAATGAATTTCATGTTTAGACTTGGGTCACATCCCAAAGAGATCTCATTATGTATATGCACATATTCCAAAATCTGAAAAAGTCTGAAGTCCAAAACACCTCTGGTCCCAAGCATTTCATATAAGGGATACTTAACATATAGTAATTTATCTACTTTATTTTAGCCTTTTCATCAATTGGGTAGTTAATAAATTGTTCTTAATGAATTAAATTATATTTTTATTATTAATTTCTTCTTACTACTTTTCTTGGGATGATTTTGTATTTTTTCTTGTTTAGTTGGATGCATGAATCAATTTAATTATTGTAATTGTTTCTTGTCTAATGTTTAATGTGTAGCTAAGCTAGGGAGCACTGGATACACACATGCTACTCTCTGTCATATCACAGGGTCCCTTGAAATTTGGTTTCGGCCATGTGAGTTGCTCTGGCCCATTTGTTGTGAGCAGAAGTGATGTGTGTTTTGTCTGAACTGAGAGGGTTAAGAGCCAGTATGTTTTCTCCCTCCTCTTTCGTCCATTTTTACCACCGCCTTATAGGCCATGAATTCCAGATGGCATAGCTACTCCATCAGCCTACATTCTTAATGACTGTTGGAAACAGGCATGGACACTGAACAAGAAATAACCTTTAATATGTTAAGCCACTGTGATTTCAGAGTTTGCCTTTGGTGCCAGCTATTAGTTACTTATCTTGTCTAACAATGTGTTTGAGACTATGACTCTTCCTCTGAGTAGAGCTTTAGACATATCCAAAAGTTTTGATATGCAATTGAAATAGTTTGGGGTTTTGTTCCCTCCATATATATACATATATATATATATATATACACACACACATAAACAGTCCCCCAAATATATATATATTTGTGTATATATACACATTGTGTATATATATAGTGTATATATACATTGTGTATATATAGTGTATATACATGTATACTATATATGTATATATTGTATATATACATTGTGCATATTGTATATATACATTGTGCGTGTATTGTATATATACATTGTGCATGTATTGTATATATACATTGTGCGTGTATTGTATATATACATTGTGTGTGTATTGTATATATACATTGTGTGTGTATTGTATATATACATTGTGTATATATATAGTGTATATATATGTATGTATATATATAGTGTGTGTATATATATATTATATATATATATATTATTCCCCCCCCACACCTGCTTCCTGAGCTGGCAAATAGGGCTGGGCTGGGGCACAAGCTGCCTGAAACCATCTGAAGGGAGTAAGTGGAATCCAAGCTAATCTATAGGAAAGCCTCAAGCCAAGAACCAGAGAGATGGATTGCAAATGCCAAGACCAAAGGGGAAGAAGGAGCTTTGTGAAGGGTGTGCGTGTGTGTGTGTGTGTGTGGTGTGTGTGTTTGTGTGTGTGTGTGTGTGTGTGTGTTCCTTTTGTTCATTCTCACAGCTGCAAGATACATCTGCTTAGGCCAGCTTTTGAAATCTCAGTCTGGCCAGAACTCCAGGCCCTCCCACCCTACTTAAGTCAGTCTATAAATGCAAACTGCAACTATCTGCCAGGCCCCTCCTAGGCCTGCTGCATTTATTCCTGACTTGCTTCTTCTCAAGTGCCGTGCCCCATTAGGTTACCAATTCTTGGCTCCATCTCTTCTTCACAAATCTGTTTCTTCTCCTTTGGTCTTGGTGTTTGCAATCTGTCTCTCTGTTTTTTGGCTTGAGGCTTTCCTATAGACTATCTTAGATACTGCTTACTCCCTTCAGATGGTTTCAGGCAGCTGGTTCCCCAACCCAGCCCTACTTGCCAGCTCAGGAAGGGGCTGCGAGGAAAATGCCATCCTTGGGTTTCCCTGCAGAGCTCCACCCTCTCTCATTCCTCCTCTGTCTCACGCTTCCTCTGCCGAAGGTCAGATGCACATGCTGCACTGAGTGGGTGCCCTGCGGCCTAGGTGGCCTCAGCTTTCAGCTTGGCATATGGGAATTTTGGAGCTTGTTGGGAGGCCCCAGGGAGGATGGAGACATAGTGCTGCCACCACTGCCGTTTTCAGAGCCTCAGAACAATCTGTATCCTTGGGCCTTTTCCATAAGAGGGAGTGTGGGAATACATATGATTTATAATGTAAACAATATATACCGACAGGATGTGAATGAATAAAAGATGAGTAAATAAAAGCACAAGAATAAATAAGCATCCTGCCTTGGCCTTGCTCTGCGCAGCAAGGGATATGGTGGAAGCATCATGGCAGGACAGGGCAGCTAGTGGCTGCTGCCTCAGCCTTCCTCCTCACTGGAAGCAGCCACTCTGCCCACCCTCTGTACCCTAACCTTGAAGCCCTCCTGACTTCAGCAGATTCTACATTAGGAGCTGACCTCTTCACACTGGGGCAGTTTGGTGCACAGAAAAAGCACAGAACAGATACTAACTAGCATTTTAACTTCACACAGATCAGTATCCCTCCCTCCTGCTATCCTCCAGGCCCTGGTTTCCCAATCTGTAAGTGAAGGGATTAGACTAGATGTCCTCTAAGTCCTTCAGGAATGTCCTTTCATAGTCCATCTTATCAGAAGGGTCAGTGTGATGCACCCTATTTCTGAGCCTCAGTTTTCTCATCCATAAAGTGGAGGTTCTGATGGGAGGTCTCAAAGGGCTTGATATGGTTTGGCTGTGTCCCCACCCAAATCTTACCTTGAATTGTAATAATCCCCATGTGTCAAGGGCAGGGCCAGGTGGAGATGATTGAATCATGTGGGTGGTTCCCCCATACTGTTCTCATGGTAGTGAATAAATCTCATGAGATCCAATGGTTTTATAAATGGGAGTTCCCCAGCACAATCTCTCCTTGCCTGCTGCCATGTGAGATGTGACTTTTGTCCTCATTTGCTTTCCACCATGATTGTGAGGCCTCCCAAGCCATGCTGAACTGTGAGTCAATTAAACCTCTTTTCTTTATAAATTACCCAGGCTCAGGTATGTCCTTATTAGCAGCGTGAGAACGCACTAATACAGGGCTCTTCCACCTCTGATGCTCTGCTAGGTGGCTCTGACTTGCTACCAGAGTTTGCGGCAGAGGCATGCGCGGACACGCGCGCGCACACACACACACACGCACGCAGGCACACACACTCCTCCAGACTTCAGGGCAGCCTGGAATGGGCTTGGTTTCTGGGCCTGCAGCCCTTAGGCAGATTGGCGGCAGCACTTCCATGTAACCTTCCCTCCAGACCTCCAACGGGTTGGACCCTGTGCCCTCTCTCTCCTGGTCCGCGCATGACAGAAGGCATAGGTATCATCTCCTGTCCCAAGGGCCCACATGCCCCAAAGCCCTCCTGCTGCAGCCCTCAGGAACTGTGTGGTGAACCCCTGTTCTGTACCTGCACCTCTGTGCTTGGAACTGAATGTGCCCTCAGGAAGCAACTGTCTAAGGTGGAGAGGTGGGGAAGAGGAACCCGAGAGAGAGAAATTGGTATCCACAGGGGACGTGAGAGAGGGCATAGGGGGCCAGAGGAAGCAGAAGGCAGGCAAGCCAAGAGGAAGGCTGGGGCATCCTCTGGAACTAGCAGGAGATGGTTTTTTCTAGGGACACGACTTCTGGCTTGAGCCTGAACTTAGTGCAGCCTCTGGGTTGCTCCTCCATCCTGCCAGCAGATGGCAGTGTGTGTATGGGAACCAAGGTGAAAACTCCTGGGATCACCAGCAGACGATTCTGCAGGCTAGAGAATAGGAGGGAAATCACTGTCCTTCTTGCCAAAGAGCTGGATGATCAGATAAAGGGTCATGTATCCTCCTGAAGAATCACCCACTACCCTCATGAGCTGCTAAGGGGAGGCTTATCCAGGAGTGCTGGGGCCATGGTGTCCCTTCTTCTTCCAGTAGTCTGGTCTACCCCACCCTGCCCAGTGCTTAGGCTCCACGTGGGTCTAGGTAGGGGTCGGGATTGGCCACAGGCCCTCAGGGCACCCTCCCACTGAGAAGCCTGCCCCTGTGTAGCCAGCTCCTGCCAGCGGCGTTGCCCCAGCTCTCAGGCTGAAGCAGCTTCTGGGCAGCTCTCCCAAGTCCACTGCAGTCTGTGTCCAGGGTCCTGCGGCAAGGATTGGGTCATGTGGGCTCTGAGCCTGTTCCCAGTGGCCCCTACAGCTCAGCCTCACTGACTTAGTCCTGTTCTCAAGGCAAAACCCCATATGTCCACTACAGTGTCCTGAAGAGGGGACCCAGAGCAGCAAACAGCCTGGGCTCCACCATCCCTGGTCTTGGGCTGGCCCCCTAGCCTGAAATGAGAGCTTCCACAGACACCAACTAGCTCTGTCCTGCCTGGGATTCAGGATGCCTGGTTTGGACTGAATCACCAGCACTATTGCAGCAGACAGGACCCCAGACGCTATGGCGACCCCGGCCTGGGCAGAGATGCTGTAGCATCTGCTGCCTTCAGCACAGTCACCAGGCACTGCTCCTCAGGAGGCCTGCAGATGCCCTTTCTTCTTCAGCAGCCTAATAGGGCCTGGGCTGTGGAGTCAGACATGGCTTCTTGTCTCCACTCCACTAGTTACCATCTGCGTGGCTCAGAGCTAATGATTTCTTCTGTGAGCCCCAGTTTCCTCTTCTGTAAAATGAAAGTTTTAATGGTACCTCCATCATAAGATGGTGGGAGTGTTGGCCAAGCCCCAGTGGATGGAAGCTGCTCTGGTTTTGGTGGACACTGCCTGAGAAATACTCTCAGTAGGGGGGAAAGGAAAGGTTAGTGACTGGATTTAAGGCTTGACTGAGCTCAGACTCCTTATTCTAGAGCAGGTCTCAGGCCAGCTGAGGCCAAATCTCTGGGACTACAGCTGAGGAAAAAGAACGCTTTCCACCTGCACTGCCAAGATGGGAAACAGAAGGCTGATCGTGGTGGGTGTCCCATATTGATAATTTTCTGGGGGCCTCTGGGGTCACTGGTATCCTGTGGTATCTGGGTTTGGGCTCTGTCATTGGCTCTGAGCTGAGCTCTGGGCTCCAGGCTCTGGGCTTGGGTTGGGTTGGTCCAAAGAGAATGTTGAAGATTATATTATTTAAGGGAATCACAGTGAGTTCAGCTTGTTAAGTACAGGGTTTGGCACACGATCACTGATCAAAACAGAATGAATGAATGCACACTATTTTTCACTGACCGCAGTTTTCCTAATAGACCCTCTCTGCTGGCTGGGGCCCTTTTCAAATAGGAAGGAGACAGGAATTAAGGGTTCCAATTCTTACACTTTCTGCTTTCTGCTTTGGTCAGCCTCTGTGACTTTGGGTCCTCATTTACAAATGAGACAGGGTAATCTCTATAGGGTCTTCCAGCTCTGGGATGACTGGGTCCTAAAGGGAGAGGGTTAGCAAGGCCTGAGAGCAGAGAGATTCCTTCCTGAGGTGGGAGAGAGGACTTCATGGGTGGTGGTGACTCCCCAGATATGAGTATACACTGGGTGTTGGAAGAATCTTGTCCAGAGAGAGAGGCATTGTGGGCTGGATCAGCAGTGACAGTAGGTCTGGGTGTTTGTGCCATAGCTGCTTCCTGATGGCACATTTTCCTTTGCTCTGCAGCCCCACACCCTGCTGACCCTGGCAGTCATTTCCCCTAGGTTTGTCTTACCAAGACCTGGGGCACAGGTGGGGACTGTTGAGAAGAAAGTTCATAGATGGGTAGTGATGGGATTTGCCTGCCTTTGGATCTGTGAGGTCATGGGTCTTGGGAGATAAGCTTCTGGTTAACTTGGGGGTCATTAGTATACAAGGAACAGAGCATCACTGGGGTCAACCCAAGTAAGGGAGACAAATAAGCCAAGAATCTGAGTCTTTCAGAAACCCAGACGGGACCCTAAAAGTGCAGGGTCTCAAGAGTCTAGGTGGAAGCTAGTTCCAGATCCCTGGTGGCTGGAGGACTTCAGTGACAGGACAGGTCCTCATACTCCTCACCGTGGTGCTGTGTCATTAACCCAACTAAGCCATGCCCAGTGTATCTGCTCCTCTGCCAGATATCACCGTTCTTCTCACAACCCTCTGTATTCTCTCTGTGTTTCCAGTTCCTTTTTACTTACGATTTCTCAATTTCAGCTTGCCATAACCTTCCACAGCCCTTCAGCACTCACGCCCCCATACTCTACTGTAAGACCTTTCTAGATGCATCTTTGTTTACCTTCTACTCCTACTACTAACTGACTTTCTCCAATTTTATAATCCAGATTTCCAAAAGCAAGAATATGATTTGCCATCACCTGGTCAGGTACCAAGTTCTTGTCCAGTGAGCTGTGTTGGGGTATAGCATAGTACAGTATTGCTGCCTAGAGAGGGCAAAAGAAGACGCTTTGATGGCATGCAAGGAGGCTGCTTGCAGTTGAGCAAGTTGTGCCATGCACAAGGGTAACTGACTGAGGGGGAAAGTAGGAGCTGTATCCTATCTGCACCACGTGGCAAGTCATGCATCTTTATGTGGGGCTGCATCAACCCAGAAGAAAGGAGAAAGGGGTGCCTTTGTCAGAAGAGAAGTGGCCCTGTGATGTGTCAGATACTATGATTAGCATATAATCTTTTTGTTACATAGGACAATGCATTTCTTATCTCTTCTCCATTTCACCCTGTGTCTGGTAGCTTTTGCTGCATAACAAACCAACCCTCCCTTAAATTAGTGGCTTAAAGTAATAACCATCTATTATTGCTTATGAGTCCAGGGGCTGGCTGGGTGGTTCTGCTAATTTGAGTCTGGTTTCGTTGCTCCAGGCTAAGCTTCTTTACGTGTGTGCCTTCAGCTGGAGGCTCAGCTAGGGGCTGGATGATCTAGGGTGGCATCGCTCACACAGCTGACAGCTCTGCTTCTGGAAGTTGACTGGACGTCACTTGGGGGTACAGGGGTAACAGGGCTACATGTCTGTCATCAATTAGCAAGCTAGCCTGGACTTGGTCACAGGACAGCTCAAGGTTCAAGGAAAGCAAATGGAAGCAGGTAAAGCCTCTTTTGGTGTAGGTTTAGAATTTGAAGTGTCTCTTCTGCCATATTCTTTCAGCCATTCACAAAAACCACCCCAGATTCAAGGGATAGGAAAAAAGACTCTTGATGGGATATGTTTCAAGTCACATTACAGAACGGAAAGTAGAAGAATAACTTACAGCCATTTTTGCAGTCTATCACACACCACCAACTCTGCCATGATGCTCCATCTGCCGGGGAAGAGGTGACCAGAGAGTGGACCTAAGCATAGCCCAAGGGAGCTCATGAGAACAGAAGTTCATGGGGGTACTCCTAAGCCTTGTATACATATCTAATAGTCTTAGATGTGGATTCAACTAGGTGTGGGTTGGGAGAAAGAAAACATGGAGCTTCTTTTTCACTAAGAGCCCCTATCTTTGCTCTTACAATTTATATAACTTGAAATTATCATAGTTGCCAATGCCTTCCTGAAACTTACGCCCCTGAGAACACTTTCTTAGCCATCATGGGTGTAGGGATAGGGATAGGAGGGATATGCAGATGAAGGAATGAGGTTGAGAAACTGGGAAGTCCAGGTTTTGGGTGGGCCAGAGATATCCCCATAGATCTCTCAGCTCCCCTTGCCTATAGGCACAAAGTTGACCTTGTTCTTACCCAAACTGCTTTGCCTGTGAAGCCTTCTTCTCTAGTATTTCTTATGACCAAAGTCTCCTATTTTTGAGATACTCACACTTCCTTATCCCTGCTTCTACTGTTCTTGTCCTTATTGTGGCAGCTCCTCAAGTCTTCCTTTTTCTAGAACTCCTTCAGACTTCTCCTGGCTTTAGTTCCTCTCTATCCTTCCACTGATCCATTACATCTACCTCTGTCTTGTCAACACACTCAGTTCCATTGACCTCTGTTTTCCTCACTGCCATTGTCAGTGATTTCCTAATCTGGCATCAATCCAAGTACCATCTTTCCTGTCCCTGCACACAGGGAGCTGAGTTGTCCTGGGCCAATTACCCAAACACAAGAAAGAGAATCCTACAAATTATGGTCTCCTTTCTTCCAGGTCCTCCATAGTTCCCACCCATCTCTCTGTCAGTACCCAGCATATCTGTCTCCTGCTTTCCACAGAAGCTATTTCAGAATTTATTTCCTCTCCTCTAACCTCCTGCTGCACCACCAGCCACTTCAGTCATGATAAAAAAAAAAACCCTAAGGAATAGAGACCTTCATATGGAAACTCCTTTCATGCCCTTCTCTATCAATAACAACTTTCAACCTCTTCCTGACTGCTGGCTCTAACTCTAAATAGTCCTCAAACTGCAGCTTCCCCTTCCTCTCCTAGGTGAGCCACTTCAAAGTTATGCCCATACCAATGGTCTATTTAGGTTTAGTTTAGAGGAGGGCACAACCACATGGCTGATACGGGGGCCTGGGTGCCATGTGGGGGCTCCCATCTAAGACAAGACAGGGGCAAGGTAACTCCTACCCCATTTTAGGAAAAATTTGAAGCTCATGCACTTGAAACACCCACAACAAAGTCCAAAGGATAGTGGCAGAATCAGTTTGAGTTTTGGGGCAAAAGTTGAGCCACATGAGATGGTATCACAGGAAAAAGCAGATGAAGAAAGAACAAAGAAGAATGGATCTAGGAGATTTCTTTCAGCAACCTTGGAACATTCAGATAGTCTTCCTTGGCCTTTGAGTGCCATATGCCAAAGGGATAAGGGAAACACTGACTTAGTGTGTGGGAAATGGAGGCCACCAGCTCCCTTCATAGGTAGGGTGAGTCCAGGTTTTCCCTGGATTTTCCCGGAGGAAATGAGGATGTTTCTGAGAAGAGAGGAGGTAGGTAAGACCCTCCTTATCTACCTCTCTTTGGGTAGCCACACTGAACACTGTAACGGTAATAGCAGTCCATGGTGATAGGAGTATACAGGAGACTTAGTGAAGTTGGAGACTGCAGATTCCAGGCTCTTTCCTTGAGGAACAGAGAGATAGGTGAATGAGTGCAAAAGGGGGAGCAGCTGGTTCCTGGAGAATGGCAAGTGATGGCCTGTCTCTCTCCTGGACACCTGCACTGAACTCTCTTTGGTATGGAAGTTCTGACTTCCCTTTTTGGTGTGACAGCCAGACTGAGGGTGAGAGGGAAGAAGAGCCAGAGACTGATGGGATGTCTTCCCCATCCGGGGTGTCCTGCAGCACAGTTCTTGGCACACAGTGGGGTCTCAGTTAATATTTATTGAATGAATGATAAATGACTCTGGATACTCTGGCCATGTTTGGAAGGTAATTTTTCCATTTGTTGCTTTCTTCCATCCAGATGATGCTGTTGGCACCCAGGCTTTATGAAGACTATGCTGTCTGAGCAGACCCCAATGGCCAGATGAGTTCTACCTTGTTAATACCACACCAGATCAATTATGGCAGAGCCAGAGTTCTCCTCCACCCCATCCCAGGAGGTGGTATGCCGTTATGGAAGGAATTCGGGACTAAGAATTAATAAGGACTGATGTTCTGGTTCCTTCATCTTCATGGACTTGTTGAATAAATTTGGAAAGGTCACCTACCCTTGAGACTTCAGTGCCCTCCAGAGATGATAATCTCTGCCCCTATAGAGTTATGGCAAGATTAAATGAGCTAACAAATTGGAAGAACTTTGCAAATCATAAAACATGGTGCATAGGCATAGGACTGTAATGATAATGATACAAAGTGTAGCATCCAAGATAAGATAACGTCTTAACGAGGCAAAATGTGAAAGCTCTTTGAGAGCAGAATACATGGGTGATTCTTCTCTGTAGCCTCATAGGGCTTAGTAAAGCATCACATAGATGCTGAGTAAGTCATTGAATAGAACTGAATTTCATTCTTTGGAGGTCCTTAGTAGTGACCCAGATCTGGAGGTTTCAGGTCCAATGAAGGTAAAGGTCTCCATCACTTGCCGTTCTCCAGGAACCAGCTGCTCCTCCTTTTGCACTCATTCACCTATCTCTCTGTTCCTCAAGGAGAGAGCCTGGAATCTGCAGTATCCAACTTCACCAAGTCTCCTGTATACTCCTATCACCATAGACTGCTATTATCATTACAGTGTGCAGAGTGGCTACCCAGAGGGAGGCAGATGCACAGCATCAGCATCTGCCAATCAATCACTCCCTTTTGGAAACTCTACTTGATGCAAAACTGAAGGCAACAATTAGGCTAACCACATCTATTTCTTGTTATTGGGAGTTATTCATAAGGGCAGCCATAATTATTGTGCATTTTTGTGTCATTTCATAGGTTTCAATGTCTTAGTTGTCTTTGACCAAAAATTCATGAATACATTAAATTATATTAAATTATATTCCAGCCCACTGGTTCATACCTTGAGTGGGATCATGGTGTGTCCTCTGGAGTGCCCACCAGTGCCCACATACCTTTTCCTCCCTCCACCGCTGGCCATTGAGGATGCTTAACCTCAGTCCCCTGGGCACTGTTACAAGATGTTAAAAGAAGAGAAGAAGCTGTGGATTTAGTTAGCTATGAGAGGGCAGGTTTGATCTGAGCCCGAGAGCAGACCTGGGCTCAAAGAGAAAGGACTCCAAGTGCTCAGGAAGTGAGGGATGTGTCACAGAGACTCTAATGCTAGTGGACATTTTACAGCCTGTTTGCAGCTGGACTGGGTGGGAGTGGGAATCCAGATTCAGAAGAGCTCTATCTCTCCCACCTGACAACAGTGGCTCATGGCATGACGGTTCTGCTCTCCATCCTCTCCCTTGTTCTGCTCCTCCAAATGACCTCCCATCCTGGGTCAATCTCCCCTTTCCCCCTACACTCCTCCGGCCATGCCTGCCCCTCACCCCCAATAGATCAATCTCCCCTTTCCCCCTACACTCCTCCAGCCATGCCTGGCCCCTGCCCCCAATATTTGTCTCAGGGAATGAGCCTGGTGTGAGGGGTCCAGACTGGAAGAGAATGTGAGGAGCCTCAGGCCAGGAATGTCTGTGGCTCAGCAGTGTCTAGTCAGCCTGTTCCTGTACACCATTCTGATATTGGAGCCTCAATCCTTTATTCACCTATTTATTTAATAAACAATAATTGAGCATACAAAATGTACCAGGTTCAGTTTAATCATGTTCACTAAAACATGTGAAGTGCTTATGGGAACTCTTTGTAAAAGGTAAACTATCAGGGCTGGATGCCTATGACATCAGAGTTCTTGGTCTTCAAAAGATGGCACCTGGCTCCACTTGCTTGCTCTGTAATTTGGAGGTTAAGTTATTTAATTTCTCTGTGCCTCATTTTCCTATTTTGTAATATGGAAAGCATAATAACAATAGTAAGGGTATGGTAAGGATTAAATGAGGTAATATTAGGTTGAACCATATGAAATTGCCACCATTCAGCTATTTTTCAACCACAGAAACACCAATGTCATATGGTTTAACTTGCCAAAGTACTTAGTACTGTGGTTGGTATAGAACAAACTGCTCAGTCAGTGGTACCTTTGCTTTGTTTTATTTAGATGCTACAAGCCTAACAGTTCTTTCAACTCAACTGTTTGTGTAATGCTAACATTTAGATAGGAAGCTCTTTCTAGCACCACCAGGAACATTTTGACTCCAGATTAACATACTCAGTGGATAGGTTTTACTCAAGACTACCCATGGGGACAATCATGTTAGAGCAGGCAGTGATTGACAACAGTTAAACACGAGCCAAGGAACTACCTAATTGTGTTTAGGAGTTGGCATTTCTTTAGCTCTTATGCAAAGCAATGTTATCCACATTATTTAAATATAAAGCTAACTATTAATGCTAACTCATGTTTTCTCCATTTTTTTTTTTTTTTTTTTTTTCTGAGACGGAGTCTCGCTCTGTCGCCCAGGCTGGAGTGCAGTGGCGCGATCTCGGCTCACTGCAAGCTCCGCCTCCCGGGTTCACGCCATTCTCCTGCCTCAGCCTCCCGAGTAGCTGGGACTACAGGCGCCTGCCACCACGCCCGGCTAATTTTTTGTATTTTTAGTAGAGGCGGGGTTTCACTGTGTTAGCCAGGATGGTCTCGATCTCCTGACCTCATGATCCGCCCGCCTCTGCCTCCCAAAGTGCTGGGATTACAGGCGTGAGCCACCGCGCCCGGCCTTCTCCATTGTTTTAACAGGGTTTTATTTATAGGAAATCATAATGAAGTGGGAATTGTCTCTATACTTAATAAGCGATAATGTGCCCATTAATCACAAATAAATATATAGATATATAAATATTATATTATATATATTATATATTTTTATATATATTATATATAATATATAATATATAATATATATAATATATATATTATATAATATATATTATATATAATATTATATATATAATATTATATATAATATATATATTTATATATATATAAATATATATACACCAGAAACAGGAAGAAGCATGAACATGTCATCTCTGAGTGCAGTCCTCAGTCCTAGAGGTACAGGAAGGGAGTAGGGAGGTGGGATAAGAGTCTGTTTTCCAGAAAGCTTGAGTCCAGGAGAAGCACAGTGTCTGGAAGCCAGGGCCCTAAACAAAGCCCTCCTTCTCATTATATCTTCTTCTGTTAAATGACCCACTCAGGCAGCACTTTCACTGGAATCAACAAAGACTCTGGTCTGCCAGAAACCAGCCAACCCAACCCTGCGCCTAGAGCTCCTCCCAGGGTAGCACTGGTCTCTGCTCCAGTGCCTAGAGGTGAAGAGCTATCTGGCATCTGTCAGCTTTCCATGGGCAACCTGTGAGCAAGGCAGGCTTCTCAGGGTTTCATGGATTTTCTCAAAGCCCCTAGGGTTCCTCTTGCATTTCCTCCAATCAGGACCCAATTCCTAGTTTTCAAGGAAATGAAGCAAGGCTGCAAGCTCTGCAGTCTCCTGGGGCCTTCTGACTTGGCAGAGCAAAATGTACCAACACCTGCTGCAGCTGCAAGCCCCTTCCTATTTTTCCTCATCTCCCTCCTCCAGCATATTCTAGTCCTTAGAAAGCGTGCTATGGGGCTCCT
Organism: Homo sapiens; assembly: GCF_000001405.40. Taxonomy (NCBI): domain Eukaryota; kingdom Metazoa; phylum Chordata; class Mammalia; order Primates; family Hominidae; genus Homo; species Homo sapiens. Next base: position 8,202,054 of record NC_000011.10, read on the forward strand.
GAATTCCCTTTGGCTTTTAACAAAGAGGCTGTATTTTAATTTACAGAGTCAATGTGAGGAGTGGCAAGGTGAAAGCAGAACATGTGGTTTGCCAGTCATTGCTTTAGAGAAGGAAAGTCCCACCCCACGTGTTGCACAGGAGGCAATGGAAGCTCAGAAAAGAGGAGGGGCTCCCCCAAGGTCACACAGCAAGTCTCTTTTCCTTGCTCTAATAAGCTTTTCTTTCCGCAATATTGTATTAAGTGCCAAACTGTAGGCCACCCCTAAATAAGAAGAACTAGAGAGCCAATCTCAAAGTCTGCATCTCAGCCATAGAACCCTCTGTGTTACGAGGCCCTAGGGAAATGCAACCCCCCAAGTTTGAAGTGAGGAGGCTTCCTCTTGAAAAATCGGTTAAAACGCCCTCCTTTATGCACATGCCAACTTTGACTTCAAAAAGACTTTATTCCCAAGGATAAACAACCCTATGTTTGTGTAATATAATTAAGTGAAGGCATCTTTAAATGTCATACTAGCCTGTGCCCATTTCAAATTGTTATGCATCAACAGAACTTAACGAGATAGCCAAGCCTTCTCCTTGCTGTGAGACTGAGATAAGCCACAGCACTGTGGGCCCTTTAATAGATTGCCAAAATAAAGCATTTTCTATGCAAATTATTCATGCAGTGGGACAGCTAATTGCTTGCCAAGAGCCCGCCCACTGCCTCTCTGCAATTAGTCGTGAAGTTGAAGGAGCTCCAAACTCCGCAGGCGCACTCAGGGCCTCCTGCTCCTATGGCTTGTTTTCAGGTTAGCAGAAACTTTCTTTCCTCTGGTGATAGGGCCTGGTTGCCCTGGCACAGAGACTGTTGAGTAAGGGGAGTGAGGGAGTGGGCAGCAGGTAGATAACTAACGGTAAAGCGGGGAGGCCATTCCTGGACTGCCATGGCCCAGCACCTAACTCGTGTATAATGTGCACTTGGCAGCGGTTACACCCTGAGCTGCAGTTTGCTCATCTATAAAACTGGTTTGGACACTGGTCTGAGGGTCCCAATCATCTGGTGTTTTGAGAACAGGTGACAAAGGGAGTTGGGAGCAAGCTTAGCCCTCTCAAGGAAGGAGCTCAAGGAAGAACCCACTTTGAGCTCATAGGAAACCAGAGACTCAAGGTCACAATAGGAATTTGGAGTCAGAAAAATCTGCAGAGTCCCAACCTACCACCACTCCCATCCTGGCAATTGTTGTCATAGGCACAGGAAGTCTCTATGGTTGTCAAAGTAGAGTCTCAGATAATTGAACCAATGATTAGAGCTCTCCCTCACTCTCACACAAACCAACCGGCTCTCTCGAGTTCTCTTTCTGCCTCTCTCCTAAGTGTGTCTCTGAGTCTCTCAATGTCTCTCTCTCCATGTCCACGTTCTGTTGTTGCCTTTCACTCCCTCCCACCAATAGCTGGCTGTGGAAGCAACTCCAAGCATGGGCCAGCACCCAGTGGCCTCCTGAAACATGACCAGAGCAGATTTGATCTAGGAAAGGAAGACTAGGGTATCTTGCTCTTGCACCAGCTTGTGCAGGGCAATATCCATGATCTGGGATCACACATGCACCCCTCAGAGAGTTGGGGTCAGGACTCTAGCCTGGACAAGAGTACCTTTGGCCTCCGTTTCCAGGATTTGGTGAGACGGGCCAAACCCATGTTGTCCAAAGGAGCACACTTGCTCAGGGAGGGATCAAGGAGCCCCATGAGAGCCAAAGTGACATGCGTGAACATATGTGGTTGGGGAGGAAGGGCGTATTTTTGGTGTCTGGGCAGCTTTAGAAGCTAACTGCTCACGTGGTAGGTGAGGGCCTGGGCTAACCCATGGGTTCTTAGGTCAATGGTTTGCTTACTTAACAGAAGGCTATTTTCCTCATTAGAGTCTCGTGAACACATCAATATGGAAGTTATTTAACCTAGAAGAGTGATGGATAATGGTTGCTTGCCTTTGATATTCTTCAACAGCCTTTTGATACACTGAGAGCCCCGAGGAGGGCACAGATGAAAGGGCCATTTGGTTGGGACTGCAGCATCAGCTCTGCTCCTCCCCATGCTGATTGCTGGTGACTCCGACAGTCCGCACCAGTCAATCTACTTGGCTGAGCTTCCCCTGAGGCCCTGGCAGTTCTAGAAGTGCCTGGTAATCCTCCCATGCAGATGCGGGTGCACTGAAAACCCCTTGTTGCTAGAGAAGTAAATGACCCAGGAGGAACATCACATGGGGCCCTTGCTGCTGATTCACAATGGAGACGAAGGAACTGATCACATTAGCTGGGCAACTTGGGATGTGGCCCAGGAGGCAGGAAGAGCTTCAGTAGCTCTAGCCCTTCACTCTGGTCTCACTCAGAATCACATCCATCTGGTCCTTGCCTGGAACCCCAGACCTGATAACTTCATCCTAACTTGCTCTGGGGTTCAAGGCCCTGCCCAGTCATCTGCCGAGGACAACATAATCCTAAGCTTAGAGCCATCCGTTGCTTGGACCAACTTTGCCTCACTAACCCCCCATGGCCCCTGTGGCTGAGGTCCTGTCACCTGCTGATACCCAGAGTTCCCTGTACCTGGCCCTGTTCCAGGAAGAGCATGGCTCTTGAATTCCTCTCACCAAGCTCCACTGTGTTGGATGAGGGGCGCTGAGGCTGGGTGCATTATGCCTGGTGTTTGCCCCTTACCTTACGGCCTCCTTGTTCCTATTGCTTGACTGGCTCCTATTCAACACCTGAGAGAAGGTGGGGTGCAGTCAGGATGGGGGACTCTCCCTACCCACCTCATCTAAGCTAACTCCAAGTCCAGATCCCACCAAAGCTCTCCTGCCTCAGTGAAGCGGTCCTGCTCATTCATATGCAGAGGCATGACCAAGCTGGTCCCCAAAGGCTTGCGGCTGGAACATGTGGGGCTGGGTTGGGAGAAGGCAGAGCCACGGGATTCTCAGCTCTACCTGAGAGGGCAGGCCAGGAAGGGTGCAGTGATAAAGAGTGCAGTGAAGTGAGAGAAGACAGGGCAGGACGAGAATGTAGGGGACCGAAGAAACACTCAGAAAACCTGACCCCATGATTTGAGCCCTAGTAAGACAATAAAGTCCCCTCCACCTTCTTTTTCCCTAACTTCCTTTTCTTTCTTCTCCTCCCTTCTCCTTCCATTTGCTAAGGGGATGTGCTGAGACTCAGCTTTGCTATGGGTCTCACGGTATCTAGGGGCTAGCCTGGGAGCCCACCTCCCATGTGGAACGTTGTTTCTATCAAACATGCATCTGGAAGGCTCACAACTGTAATCCCAACACTTTGGGAAGCCAAGGCAAGAGGATCACTTGAGGCCAGGGTTTGAAATAAGCCTGGGTAACATAGTGAGACCCCATCTCTACAAAAAAATTCTTTTTAAATTAGCCAGACATAGTGGCATGCACCTGTAGTCCCAGCTACTTGGGAGGCTAAGGGGAGGATCACTTGAGCCCAGGAATTTAAGGCTGCAGTGAGCTATGATCACACCACTGCACTCCAGCCTAGGTGACAGAGCAAGACACTGATTCAGAAAAATAGAAAATGCATTCTAACTCCCTGTGGATTTCTGGAGCCCAAGTCCCGTATAGCCAGAACTTGTCTACACTGTTTGACATGCGCAACCTTGTTCCACCCTGGGCAGGACCCCCATGGGCACGACCATGGCAGCCGGTATCCCTGTCTCTTTGCTGGCCAGTTCTAGTGTTCCCAGAGTACCTTGTGCTCAGGGTGCGGCTGAGGGAAAATGACCCTACACCGCAGGACCCAGGAATTTGTATATTTAATTCTCCCTCTCCCAGGTGGGAGCCTGTGTTAAGACACAGCCAAGGGTGGGAACCCTGATCTCGATAACTGCATCTCAAACTTCAGCGTGCCCTTATCAGAGTCATCTAGGGCAATTAATAAAACATAGACTCCTAGACCCCATTTCCAGAGACTCAGATTCAGGAGGTCTGAAGTGGGCCTGAGCATTTGTGTTTCTAACAAGCTCGCAGATGCTGGATGCTGCAAGTCCATGGACCACACTTAGAGTAACAAGGGTCTGATGCAACCTCCCATTTTCCTGAGACAAAGACCGCACTGAGAGCAAAGCAGGGCAGGGGATACCAGCGGCCCACCCAAACGCCCAAGTCTTTGAGGGCTCAGGTTCCCACTTTAGGAGGACAACAAAACTTACGCCAAACCGAAGCGGGCCTTGTTCCTGCATGTTGGGCCTCTGGCCTGGCCCAGAAGACTGGGCCATCAAGAGTGTTAACCGCTGCCATTGGCTGGTCCTTCACTGACAGCAGAAACTTGGCCAATGGCAATCAATCAGGGGGCCCGCGCTGCCTTAAATACCAGCAGAGCAAACAGCCTCAGACAAAGCTGCGCCGTGTATCAATTACCGAGAGGCTGCGTGCTCCTCTGGGCGGAGGGAGCCGGAGCGAGCGGCCAGGGCTGCTGCCCCAGCTGATAAGGGCCCGCATTGTTCGGGGACAGCTGGCAGCCCGATAAGGGCCTGCTCGCCCGAGATAATGGCAGTGGGCAGGCGCCTCGCGGCAGTTTAGAATTTCTTGGGTCTCCAAGAAAGGTTCTATTAAGCCCACTGACCCCAATTGAATATTAATTAGCTAATTAACGGATTTATTGTTCCACGCCATTTCTGGAGAGGCCATTTTTTTTCGAGTGCCATTATTTTTGTAAATGATTTTTCGCATTGTTCATAATTGAATCTTTGCAGCTGCCAGCATCTTCTGCATGATTTGGCAAAAAAAAGGAAGCAGAAGCACTTAGGGTTTTTCCCCCCACCCTCCCTCTGAACAAATGTTTTCAGCCCCTCCTGCTAATGCTGGAGCGAGGGGGAAGTAGGGGGGCTGTCTCTGTTTCACGGGTTTGTTTTTTAAGCCGAACTGCAACGTCTGCACTCCTTTTTCCTTCCTTTTGTGGGCAGCTGAGGGCCGAGGCACTCCGTGCTGTCCCCACCAGCCCTTTGTCTGGCCGTCTTCAAAGTACTCAGACTTAGCTTTTCTCAGCCCAAACTTCTTAAAGCATTGTGCTTTCTATTAGGGAATACATAGAGGGAACAAGACCCGAGCTTGTCCCACCTCGAGCTCCCGGTGGAGGGAGGCCAGCCCTGAACTGCCAGGGGAGGAGCTCTAGCCAGCTGGGGAGCACTCCTGGTGGGCTCTGCCTGGGTTCCTGTCCCTATCTATCCCACCCTTGCCTTTCCTAGCTGGAGCCCACCCTGGGTCTGGTGGCTCTGGGGGTACAGAGCCCCCATCCCAGAGCCTCTCCGCTGCTCTTTAATAAGTCTTTGCTCCAAATTCCGCACCAGGGTTGCTTGACTCCCTGGCGCTGGCATCTGCCCACAATAAGTTGAACCAGACGGTCCCACAGGCAAATGGCTGATTGAATCAAACCCATTCCTCTGCAGAGGGTCTAGAAGAGGGAGGGTATGTGTGCTGGGATGGGGCTGGCGTGGGCGGCATAGCAATATCGTCAGGCAGCAATGGGGAGCCCCGTTGGACCTCGTAGACCCTTCTTCAGCATCATTAATGAAGCCAGGGGCAGGCAGAGGCTCCAGGAATATTAGTCAGGGCCCCCCTGTGGGCGGGTCTAAGGAAGGCTCATGCCCAGGACCTGCACCTGGCCGCCGGGGGCTGCAGAACTTTATTGGGATTTTTTATTAAGCTGCCTCTTCCTGCCGTCATCCCTGTCCCTATCCTGCTGTTTGTGCTCAAAAAGAGGAATTCCGAGGGCGTTTGTGAGCAGGGAGATGAGTCAGGAAGGAGTTCTTGAGTCTTCCTCTGTAGGCACTGGCTGGGACCACCCATTTCCTTTCCTCTGGAATAGAATCCAGCAGACAGACAGACTGTCCTGGGAATCTCCTCCAGGTGCAAAAGTTGTCGAAGAAACTATATGAGATAATCCGTATGTTAATTAGCCAGATTTAGTCACTCCACAATGTATATATTCTTCAAAACGTCATGCTGTACATGGTAAATGCATACTTTTTTTCCTGTCAATTAAAGAAAAGTTGTAGAAGGGACCCCAAAAGTCTAAGAACTGAAGGTGGCCCTTAGAGTTGGGGAGGGGAGTCATTCAGCCTCTGAACACCTCCAGGGTGGGAAGCTCACTACCATCAAAGCTTTCATATGGAGAAGGGTCGTCCTTACACAGAGTCTGTATGCTCTTCCCTATACCCCACCCATACAGTCTCCCTCTGCTCATGACACCCATTCAGCTAATAATAGTAACAACCATAATAACACCTAACGTGAAGTGAGGATCTACTACGTGCCAGACGCTGTTCTAGGTACTTTAATGCATTATCCCATGTAGTCTTCCTCATGTCTCTGTGGGATTTTTTTTTTTTTTTTTGAGATGTAGTCTGGCTGTGTCACCCAGGCTGGAGTGTAGTGGCACAATCTTAGCTCACTTGCAAGCAAGCTCTGCCTCCCAGGTTCATGTCATTCTCCTGCCTCAGCCTCATGAGTATCTGGGACTACAGGGGCCCGGCACTATGTCCGGCTTTTCTTTTTTCTTTTTTTTTTTTTTTGTATTTTTAGTAGAGATGGGGTTTCACTGTCTTAGCCAGGATGGTCTCGATCTCCTGACCTTGTGATCTGCCCACCTCCACCTCCCGAAGTGCTGGGATTACAGGCGTGAGCCACCGCGCTCGGCTGGTAGGTAGGATTCTGAGGCAGAGAGATGTGAAGTAAGCTATGCAAGGTCACTGATGAAAGTAACAGAGCCAGACACCAACCCAACGTTGCTGGATACCAGTGCCCCCACATGTGACCTCTCTGCTCCACAGTCTGGAAAGCCATGGCTCTAAGACTGCTCTGCTGCGGGGAAGACAAGCTAAGAGGCTGTAGGTGCTTCTCATCTGACAGGGTCTCCCTTCCCTTTGCTGCCTTGGACCTTCCTCCTGAAGCCCAAAGTCCATAGGCGATCTGGCTGGAAGACAGCCTGTTCCTTTCCATGTTCTAGACACTATACTCTGTTAATGCAGCCTGGGTTGGTGATAAAGTTCTTGGTGAGGGGTTGCACCCCTCTACAGCACCCCCCTTACCCTCCGAGGTTCAGACTTATTGTTTTGAAAAGGAGTCCCCCAAATCACCTTCTCCAGTCCTCAGAATTTTGGCAGAATTTGGTCTGATCCTCCCCAAGCAGGTTCTCCTACACCTCCAGAATCTGCCAGGGACTCATTTGATCCCAGTGAGCTGACAGCTGGAGCCCTCCTCTGGGAGTTACCAAGAGAGGGAGGCCTCAAGTCAGAGGCCGGCGAGGCTGCACAGACCTGGCTCTTCCCTTCTGTGAAGGTGACCCATCAGGACACCAGCACCTCCTGCTGGCCGCCCTGGGGGCTGCAAGCCACCCCTTGGGTATTTGGGAGACATTCCTTCCAGTTTCTTATTTTGCAAAGAGGACTGGGGCTCAGAGACAGGAAGAGAACTGCTCAAGTTCACCCAGTCACACTAAGGGGGCCAGACCATGCCCTGTTCTCCTCTGTCCCCAGGGAAGAGCCAGGTGAGTGTCTGATCAGGGATCCGGGAAGCCAACAGTCATACTTGGCTCAGAGGACTAATGGTATCCCTCTCAGAGCCTGATTCTCTGGAAGAGACACCTACTGGCCTACTGGCCACCCCAGTCAGGCTGCCTGAAGTCCTGCAATCCTTCCATGGCCAAGTCCTGGGAGTCAGTATTGCTTAAACCCCATCCCCTGCCTCTTGGATCTTCCTAACTCAATATACTCAAGACTCTCAACAGGAATCTTTTCATCAGACAAGACAACCCAGGCTCCAGCAAGCAAATTTCTGTCCATCTGGGAATGCCACCACTGACAGGGCTTATGGGACCTGGGCAGGAGTCCCCAGTCCATGGGTCACCACTCACAGGCTCAGCAACCTTGGGCAAGTCACATCTTTATGACCATCAATTCCTTAGCCATCAATTATCTCTCTCTCTCTCTCTCTAGAGAGAGAGAGAGAGAGAGAGATTTCTCTGTATATAGGTCTATATAGAGAGAGAGATCAAATCCTGAATCTTAAAAGAAATCTTGTTACATGTCATATATATATGAAGCTCTCGCTCTGTTGCCCAGGCTGGAGTGCAGTGATACAATCATAACTCAGTGCAGCTTTAAACTCCCAGGCTCAAGCGATCCTCCTGCCTCAGCCTCCAGAGTAGCTGGGACTACAGGAGCACACAACCACACACTTGGTTACTTTTTACGATTTTTTTGCAGAGGCAAATTCTCACTATGTTGCCCAGGCTGATCTCGAACTCCTGAGCTCAACCAATCCTCCTGCTTCAGCCTCCCAAAGTGCTGGGATTACAGGTGTGAGCCACTACACCCAGCCTGAAAAGATATATTATGAACTGGCAGGATAGAGGTTACATTTGGTAACCTGAAAGGGGGCACTGAGAAGAACTTGGGGGATATATTATAAACTGGAATACATTGATGCATATGAACTTTATTTTCTTTATTTCTTCTAAAAAAAAAAAAACGGGATACATGTGCAGAACATGCAGGTTTGTCACACAGGCATACATGTGCCATGATGGTTTGCTGCACCTACTGATGGGTCCGCTAATTTCCCTCCCCTTAACCCCCAACCCCCAACAGGCCTTAGTGTGTATTGTTCCCCTCTCTGTGTCCATGTGTTCTCATTGTTCAACTCCCACTTATGAGTGAGAACAGACGCATGTGAACTTTTAAGACAAAACCTGAATCTTAAAAATAATCTTGTAATATGGCAGACCACACTCCAACACTCTCTGATACCTCTGATCATTGGGACCCTTCAGAGAAAAACTGTGAGACTCACATATGAAATCGCTGGTGCACAATGTCAGGGGGTCCCGATGGGATAACTAATAATAGTAGAATTTTGGGCTCCAGGCAGATGGGTTGGGGGATATTCTGGGGTCTAGGGGAGCCCTGCCAGATCACAGAGAGGCTTCTGTTTTTTCTGGAGGCAGGACCAGCTGCAAGCGTCCAGCTACCAGGGGACTCATGTCTTTTCTAAGAAAAGAGAGTAGGGTGAGTAGCTTCAGGCTTGGTCTAGCAAAGCCCCGTGGCCTTTGGGTTCATTCTTCATTGAACCCAACTGTCTTACACAGGATGACTCAGATTTTACTTCAGGAAAAATGACTTAGCTACACAGAGCTTGAGGAGCAGAGAAAGGTGGATGGAGATGGGGATGGTCAGAGGGAGACAGGGGCAAAAAAGGAGGGGGAGGGAGAGAGAGAATGACAAGGAGGACACAGGGAAAGTCACAGAGGAGAGACAGAGAATATTGCCAGGGAGAGGGCTTTTCAATGGGCAAGGCTGGACATCAAAGCCACCAGCATAGGGCATCAGAGTCCCTTTCATGTGTCATCCAAGGCAGGGGAGGGAGGGGAGGACAGCTTTGATGGTTCTTGCAGTCCCAACTAGGCCATGCCTTGGGAGCCAGAACAGGCTGCACTGCACATGCTACCTTCAGGTCCTGCTTCTCAGAGCCTCTCCTAGCTGGTGCTTCAGCCCTAGAGAAAGAGGGCTTCCAGTTTTTGCCTGCCTGCCAGTTGGAGCACTGCCGTGAGGCCTCAGCTAGGCTCTGGTCCCAGTTACCACTTCCCATACTCACAGCCCCTCTCCTCAAGCAATAGGGTGAGGAGGGAAGGAGAATACAAGGTGGGTGGGGAGGAATACAGTGCTGGGTGTGGAGAGGACAGCCACTACTAATCTGCAGCGCAAGGCCCTCCCTTCTGGCCCTCAGGTGAGACAAGTGCATGATCTGCTAATATTCTCTTGAGAGGAAAACCAGAATATTGGCTATTAAACTCTCAAAGGCAGGGCCAGGGCCCCATCAGAAGTTGAAGGAAAAGGTCCTGCCCCTTTCTCTGAGTGCCACCATACCTATTTTCCCCAGGTCTAATATATGCTCAACTCCAGTGGATGGAGGCATAAGCATTTCTAATGAAGGCTTCAACTAGGCACCCATAAAATCCATACAGGAAGTTGGAAAGACCAGGGCGTGAGTTTATACAGCCAAAGTTTCCTCGTACCGCAACAAGGCATACACAACTTTACCTTTAGAGTCCTTTGTAGGGTGTATTAATAAAGAAGCTCTGAGCTGCAAGTAACAGAAACCCCAGATTCAAGGGGACTTAAACAATGCAGTCATCTGGAGGTAGGGTGGGCCCCAAGTGTATACCACCAGCAGTTTAATGAAGCCATTGAGGACATAGATTTTTCCATTCCTCCATTCCGCCTTCCTTGGTGCCATCTTCGTCTTAAGACTGGTCTCCTTTATGGTCATGATGGCTAGCAGTGACAAAAAGAACCACCTCTTTCCTTATTCACATATAGAAAGATAGGAAACCTCTCATCCTGTCATGGGATATTAGTCCTTAGTCTGATAAGAACAATTTGGATACCTACACACCCTAGACCATTAATAGGGTCCAGGTACACTTCTTTGTTTTGGACTAATCATCTGTGGACTGGAGCTTCAAAGTCCCCTAAATGTCCACTACAGAGGGTGTCTCAGGTAGATGCTGTCTTGTTCCTGTGAGTGAGGAAGGCGCTCATGCTTTGGCTCTAGTTCAACCTCTAAACCAGACGTGGATGCATTGCTTCCTCCTAGATTTACCTAACAGAAATTCACAAAATTCACAAAATTCAAAGCTAATTATTACCAGAGGAATACATATTCCTCCTGGTTACCTGATTTTAATTTCTCTCCAATAATTATTACCTGGAATTATTATGCCAAAGTAAGTGTTTACCTCATTTCTCAACCTGTTTTTATTGTAGAGGGACCTTCCACTAACAGAAAATGCCCCATATGAGCCATTTGGGATATTGGCATCATTCTCAATTCCTTTCTCAATGAGCCCCAAATACCCTGGTGGTGGGGGGCTGAGGAGGTAACCACAGTTCACTTCATTTCATCAGAAATTATTTGCCCAGTGTGAACACCTTTTCTTTGGCCATTTTATTCTCTGTGCTTGAAGATGCCTTGGGAGCAGAGAGTGGATAAAACTCAAAGCAGGCCTAGGACGCAATGACTGGATGGAAGAACTTGCCTTCTCTATCCCCAAGAGGGTTCTAGTACTTACTGAATGGAGAGAAAAACAAAAAAGTCTGGCAAAGGCTCATGAAGAGCAAGTCATGAAAAACTCATTCCTCATCTGTACAATAGAAGAAGCTGCAGGTGTCCTCACCCCTGCTGTCTGCCCTGTCCCCATTCCTGGTGTCTACTGCCAGACTGGAGTGCGGTGGTGTAATCATGGCTCACTGCAGTCTTGACCTCCTGGGCTCAAGTGATCCTCCTACCTTAGCCTCCCAACTAGCTAGGTGCACACCATCATGCCCGGCTAATTTTTAAAATTATTTTTGTAGAGACAGACTCCTGCTATGTTGCTCAGGTTTGAACTCCTGGACTCAAGCAATCCTCCCACCATAGACTCTGAAAGTGTTGGGATTACAGGCGTAAGCCACTACTTCCTGCCATGATTCACTCTTTATGTCACTGCAGAGTGATTTCCCAAAAAGTTCAGGCCTTATTGTGCCTTTGTTCCACTTACAAAGTTTTGACATTTCCTGGTTGCCTCCAGGGTAAAGGTCTATCTCCCTGGCCTGGCACGAGAGCCCCTTCCAGCAGGCTTGCTGCTTTCCTCCAAGGCCTCTGCGTTCTGGGTTGCAGGTGCATTGAGTGCTTGGTCACCCTCCAACTAAGCCCCACTGTCTCCCACTTCTGTGCCTTTACCTGCTGCCGGGCATACTCATCCTTCCACGTTTGATAGTTCAAGTGTCCTTCCCTCTGAAACCTTCCCTTCTCCCAGGCAAAGTTAGTCACCTTCTCTTCCTTCTTTCTGAAACCTCTGTTCAGAGCTCTGACATGACGCCAATCACACTGAGTTATGACTTTTTAACAGGCTGGCTCCTGACTCCCCTCCTTTCTGTGAGATTTCTTGAGGGCAGGGGCTTTGGTTCATTTGTCTTTTCACCTTTCTTGCCTTATACTACATTACACACTCGACATACCTTGGATAGACAGAAATCTGGATGGAAGGAAGAATGGCAAGAAGGATGGATGGACGGATGCGTTGATGGATGAATTAAATCAACATCACTTTTTTTTCTGCCTAGGTCACTAGACTGCTCTCAGGGATGCTTTTCAGTGTCTGGATTCTTGGTAAGTTCCTTCATAACCTCATCCACGCTTGTGATGGAAAACTGCATCTGACGTGATATTACTCAGCTGTTTGAAGAATCACTCCCAAAAGAACACCAAATAATGGTAGTATGATAGGAAGTACTGCATGGCCAGCCACAGGGTTTTGCCCCAGGCCATATCATGCTCAATTTTTAGCCAAGAGAGTGGTCACCTCCACTTGCAATGAGCATTATTACCCCTTGGCAGAGGTGTGTTTCAAAACATCACACCATTTTGCTAGACTCTGCCACCTGCTGAACCTTTCTGGTCTATCGGGCCTCAAAGTCCTCCCCAATAAACAGTGCTCTTTAACCCTAGTTCTATTCCCTGTGCCCCAGGACACAGACCATCCAATATCTCCATCAACTTTACTCCCTTTACCCATAGACCACTTCACTACTTCCAATAAGCCCCCTCACCTCCCAGCACATCTGGCTGCCTGCTCCTCCCTGAGCCCCCCTAGCACTGCTAGGTCTTACATTTGCTTTTGTCTCAGCCTGAAGTGTCCTTTCTCTGTATCTCCATGCAGATAAATCCTAGCCCCAGCTCCAATAAGCCCGTTTTGCTCCCTGGGCCCCAGCCTGAGCCACCAAAAGCATTCTTCCTTGATACTCCTGCTTCACAGCAGGTCACTGTGCCCTTACAGAGGTAGGGCTTTGCTAAGTGAGAGCCAGTAAGGTTACCTATGGTACCCACAGGAAAATACATTTTCCAAGTGTCCATAAGATTCACAACTTAGAAAACAGCAGTGGACATGTGTGCTATGCCCGGCTCATAACGCGAGCTCTCTATTGCCTACTACATAAAGGCTTAAACTCTTCTGCTCAGCTTCCAATTCCCTGTCCCCCACTTCCATTCTAGGCACACTCCACTTCCCAGTGTCCCTTCTTCTGTTTTGACAAGTCAAGATTACAGGCTTCCCTCTGTACCTGTAAGGCCGTCCCTCATATTTCTAGCTAGTCTTTCTGTAAGAAGCAGCTCAGTACTTGCCTCTTCTCAGATATTTTCTGCCACGTGGGCCATCTCCTCTTCAGAATTCTCACAACACAATATCCATGCATCCACTCTCACCATGTATTGCTTCTATTAGTGGTCTACACTAAGGTACAGAGCAGGCACCCTGTCCCAAGAGGAAGGAGAGCTGATTCCTCTTCTGTCCTCTGCATGATCTAACTACATTACAATATATTTTATGTCCTTCCCTGTAAACTGGGACTCTTAACCTGTGTACTCCCAGGGAGACTGGGAGACAAAATATAGCAATGGGAGTTATAGGGCTTTAATAAGCAGAAACATTTCTATAATGGGTTGTTGTCTTTGGCCCCACTGGGTGGGTAAGTTCCTAGAGGGTAGAAACCTGTAACCGCTAATATAAAAACGTAGATTGCCCACTAAAAGCAAGGGGCCCTTGATATTCTGCCTCTAAGGTCTCTTCAGGCCCAAGGGCATTATTTTGCTGGACAAAGGTCTACTGGTCAGTGGTGGGGAAAGGTGGAAGTGTGCATTCTAACAGGGAATAAAGACAACCAGAAGTATAATGGGGATCTGGTCCCTACCCAGATGGGATCAGGAGCCCAGAATCTGCATCTATCTTGGGACTCTGGAACCTGTGCCCCTTCCTTTATATGAAGTCTTTATCCTGGCCTAAATGTTTCTCTGCAAAGATCAGAAAGCAAAGCTTGAAGGTGTACAAGACTAGGAGAGTGTCTGAAGGGGAGTGAAGAATATGGTGTCCCATTCTTCAAAGCACTGCTGGTGTTGAGGGTCACCAGAGACAAACTCAGTGATGGAAGGCAGAGTCTATTCCTGCTTGGCCCAGGGATCACATTGGGAAGGCCTTGGGGTCCCCAACAAAATAGATCATGCCACTTTTTTGCTCTATATTACCCCTTTGACAAAGCTTGGCTGTGAGCTAAACATTGGGGTCCATCTACTGCACACCACCAATCTACAGCCCCCTACCAAAGGCGGGGTTGGGAAGAAAGCATGCAGAAACAGTCCACACCAAATGTCCCATGGAATGGGACTCACAGTTTCCAAGAATGTGGGAGAGGGATGAACCTCAAAGATTACGTTGCACAGCCCCATGCTGCATAGAGAGAGAGCAGAGCTAAATGGAGTCCAGAGCCTAGGTTAGAGGCCCTATGCTAAAGAAAAAAGATGAGAGCATCCAACCCCCTATGGGATTTAAAATAAAAATATCTAAACTGCAAAATAAAGTTATGTTTTTGAAATGAAACAAACCTTTATATATAACATATATATGACAAACATATATATATGCTGAAATTTTTAAAGTGCTCCTTTTTTGATAGCCTGAGTTTTTAATTTGGTTTTTCCACTTTGCTTGTCCCAGGCAGGGGGCAGAGGGGAAGAAGACAATTAAGGATAATGTCAGCATCATTTTCTGGAGTCTGAGGCACCTGGGCGGAGGCCCCCTTTGAAGAGCTGAGCTGCTTCTGGAGGTAATGAGTGCTGGTTTTCCAGGGAAAGGCCACGCCGTATTTGTTGGGCGTGCTTTCCACCACCTCTTCCACTCTGTGTATCTGCTGATGAGCCCAAGGGGCTCCATCTTGGAAACTCCAGGACCACAAAGAGCTCCAATGAGTCCTGAGAGCCTGACCTGGTTCTCCTTCCTGTAGGACATGCTCACGTTTTGGACTTGGTGGGGGAAGTTTTGCAGTTTTGCAGCATGACGGCCCTAGAAGGGGTGGTGCCCACCATTCAAACCTGGTTTTGTCTTTCCCCTTCTCAACATTTCTCCATCCAACCCCCACAACCTGCACGCATCCTGCCTCCGGCTGCTTTAGGCTCAGCCTTCCAGAACTTACCGGGATGTCTTCCTGGAGGGAGAAGAGCCTCTGATGCTTCCCTTGCCTCCCTTCCCAGCCTGGGGAGGCTTCTTTGGGGAGCCACTGCTGGAGGTGGGGGTGGGTGGGAGGACAAGAGCAGGCCCCTCTCAGGTGGGAAATGTTTTGTAATTAGCCTTAATGAGGAGGGAAGGGTAGTCTATTTCATTGCAGGGAAATGGGATTTTTAAATCATTTTAAGGGCTGCCTCAGCTCTAAAATGGCCGTAGTGGGGCCTCAGAGGGGCTGGTAATTAGCTCTCTTGTCTCTAATGAAAGCAGAGGGACAGGATGAGGGGTCATCTAATAAGCACGGGGATTAGCTTCCAGATAGGCCCTAAATAAGAAGGCAGGTGCAGGGGAGGGTGAAGGAGAGGTTTGGGCCAGCAGAGCTCCCGGCTGAGGGGCAGCAGCCCACGGGAACTCAGAGAAGGGGGTGCCCACCCCAACCGTACTTTGTGCAAAGTCACCCTCACTCCTTCACTGTGAGAGAGGCTAGGAATGGATGGTGGCCTGATGTGCCTGGACCAGGAGCAAGGGGCCCTACCATCACCTTGACTGATTTCAGGAACCCATAGACCTGAAAGCCCAGGTGAAGCAGGGAGGGGAGTCTACAGGACCCAGACAAAACAACCTTTCCCTCAGGGGGTGCCTAATGGGCATGTCATTGGCAGCAGACAGGAGCCACCACACCTCGGCCTGTGATGCACAGCTAAGAGAAACCCACCTGCCTCGGCCCAGCTCTCCCTGCCTTGGCCCACCTCTCCCTGCCTCGGCCCAGCTCTCCCTGCCTCGGCACACCTCTCCCTGCCTCGGCCCACCTCTCCCTGCCTCGGCCCAGCTCTCCCTGCCTCGGCACACCTCTCCCTGCCTCGGCACACCTCTCCCTGCCTCGGCCCACCTCTGGACCCCAGGAGCCAGGAAGGTCCAACAGAGGCCCCAGAGGTGAGCCTCAGCTCAGAGCTCCTCCCCCATCAGAACTAACCAGCCGGGCTGAAAGAGGCAACGGCCGGAGAAAAGGAACAGGAGAGCTGGTCCTGCCAGTTCCTGGCGTCCTGCGGCCCTTTGGGCATTGCACATTCCTGCTTTTACAGTGAATTGTTTTTTCCCCAGAACACTACTCGTGCTGAGTCTGCAGAGAATCCTGCCTTCTTAATGCATACGCTATACAGGGCAGTCACTCCAAGTGTCTGGAACAATCCCACTGGAATCCCCAGAAGCCATGGATCTAGTCAATGTGTCCCAAGTTGGTGGCATTATGGGGCAGGCAGACTGGTGGTGGAAGCCAAGAACCCAAACCCAGTTTCTTGGCATTTTAAGGAGTAATGTTTCTTATTAAGTGGCAAACAAAGGAAGAGAAGCACTGAGCAGGTGTCAGGGCTGAGTGGAGTTTCCTTTCCTCCACCCACTGTGTGCCCCAGGAGGATCCTTGGCTGGAACGCAAGTCACAGGATGTAGGACACAGAGCCCTGGGCCAGGCTGAGGGCCAGGAACCCAGACTCCCAACCCAGGCTGGTTCCAGTGTGCCCCTGGCCATCACTTCCTCTCCGGGCCCCAGTTTCCCCATAGTGAGCCCATCGGATAAGATGGTCTCTAAGGGTGGTGGGCAAGAAACTCTCATCCCTGCCCACTCTCTCTGAGTAGACTTCCCTCCAGCTTCTCCCTGCCACCCGGCACTGTCTTTAGCCTGTTATTGATCTTTTTATTTGTTTATTGTCTGTCTCCCTCACTAGACTGTAAACCACACAGAGAATGACCTTGTTCACTGGTGTTTCCATCCCGTAGCCTGCTTCCAGCACCGTGCCTGGCGTATAGCGTGGTCATGTCTGGGACGGACTGACAGAGTAAGGATGCACTGGGGCCTGCCCCACTGATAAACCTCCAGTTCAGGCATGGGACAGGCTGCCTGCACCGCCTCTGGTCAGCACCTGGAATTGCTCGTCCCACCCAGCAGCCAGCACAGGCCAGGCCCGGTGACATGGTCATGCAGGATGTGCAGTGAGGAACGTTAAGTGTCCGAGGACCCTTCCCCTCTGTGGATCAAGCCCTCGCTAGGGCATGAGTTGTAGAGAGAAAAAGGGGTGCAGACTGGGAGAGGATCTGGGGGTTTAGTGAGGATAAAATCTTGCCTTTGCCAAGAGAGTCTGGGCCCCTCAGAGGTTCCAGAGCCCGTTGGCTGCCTGTGGCACCTGGGCTGGGGTCTGCGCTTCCATGGTCCCCATGCCCTCTCCAGGACACCACATTCCAGAGAGGAGCTGGTTCAGGGGCTCCTGCCTGGGGCTCTCTTTGCAGACTCACCTCCTGGATCTGCTCTGGAAGCACTCCCAGATCCTTCCACTGCCCAGAGCAGCCTCTAGGTGGCAGTTTCACATGGGAGTTACCTGCATGGACTCCAGTCAGACCAGGCCGAATTCAAGTCCAGATGCTATTGAATATTACTTAACTAGAACGGTTCTTTGAGCCTCAGTTTCTTCAACTGTAAAATGGGGATGATTCAACTGTAAAATGGAGATAGAATTGCGTAGAGGCTTAAGCGGGTTGGGCATGTTTTTATGAAAGCTTGCCTTGTTTGTCTGGGCTGGATTTCCCCCGTTGGTGCCAGCACGCAGCGCCCCTCTCCTGAGAGCTCTCAGATGCCCAGGAACCGCCTGTGGTGGTGACGCAGGACTCTGCTGCGGTGAGCCAGGCCTCCTGCCCTGGAATTGAGCACAGGCCTCAAACCAGCAGACCTAGCGCAGGTTGTATGAAGTGAAGGTTCCCAGCAGCAGTTGCGTGTTCTGGTGTTCGCCAGGAGCTGCTGCAGCTGTGAGCACCTCCCATGTGATGGCTCATCGACTGCTGGGAGCAGCCTGAGGTGCAGGCACTATCATCAGTCCCCTCTACAGATGAGGAAAGTCCTCATCTCTAAGATGAAAACTAAGTAAGCTGCCCTGGGCTGTGTAGCTGCCAAGTGGAGAGCTAGGATCTGAACTCACATAATCTGGCTCCTGGGCCTGTACACGAAACCATCATGCCACGCTGCCCTTTCCACCACGCTGCCCTCACCTCACGCCTTCCCTAAGTTAGAAACTTCTTCTGGGATGCTTTTCCCATTCCCTCCCTCTCTCTCCTCTCCTGCCCTCTGCCTCATTTCTTTCCATCTCCACCTCTCTGTTTCCATCTTTCTCTCCCTCCACCGCACCACCTCCTATTCACTCTCATTTCTTCCTCTGTCCCTCTGTGTCTCAGTGCTCTGTCTCTGATCCCTGATCCCACCCAGTACCTGGCAGATGGGCCGGGGGCTCAGGGATCAGGGTGGCAGCTAGAGAAAGGGAGCCTGAGTAATCATGAGGAGCCCTCTGGCCCCTTGTCAGGAGAGCCCTTCAGTTCCCCCAGTGCAGCAGGCAGACCCGTTAGAACAACAAACGTGGCCCAGGAACCGCCTCAGTTCCCTAGCACCTTCCAGCTCTGGAAGACAAAACTGGACTTGCCAGAACTTCAGGAAACCCCAGAGCTCTCCCCCACCCCCACCCCAACGGGCTTCACTGTGCTTCCAGAGCAGATCCAGGAGGCAAGAGTCTGCAAAGAAAGCCCCAGGCAGGAGCTCCTGAACCAGCTCCTCTCTGGAATGTGGTGTCCTGGAGAGGGCATGGGGACCATGGAAGCGCAGACCCCAGCCCAGGTGCCACAGGCAGCCAGTGGGCTCTGGAACCTCTGACGGGCCCAGACTTTCTTGGCAAAGGCAATAAGCTCTGCAAAACCCAGTGCCGGGGGACAGTCCGAGGACCTGGCTGTTTGTCCTGGGCTCAGAGCACATGAGCTCAGACAGCTGGGGTCTAGGCAGCACCCACTGGAAGTCTTGAGTGTTGTGCAGCTTGGGCATCTGAAGAGAGGGAGAAACTGGTGTTTGGGGGAACCCTGGCACACAAGAGACTTTCCATCAACTCGCATGAAGGAGAAGGACGCTGCCCTAGAATAAAAACCCTGGCCATGAATGGTCTCTGACAGCTTTAAGGGAAAGAGCAATTGTCTCCTTGTAGAGATGAGATCTCCCAGGCAGGAATGTCATGTGGATTCTGCCTGTGGCCTCCACATGTCTCATGTTGTGGGGGAAGGTTTCTGGGAGCAGGCCCAGGAGGAGACAGGATTCATAGGAGATTTCATGATGGGCTCTGCAGCAGTGTTAAGATTGGAATCAAACTTCTTTCCAAACATGGGCTGTGCAGTCCAGCTTCAGGCCAAGGAGTGGGAGCATAAGCAGGTGCCATATTTCATGGGATCAGGCCCCCTGTTAGAGTATCTCTTCCCCAGGCCACCAAGGAAGGCAGGGAGAGGGGATGACGTCCCATGATCTGGTTGGAGGAAGGGGAGATTTGTGCACAGCTATGGTTCAATGCCGGCCCACATTCCCCACTGCCCACATGCCCCAGGCTGAGGTGCGAGCTGCGGCAGCATGTAACAGTTCATGCTCAGCTCTCCCTCCCCGCACCAGTCATCTGTGGTGGGTGCAGCCCCCAAGGAGAGCCAAGCCCAGACCATTCATGCCCTACACTTAACCAAGTTTCTCCTTTGCAGTGACCGGGGAGGAATTCAGGCTTCTCCCGTGTCACCCCTGGGTGTTCCTGGGTGTTGTGAATTCTCTCCAGGTGCATAATCACCAGACCTTGGTAGCCATTCCTGCCCCACCCTAGTTGCTCTGTTACAGAGTGAGCTTGGTCTCTCTCTGCTTCCCCCCTACCCTCTTATCAGTTTCACGCTTGCTAAGATGAGGCCCCTGTGGCCTCTTCTTGGGGGTATCTGTGGGCTGACACTGGACTTTCTGGGTGAGGGTCTCCTACTCAGTATCTCATGATGTCCGTGATGCTGACTGTAGCTCATGTAACCACAGCACTTCATAGTGCAGATCTGGGGCCCGTGGCTGACCTGGGAATCAGATCATCCCCATTTCCCAGATGAGGATGGTGAGAGAGCAATAACTGGGTCCATGATGCCAGACTTGGCAAATTCCGTGCCATGTTGAGCTGGGGAAGCCCGTTGACAAGGTCTGGGGTAGGCAAGGTGGGGCTGGGGTCGTCTTAGAAGGCCAGCTCTGTTCTTGGGGGCTTGCAAACCCCGCCTGCCTGAGTTTCACTCTATCTCATTGTGAGTGAATTCATTGTTGTGCAACCTAGAGTGGTGAGACAAGTTAATTACATAATTACTGCAAAATCACATGTTATTTCATGGCTGCAATATGGTAACTCTGTTGGAAACAATTGTAATTGCCCAGAAACTGCATTCGAGTGGCTCCGTTATCTCTTGATAACCATGTAATTAACTTGTATTATAACTTTATCTCCAGCAAACTCTGAAGTAAGAGTTGGGGCCCTTGGGTTGGGCACAGCCATCCTAGACCTAAGGGTCCAGGGAGAGTCTGGCACTGGGGACTCTGCTACAATGCAGGAAAATCATTTGCTTTTTCAGGTTGAGAAAGAAAATTCCTCATTATAAACTCCAGCCCTCTGTGTCTCTCCTCACGCAAACCCCTTCACAATCCCATGTGCTCACATACAGACAGCTCCCAGTTTCACCGTCCCCTTGGACCCATGGCTCACACAAACACCCACTGCAGCCAGCTCCACTGGCCTTTGCCTCTCTTCTCGCACATACAGGGTGCAGCTCCTTCACAGAAACTGGATGCCCCCAAAGTTGAGAACTTCTGCCCCAAGATCCTCGGCCCTAGCAATCCCTTTTCAGAAACTGGGCCAATGACCACAAAACCACAACTTGGAGAGGTAGCCTCCTGCAAGCCCCCAGGAGTGCCCAGCCATCCTTTCACTTTCAAGTAGAGGAGTAGGCCTGGGGAGGGTGAGGTGCGAATCCAGCCTAGCCCAGCCCAGCCCAGCCCATTCCCTGCCCAGGAGCAGGCAGGGCTTGAGGCAATAGTCTGACTCCCTCTGCCCTGGGCTGTGGGCTGTGGGCTGTGGGCTGTGGGCTGTGGGCTGTGGGCTGTGGCTAGGGTGAAAATAGCCCCTGGGAAGGAGGAGGGAGTGGCCTGATAGTGAAGGAGCCTGTCCATGCAACTTTTTCTGTCTAGGTTGGGGATTCAAGAAGCCTCTGTTTTTAATATTGCCCAGCGAGAAGGTATCTTTACAGTTCCAGGCTTTGTGCTTGGCACTGTGGCTGCAGCCAAGACCAAGACAGCATCCCTGCTGCCTTGAGTAAATCTAGCTCGGCGGGGGAGGTGGAAAACGCCCTGGTGTCTGCCTGTCTGCTGCAGTTCTGGCTGGAGCTGAGTGATGGGGCTTGACCACCTCCACCTCTCCTGCCTGTCTCTGCCTACACACTTGTCTACTTGTGTGTCCATCCTTCCTGCCTGCAGCACATGTCTGTCTGACCGTATGTCCATTGACTTGTCCATCTATGACTTTCTTAAGTCATCACAAATGGCCTTGTGTCCCCCAGAGGGAACTGGCCTGTCCCAGGTCTCCGCATAGCATTCCGTCCTCACAATGATGTGCTTTGTTTTCCTGGCTTTCCCCGCAACATGGCTTCTGCTTTCCATCCCCACAGCAAGCTCCCCAAGGGCAGGGACGGTGTCTGATCTATGATTCATCCTCACATCTGATTTGCTCCAGGACACCCCCGGTTGCAGCATGGGATTGAGACACAGAGTCTATTGAGGTTTGCTGACTGAATAAATGGATGCCTCCAGACTGCATGGGCTGAGTCGAAAGGAAACAGGATTTTTCTTGCTCACTCAGAAGAGCAGAAAGCTGGGCCCCAGCTGCTGGGCAGAGACAACAAGTGCTGTCTGTCACCCTAAAAGGGAAGAGAGGTTTCAGCATGGTGCTCCCATGGCAGAGGACACAAGATTTGTGGTCCTACTGGGGAAAAGGTCAGAGCTGGGTCCCCATCTGTGCAGTCAGTCTGGGGTCTCAACAGAGGGGATGGAACACAGGGTAGGGAAGGCTTCATCTTGCCCCTCTTCTTAGGGACCTACTCAGGGCCAGAGTGTGTGCTCTCCCAGAGGGAAGATACCCCAGGTCTCACCTCTGGCTGGGGCTGGAGGCTCTGAGTTGTCTCCTTCCTCCCAGCTTCTTCCCCTAAAGCCAGCCTTTTGCTCCCCTGCCCAGCAACAGCACATGCTGGAGGCCCCTACCCTGCTCTGTGCCCTGCCCTTGAGAGGCAGAGGGGAGGGGCCCCAGGTCTGTGTCAGTCATGTGAACAACGCAGAGTAACCTCCCGGAAACATTCATAAGTTTAATCCACGCCAGTAATAAAATCGCATTACATTTCTCATAAAATAAATGTTCCCATTTATATACAGAAGACAGACTGTACAGGCCCGGCCTGGCCCCAGGAGGGGTCACACACAGACGGGCGGTGGTGGAGGAGGAAGGGCCATCCCTCCCATCGAGGACGGAGAAGTTCTAATGTGGCAGGAGAGCGGCTGGCCAGCCTGCACTGGTAGAGTGGCTGGCTGGCCGGCCAGGCAGGTGGGCAGGCGGGCAGATGGACAGACGGGCCTGGAGGCCAGGCGCCGGGCGTTACTGAACTTGGGATTCAAAGGTGCCATTGAGCTGCCCTTCCTCATAGTCCATCTGACACAAGATCATGTTGTTCTTCAGGAAGAATTTGTCTCCCACACAAAATCTAGAAAATCCAAGCGAGAGAGAGAAGCCATGGGAAGGTCCCAGTGGGTAAGGGGGGGGCTGCAGACAGAAGCCGGCCTGGCCTATGAGGTGAGCTATGTGGGAGGTGGTGGGGGGAGTTTGTTCCTTGAACCTTCCAGAGGGAACTGCCAAAAGTCCCCACAGCACACCTGGGCAATTCCCCCAGGCCAGCCCCAACCTTGGCCAGGCCCTGTAGCCTGAGGTGGTAGGACAGACAGACAGTTGGGCCACAGGCTTCCATAGTCAGGTCTCCTGTGTTGGTGAGTGTAGGGTTAGGGGGGTTGGTGGAGAGGTGCAGGAACAGCCTACCCCAGTCCCAGAGAGGGAGAAAGGGAAAGCACAAACAGAAAAAGACCAAGTGGGGAGACAGATGGAGAAAGGCAGAGATGGGGCCGGGTGTGGTGGCTCACACCTGTAATCCCAACACTTTGGGAGGCTGAGGTGGGTGGATCACGAAGTCAGGAGTTTAAGACCAGCCTGGCCAAGGTGGTGAAACCCCATCTCTACTAAAAATACAAAAAAATTTAGCTGGTGGGCATCTGTAATCCCATCTACTCGGGAGGCTGAGGCAGAGGATTGCTTGAACCCAGGAGGCGGAAGTTGCAGTGAGCCGAGATCACGCCACCACACTCCAACCTGGGCGACAGAGTAAGACTCCATCTCAAAAAAAAAAAAAAAAAAAAAAAAAAAAGGCAGAGATGGGTAAGGAAGGAGGGATAAAATGGTTGTTTTTTCCATCCGTCTATCCCTCTCCCCAATTTAAGAGGATGGCTCAGTACAGGGCATTCTTCCTCTAAACAAAATTGATAAGTTACCTAGAGCATCCTTCTAGGAGGTAACCCCGTTCCACTATCTCCTCTCCTACCGAAGGAAGGCCCTTCATTGGTCTCCTAGTCCTCCCCAAGTAAGGGAAGATTCCGGTCCTTTCCCTAAAGATGTCCCCAGGGTGGGTGAAGCCTTTAGTGAGACCCCAAGATCGCTGGCCTAGTTCCAGCAGATCCCAGTTCAACCACCAGGTGGCGCTGTAAGTTCACTGAGCCCTCCTAACAGCAGGTCCGGCCAGAGCCCCCAGCCAGACCAGCGTTCCCTGTAGGTCCCTCTGAACCTCACTTCAGGGAGCACTTGTATGCGTTCCTACCTGACCTGGGGGCTCCTGAGAAGAGCGCCTGCCTTCTGGTGCTAGGCCCCAGCCAGGGCTGAAGGGCTCTGGCTCCTTAGGTCCCCAGGGACTCCCACAGGGCTAGGGCACAGAGTTGGGGCCAAGAGACCAGAAAATAGGCTGGGCTGGAACCAGAATCACAAGGGCTGGGTGAGGAGAGAGTGGCCACTCCCTGAGGGGACTTTGCCCTCCAGATTTGGGAACCCCTTCTCACTGGAACATACATGCACACACATGCACATACTATACACTGGGTACGGGGGTGGGAGGATACGTTATCCCATGCACATGCACGTTTCAAACACGTATACAGGCTGGGCGCGGTGGCTCACACCTGTAATCCCAGCAATCTGGGAGGCTGAGGTGGGCAGATAACCTGAGATCAGGAGTTCAAGACCAGCCTGGCCAACATGGTGAAACCCCGTCTCTACTAAAAATATAAAAATAAAAATAAAAATAAAAATTAGCCAGGCGTGGTGGCACACGCCTGTAGTCCCAGCTACTTGGGAGGTTGAGGCAGGAGAATCACTTGAACCCGGGAGGCAGAGGTTGCCGTGAGCCAAGATTGTGAGATCACACCACTGCACCCCAGCCTGGGCAACAGAGTGAGACTATCTCAAAAAATAAAATATGTATACACACATGCATACTCACCTCATCATGCATGCACGTTGCACATACACATACACCCCCAGACATTTAAAAACACATGTACAAATGCATATTAATTCCATCATGCACATGTGCCCACTTGTACATTTCCAAATACACATGCATGCACATGCACACTCAACTATGCATACACAGTAAACTCATGCACGCCTTCATTATATTCACACAGAAATGTGCCACACAGATGTGCACACCCAATATTAAAGTGCACACATTTGGCTACCGAGCTTACACACACATAAAACACATAAAGCACATGCACGCTCATAACCTGCACGCACCACCACATACACACACGCAACCCGCATTTGCGTGCACGCCTCCGCCGTGCTCCTGGCCCATCCCAGCAGGCCTCAGGCTGGCGTCTGGGGAGTGTGTTGGGTCGGCCAGTCCAGCACTGACCTCTGGTTGCAGAGCTGGCAGGCGAAGCAGTCGAGGTGATACACGTTGTCCCGGGCCCGCATCACCATCTCGAAGGCTGGGATCAGCTTGCTGCAAGCAGCACAGTTCCCTGTGGTGCCAAAGAGCCTGCCGAGGGAAGGGCGCAGAGGACTCAGCAGCATTCTGGGAAGCTGGGTGGGCAGGGGGAAAGGAGTTGCCTCCATCCAGGGTCCTTCCCATACTCCAACTTGTGGGCTCAGCAGGTGGGCTCAGGCAATAGGATAAGAGCACTGAGGGCAGCATCTAGATTCTGCCCAGAGATCAGGCTGCCAATAAATCAGCACATCCCCTTCCAGGGAGGGTGTGTAGGGGGTCAGGAGTTGGCTGCCACTGCCCATCCCAAGGCCCCCTCCCAGGCTCCCACAAGGGTCCTCAAGCCCTGGAGCCACCAAGAGAATCCTAGGCTGGGCCCTGAGCAAGCCTGAATTTCAGGGGCAGACTGAATCTTGGGTTGTGTGCCCTCAGGCAAGTCAGTGAGTCTCTCTGAGCCTCATTTACCTCATCTGTAAAACAAAGCCTGAAACACACCCTTTATGGGGTAGTTGTGAAACCTGTTGTAAATTCTCAGTCACAACTCACTAAGCAACCACCTAGGTAGTGTTCACTATGTGTCAGCCACTAATCTAAGAGCTTTACAAAGATAAACGCTTAATCCTCACAACAAACCTAGGAGGTGGTACTATTATTATTCCCCATTTTAAAGATTTAAAATATGAGTCACAGAGAAACAACTTGGACAGTCACAGGGCCTTGGTCCAGAAGGCGTGCTCTAAACCACTGCATGACATGCTTTTCCCACCTTTAACATTACAGTGTTTATTATTTGATTTTTAAAAATAGAGATGGGGTCTCACTATATTGGCCAGGCTGCTCTCGAACTCCTGGCCTCAACTGATCCTCCTGCCTTGGCCTCC
Organism: Homo sapiens; assembly: GCF_000001405.40. NCBI lineage: Eukaryota > Metazoa > Chordata > Mammalia > Primates > Hominidae > Homo > Homo sapiens. The sequence goes on from NC_000011.10 coordinate 8,227,928, forward strand.
CAAAGTGCTGGGACTACAGGTGTGAGCCACTGTGCCTTGCCAAAATTAAAGTGTTTTATTAAATCTTTTTTCCATGACAAACTCACTGTGTTACTTGCCTAAGTCCCTTTTTTTCTTTCTCTGAACCTCAGTTTATCCTTCTGTAAAATAGGGATGGATGATCCTATTCAAAGATGCTGTAAAACAGAACTGATGCCCAAAGGAAGCGCCAAGGACATCTGGCACAAATGCCTCTTTGAGGCAGGCACCCCTCCTCTTAGCTGCTGGCTGTAAAGCTCTAGGGACAGGGAGTTTACTCCCTCCCCATGCAGGCCAGCCCTTGGCTGGATGTCCCAATGGTCTGAGCCATCCCGGCTCCTCCTTGCTTCTTTCCTGCACACAGACAGAGCAAGCCCCAAGTGAGGCAAGGAGGCTGAGAAGAGGGTGGGGGGCCCCTTTAATCCCCGATTTGTCCAGCTCAAACTCAGGCGCCTGCAGATGAGCTTGGCTCCATTATTCATCAGCTTGAGCTGCCTGGTGGCTCAGATTAAGGCAGACAAAGGCTAGGCCACAGCATCTGCCTGCCAAGAGGGGCTTTTCTTGCCATCGGCCCAGGAACAGTTGCTGCAGAGGGCGCAGGCTCTGGACAGCCATTCTCCAGGCCTGAGCAGCTCAAGGAAGCCACGCTCGCATCCCAGCCCACTGGTCTAGCTGGTCCTACAGTCACTCCTTGCCTCTGCCAGAGCAAAAAAAAAAAAAAAAATTACCTTCCATCCCTAGTAGCTGGCAGGGCCCTATATGCTTGAGGGTGCTTTTTCCTGATAAGCCCATCCTACACTGTGGGCCTCTCTCTCCAAGTCCTGTGAACCCATCAGATGGTCTGCCACATCGTCCTAACCTGGTAGAGTCAGCCCCCAGGTGATGCCCTAAACCTCCAGACATGGAGGCCCCTTCTAGGTCCTCAAGGGGTGAATCCCCAGGAACATTCTTTTCTTTTTTGAGACAGGGTCTTGCTCTGGCACCCAAGCTGGAGTACAGTGGCGCAATCACAGCTCACTGCAGCCTCAAACATCTGGGCTCAAGCAATCCTTCCACTTCAGCCTCCTGAGTAGTTGGGACTACAGGCATGCAGCCACTACACCTGGCTAATTTTTTTTTTTTTTAGAAACGGGGTTTCACCATGTTGCCCAGGGTTGGTCTCGAACTCCTGAGCTGGAGTGACGTGCCTGCCTCGGCCTCCCAAAGTGCTGGAGTTACAGGCATAAGCCACCGCGCCTAGCCTGAACATTCTTCCTTAACCCCTGCTTCTGGTCTCAGCCTCTCCCCTCCAGCCCTGGCAAGGAGCACTAAGTCACAGCTTCTGTTTTACTGCATCACTTTTAAATGCAGGTGTTAAAAGGGGCAGGCAGGTCAGTCAAAGGATCTTTGGGGAATTGAGGGAGCTTCCACTGATAACCTCCCCCTTGCAACATGCCCAGACCTGGGCAGAGGGAGCCCCATGAAGCCCTTGCCCCGACCTGTTAATTAATGCGATGAGCCCTCCTTCCCCACAAGCCCGGCAACCATCCAGCAGCCTGCGACAGAGCCAAATGCAGGTGCTGGGTCTCAGCCAAGGCCCTGCTTTGTGGCCTCCTTCCAGCCTTGCTGATGTCATAAATGGCCTCAGGGAGGGTTAATTGGGGGAGGTGGCCCCAGGGAATAGGATCCAAATTGTAGGGAGGGTGAGTTAGAGCTCAGAGGAATGCAAGGCAGGGAAGCATCATTCTTTCACCCTTCACGGGGAAGTAAACTGAGGCTGGGAGAAGATTAGGAGCCAAAGGCTCACAGCTAGTTCCAACCCAGGTCTTGAAGCTCCAGCATCAGTGGCCCTGCTCCTAGGATATGGCTGCCTGCCAGTTTCCCTGGGCAAATGGATGCCTGCTCCCAAGGACCATCTAGAAAGGAAAGTTGGACACTGGGAGATGGAAAGAGACTGCATTAGGGAGGAGGGTCCTGGGGAAGTCAAAGCTTCCACACCTGTTCTCAAAGCCCCTCTGAGGTATCCCCTCCCAGATTCCAGATCAGGTGGGTCAGAAGCACCTGGCCAAGGCAGGGGGGCGGAGCCAGACTGGGGCCCTCGGAAAGCTTAACTTAGGGGCCCCAGGTTACAAATGCCTGCCCTGGACTTGTGCTGGGTACCGAGTCCAAGGGCATAACGACCTGGGCCTTCCCCTCAGGTGACTTCTCAGGTATCTGGGGCAAGCAGGGCAGGGGCAGGACAGTCAAGAATGAGAGGACACACAGGGTACTGGGTCTAGGGCCGGGGGCACAGTCACGCTGGGGCTGAGGATGGGGAGCTTTCTGAGCAGGACAAGGGCTTGGGAGGCCAGGGTTTGGCAGCCCACCTCAGGTAGTCGCGTCGGCACAGGATGAGGTTGGCCTTGGTGTAGAGGGTGGAGCCCACCTCGCCCAGGCGGCAGTCACAGCAGGCACACTTGAGGCAGTCTTCGTGCCAGTACTTGTCCAATGCCTTCAGCAGATAGCGGTCCTTGATCTTGCGGTTACAGCCCGCACAGCCCTTCTGCTTCCCTTTGGGCTGGACGGAGAGCATCGGCACGCCTGCAGACGGACAGACAGACAGCAACGCAGGATGGGCCCCGTAGCTCTGGGCCTCAAGGAATATCCCCCAAGAATGGGGAGCTCACTGCTTCTCTCTGCTGCCCCCTCTAGGTTTGGGGCTCCCAGGAGCCCTCGCTTTCTCCCCAATAACCTCCTCCCCTGGCTCCGGGTCCTGCCCTTTGGGCTACATGGCACAGCCTGTTTCCCTGGCCCTGTGAAGGTCCCTCCAGAGGCTGCTCTGCTCCAAGGCACACACAGACCCCAGGCCTGGCCTCCCTGAGTTGTTCCTCCCTACCATGGCCTCTATCCCCTGTGCGGTCTCATCCGGAGTAAGCCTGAAGCTCGTCTTGTGAAGCCACCATCACATTGGCTCTTTCAGCAATAAGCCTAAGAAATGTAGTCTCCTCAGGCCCACGAGGTCCTCTAGAACCCCCAGATCTTTGTGCCAACTCGTCTTTCTCCAGCTGAAGTGCTACAGCCTCTTGGTCTATCCATGTAGAGCTGTGATGGCATCAAGAAGGAAGTGAGACGCCCCTGGGACACTCCCAGGAGGGAGCAGAGGCTCTGGGGCTCCTGGCAGGTAAGCGGAGGCAGCTGGCAGGGCCTGGCTGGGGCTCCCCTTGGGAATGCTTCAGGCGGTGTCACACCTCACCTGCCCTGGCCTGGGGGAGGGCAGGCTCTGAGCCTCTGGATCCTTCCTCATTCTACCAGGATTAGGATCTCTCAGCCATCAGTCCCTCCCAGGGCCCATACCAGCTTCCCAACATACACACAGGCACCAAGTACAAAGGGCCCAATGTGATGTTCACCACAGGGCAGAGCCTCCCGTCGCGGCAGGCGAGCATGTGCGCTCACACACACCCCTCACACACAGGCACGACGTGCAGGTGTGGGCATGAAGTGACAGAGGCACGGGTTCCTAGTCCCTTCTCCTGGAACCACAGGGACCGTTGAGGAGGAGATGGGGACATATGTCGTCCAGTAGCCTGGACATCCATGTGGACCCGTGAGGCTGGGAGGGAAGTGCAGAGGACCTCAGAAGCCCTGCTCTGTGACTTGACAGGGCGGGAGCCTGTGGCAGTTGCCTGAGAACCCTTGTGAAGACAGGGAGCGTGTGCATGCTCCGTTCCTGACCAAGGCGCAGCTGGATAGGGGCCCACCCCTCCCCACCTCCCCGGCTTTCCAACACTCCCCTGGAGTCTGTCCTTCTACTGGCCCCGTCCTCTCCAAAGGACCCCTGCTCTCTCCAGGGCTCTGGCCTTCCTCCCATCCCCTGGTGTCCCTCCCATTCCCAGCCCTCCTCACTGCCCCCAGCCCAGAGTCTGAATGGTTGGGCTGCTTCCCTTCCTTTTGCTTCTCTCCTCCTTGGGCGTTAGGGGAGAACAAGCCACAAGAGGCCTTGGTCTCAGAATCCACAGATGTAAGGTCAGAAGAGCCCTCAGAGTTCTCCCAGTTAAATGTTCTCATACTACAGATGGGGAAATTGAGGCTCAGACAGTTACAGGGGCTTGAGTCAGCCACCGTCAAGCTGGCCCCAGGGCTCCTTCTCCTCTCCTGTGCTCGCTCTCAGCCCAGCTGGCTCCTCAGACTTCTCCTGGACAGGTGAGTCTGGGGAGCTGGCGCCCACCCACAGGCTACAGTGTGCAGGGCCAGTGGCTCCCTCCTCCTTCTCCTCCCTGCAGTCCCGGCAGGGCCTGTCTGTTAGCTGGTGAGTGTGCTGCCTAATTTCCTTAATGCAGCTCTAAAGGTTAATTGGTCTGAGAGAGGGATGGGGCACAGGATGACTCTGTCCTCGGGCCTGCCTGTGTCTCTTCTAGCAGGGCCCAGCCTGGCACAGAGCTCTGAAAGAGCCCAAGGAGGGCAGCTGGGGAGCAGATACCCCTGAGAACTGAAGGGGTCTTGTGAGGCTCCTTCCAAGTCCTGGCCTACAGGGAGGTGTGGGGAAATGGGAGAGGAGTTAAAATAGCTGGATGGGGAAATGAGGGGCCTCCCAGAGTGGGACCTGGACCAGGGTAGGGCTCCAAGGGCATGACCTTGTCCTTAGGCCCTGTGCAGGGAGCATGCAGCCAGCAGAGGTACGCACTCAAACACCGACTGGGAAAATCTTGGGCCAGGCCCCCGCTACAGCCCCTACAAGGCTCACGTTCCTTTTGCTCAGCCAGGCTTGCAGCAGGCCTGGCTCCCTTCCCAGTGGTCCTGAGCCCCTCCCAGGGCTCTATATTTGGGCTATTACCAGAACATGGGTGAATGGCTGGAACCTCCGTACTCAGGGGAGACCCTAGCCCACTAAATTATAGCCCAAAATGAAGGGAGACAGTGAGAGGCCCCAGCACGTGAAGCAGCTGTCCCACTCTCTCTTCCATCTACCCTGGCTCTTGGACAGGCTGGTCTTCCGAGCTCAGACCCCAGCATGTTTGTCCTGGCTCCCGCAGGGTTGTAAACTCCAGCACTGGTCGACAATCTCTTCACTGGAGGCATCTGGCACCTAGAGGACCCTGTGGAAGCCATGAGGGGTGAAGCTGCCAGCCGCCGCAGGTCCCCCTCCCCACTGCCCGTGCCCAGGCTGGCCTCTGCACAGGCAGGTTACCTTAAGACCTGGACACCCCTCCCTCTTCTGGGGTGCTGAACTGATTCCTGGCTCTGGAGAACTCTTATAGAAGCCACACAGCTTCTGCCAAAGTGTCCCATGTCCACCAAGACATGGAACACCAGGGTCAGCCTGGCTGAGAAGGCCCCAGAGCATCTAGAGACCCTTGGGTCTAGAGACCTCCCACGAGAAAGGCTGGCATCCTGGGGGAAGCCTGAGCCAGGGCAGCCCCATGGGAGGGGCCTGGGACCAGACTCCAGGTCTGCAGTCCTGTGGCTATGGGGTCCAGAGCATATCCCCCTGGTCTCTCTGGGCCTAACTTCCTTCATCTGCCCATAAGAAAAACGGAAGCAATCCCTTGCTTCTCACAGGAGAGTGGAAGAGCTCTGGGGGTCAAACAAACAAAACAGTGGAGCCAGCCTTCCTTCCTCATAGGGCATCCATGCTGTGTCTGCTCTCACCGGGCTGGTCCAGGAGACTTGAAAACACTCCTGGAAAGGTGGAGGGGCTTTCAGGAGGGGCTCTGTAGTCTCCTGCTCCCCAGATGGAGGGATAAGCTCCCCACAGGGTCCAGGCCCTCCCTCCTGCTCTGCCTTCCCCATTCCCACCTAGCCCCCCACCCAATCTGCCAGCCTGCCCCCCTGCAGACACCTCTTCCCTCCCTCCTTCCCCAGCCTGGCTCTGGGACCTGAGCCTCGGGCCATGCACTTTCCATTAAGGAGATAGCATCCCTTTGCTGAAGTCCATTTGGGATCCATTTTAGTGTTATCTAAAAATCAAATCTACATGGTAATCCTTTTAATGTACTCCTGACTTTAGAAAAAAATGGCTTTGCGCTCCTTCAGGAAAGGTTTTAAAGCATTACCCAGTAATTACTACTCACCCATGAAAACACTGATATTTCACAATGGATGATGTTTGCGCCGACACGCACGCCTGGGCACACACTCAGATGCATGCGCTGGGCCCAGCAGAATAAACCAGTCCACTCAACCCAGGGTCACCCCTAAGTCTCAGGATGTGGGGGGAACAACATTGGAGGGGAAACAGGCTGAACTCCAACCCCTACCTCTAGCAGGGGGTGGAGGCAGGGCTGCTGGTGGAAGGAGGCAGCCAGGCTGGGAGAGAAGCCTCCCAGTCTGACTCATCTGGCTGCCAGACACTCACCCTCCACTCTTTAATCTGGGGGAAAGCCAGACAGTCCAGGTGACGGGGACGCACTGCCAGAGGTCATCCCGCCCCTCCCACTCTCTCCCTCCAGCCCGGAGGAGAAATGCCCTCATCTTCACATGGACCCCAGAGCAGTCCACTAGGCCAGACCCAAGTCCCCAGCAACTCCTGCCCACCTGTCCCAGCCCAGCTGCCCCTCAGCTCCAGCACGTGGACTTTCCCAAACTGCCAAGCCCACAGGCTCCAGTACTACCAGTGCCCCTGGTTTGGATGGCAGCCTGGGGGATGCTTACCCCAGTGAGCTCCTCCAAGGCCACTCTTCCAGCCCAGAACGTCTACCTCACCCAGCTCCAGGTCACTCCAGGCTCTTCCCCGTGGCTCCCCTGCTGGAAGCCACTGTGGCCACCTCCTGGCAACTCCACTGGGCATCTGCAGCCCCTCCCACAAGCCAGTGTCTCCTGCTTGGCACTGCTGGCTCTGCCCCCTGCAGGATCCTGGAACACAGCTCCTCTCCCTCCCGCAAATGGATCTTGTTAGCTTGTGTCCCGGGGCCTTCACTCTGCTACTACTCCAGGAAGAAACGCCTTTGTCCTGCCCATCCCCACTCTCCCAAAAAGGTCAGAGTCAAGAGTGAGACTGAGGCTAAGAGTTCAGACCTTGAAATCAGGGAGCCTAGTTTCAAGTCGGAACTGCTCCAAGGAGCTGGGGGGCCTGGATTAAATCCCCCCACCTTTCTGACTGGCATGTGTGTACTGGGAGCCACAGTGGTCTTTCCGCTCAGAATGTGGTGAGGATAGAATGAGGTTCTTCTGCACATGAGGCCATAGCACAGAGTCTGGTGCCCAGGGCACAGTGAACAGGAACTGATAGTATTAACAGTCACCCCAGGATACCATCCCTGCTCGGGCACTTGCTTTCTTTTTCTTTTAACTTTTTGTCTCTTGACATAATTTCAAACTTTCAGAACACTTGCAAGAATAGTAGAAAAAATTCCTGTAAGCCCTTCACCCAGATTCCCTACATATAACATTTTACCACATTTGATTTAACCTCCATCTTTCTACCTACTTCTACCTACTTACCTATAATTTTTTCCCTAAATCATTTGAGAGTTGGTTTCAAACAGGAAGCCTCTATACCCCCTAATACTTTCGGTTTGCAAATGCTTTGCTGAAAACAAGGACATTCTCTTACATAACCACAGTATAATAATTGAAATCAGAAAATTATCATTGACATAACATTATTATCTAATCTATAGACCTCATTCAGATTTTACCAATTTCTTCAAAAATATCTTTTATGGAAAAATCCTGGGCCCTGCATCGCATTCAGTTGTCAAGTTTAGTCTACTTACATCTGGAAGAATTCCTAAACGTTTCTTTTGTGTTTCAAGACAATGGCATTTTTGAAGAGTACAGGCCAGTCATTTCATGGAATATCTCTCAATGTGGGTTTGTCTGACACTTTTGACTGTGTGACTTCGATTAACATTTTCTCAGTTTTCTTTTTTTGTGTAATGGGTATGAAAACAGTACTCATTTCCGAGTCACCATGAGAAAGAACGGAGTTAATTTATGTGATGTGCTAAGGACTAAGGGCCACAGCAAAACGTTCACTCTGATTAGTGTCACTCTCCTCAACACATGAGACAGGATAGTGAGAGACACTTATTTTGAGGAGCAACGAACTGATTTGATTGTTCTACTGTGGTTAAAGTCACCCTGGCACTGGCCATAGTCCAGCTCCACCCAAAGGCCAGTCTAGTGGTCAGTGCAAGTATGTGTAGAAGGAAGCCACCCTATCTGTCCAACAGGCTGTTCCAGTGACCAGCCACATGGGAAGCAGTTGCTGTGGCAACTCAGAGGGTGACAGCTCCAGGACCCTCTGGCTGCTCTGGAAAGAGCCCTGGAGGCAAGTGTAGCCTTGGTATTTTTTTTTTTTTTTAAAGACAGGGTCTTCCTCTGTCTCCCATGCTGGAGTGTAGTGATGTGGTCACAGCTCACTGCAGCCTCAACCTCCCGGCTTAAGCGATCCTCCTACCTCAGCCTCCTGCATCGGTGGGACCACAGGCACATACCACCAAGCCAGGCTAATTTTTGGGGGGAGGAATTTTTTTTTTTTTCAGAGACAAGGTCTCAACTATGTTGCCCAGGCTGGTCTCGAACTCCTGGGCTCAAGCAATCCTCCCACCTCAACTTCCCAAAGTGCTGGGGTTAGTAGGAGAAAGAGCTGGCCTGTGAACCCTGGCAGTCTATCTCTAGGGCCAAAGTACTGGACTCATGTGCTGTGCTGCAGGGCTGCATGCTGAGGGGGGCTGAGACCCAAGCAGGAGACTTCACAGAGCTTAGAAGACACACGGAGAGCATGCAGACACTCGCCACACAGCTGCAGGACACATGCACAGCAGCACACAGATACTTCCCCACGTCCACATGATCACACACGTACACTAGGTCCATGTGAGGAGGGACTGTGTCTGTTTTATTCTCCCCACAACAGTTTTATTTCAGTACCCAGCACAGCGCTGGCATACAGTAGGTGCTCAGTAAGTTGCATGAAAATACATACCCATGCATCTAAGCACACGCATGTGTGTGTATGAGCATGCGTTTTGGTGTGCTTATATAAATATACACTTATGCACAGATGCACACATATGCACAAGCAGCCGCACGCACGTTTAGTCTCTTAAAAGACTACAGTGTCAAAAAGTGGATCAGAGCTTAGAATCAAGCTCTGATTTCAACAAAACCCGCAAGTAAGAGGCCTGAAGATGGAAGGAAATGGAAGAGCATGAACCCTCTAGTGTTACCCTCATGGACCCACGTGCAACGTCAGACATTACCCAGAAGTTGATCCCACAATCCTTATGCCTACTTCAGCTGCTGGAGGTGGGGAGACTCACTCTCTGGGTCTCGGGGGTCTGGGTCCCTGTCACCTTGTAAGGTGCTTTGCCTGCCTGGGCCCACACCCAGGCCCGGGAACTGCAGGGTAGGATCCCAAACCAAGCCTACCAGCAGCCCCTCCTAGGCATCAATCCTCTTTAATAAGGAAATTTGAAAGTGTAATCTAACTCTGCAGAATCTCTTTAAATCTCGTTTTCTCAGAAGTAACTTCATTTCGCACGGACACATCCAGCCTTGTGAGAAGGCCTCCATTTCACACCAGTTTTATCTCCACAATTTCTCGTCTCACTGCACTCCTATTCCAGGGCCTTGCCATGCAGCAGGCGAGGCCTGAACTAATAGCATTTCCTACTCATTTGGAATCAAAAGCCAACGAGAACAACTGTTGAAACGCGCGGCTACAGCCACCCAGAGCACGCTCATTACCGCCCCTCTGCACACCCTCTTGCAGGCAGCGTGTTCACTGTGAGGATGAGGGAGAGAGGCAGGGGCTCCTATGGCCTCCAGCTCCCCACGAGGGCAGGGAGAGGAAGGCTGAGAGGCTAGGCTCCGCCCATGGGGTGGCAGTCAGCTCAGTAGAGGGACTGGCAGCTTTGACTCTGGTGCTGCTCACCCCTCAAGGGAGCTTGTGAGAAGAGGTGGGGTAGTGTAGGCCCTGAGACTGTGGGCCCTGCAGACACACAGCCTCGGCTTGAATTCTGGCTTTGGTGCTTCCCAGCTCTGCCTCAATTTACTAACCTGCTAAATGAGGACAGCCTACTTTAAAGGATTGAGGATTAAATTGGATAATCAACATGAAGTACTTATAACAATGTTTGGCATAGTAGCATAAAGCAATTAGCTGAGAAAATTTAGTTGTATCTTATGACCCAACAATTATATTCCTAGGTATATGCCCAACAGAAATGAGAGCTTATGTCCATCAAAACAGATGCACAAAAATGTTCATAGACGTTTTCTTCTTAGTAGCCCCACACTGAAAACAACATAAATGTCCATCAACAGTAAAACGAAATAAATTATGGTATATTCGTACAATGGAATAGTATGTAGCAATTAAAAAGAATGAATTACTAATATATACTACCTGGATGAATCAGACAATATAATATTGAATGAAAGAAGCTAGACACAAAAAGGTACATACTGTATAATTTCATTTATATGTAGCTCCCAAACAGGCAAAACCGATCTGATGTCAGAATAATGGTTGCTTGGAGGATGGGCGCGGTGGCTCACGCCTGTAATCCCAGCACTTTGGGAGGCTGAGGTAGGCGGATCATGAGGTCAAGAGATCGAGCCCATCCTGGCTAACACGGTGAAACCCCGTCTCTACTAAAAATACAAAAAATTAGCCAGCCGTGGTGGCGGGTGCCTGTAATCCCAGCTACTCGGGAGGCTGAGGCAGGAGAATGGCGTGAACCTGGGAGGCAGAGGTTGCAGTGAGCCAAGATCGCGCCACTGCACTCCAGCCTGGGCGACAGAGTGAGACTCCATCTCAAAAAAAAAAAAAAAAAAAAAAGAATACTGGTTACTTGGGGTGAGGTGGGGGACATATTATCAACTGAGAGGAGGACAAGGAGCCCAGTGTACTGAAAATGTCCTATGTCTTGATCTGAGTGTTGATATGGGTGCATACCTGTACAAAAATTCACTGAGCTGAACATTTGAGCCTTGAGCATTTAACTGCATATATGTGATACCCAATTTAAAAACGGAGCTGAGATGGAGATGCCCTCATCAGAGCTCTGTATGCCTTTCATAAACCCCACCATTTACTCAGCAGTCACTGTGCCAGGTGCTGGGCTAACCATCTTACAGTGTTATCTCAATGAATCTTCATATTAACTCTGATGCACTAAATGATTACCCCCATTTCACAGATGAGAAGACGGTGGCCTGGGAAGTTTCAGGTCATGCAAAGTCATGCAGCTAGGAGGCTGCAGGGCAGAGATTGGAATCCTGGCCTGTCAGAATCCAGAGTTCAAGTTCCCATCCAGCACACGCCCAGGGCTTCCCTGCACAGCCTGGATTCTCCGGTGCAGCCTGGATGCCAGATGGTGCTGGGGTGGGGGCTGGGGACATACTTAGATCAGGGCCCGGGCTAAAACCAAGAGGAATGACTGTCCATGCAGGGCACTGTCTCTGGGTGGACCACAGGACTTTCCCACTCATCTATTGGTTCTTCAAATGCTATGACTGCTGTGGGATCTTGAAAGGGCTTCTGGGCAGAGCCAGCAAGGGGGCATGGACCAGAAACTAAGTAAAAAGAGGGCACAGGGCTGGGAAGGGAGCAGAGGGCCATGTAGAAGCAGAGCCAAGATGTCTGCATCGCAGCTTTGAGAAGGACAAAGAAGCCTTGAGATGGCACACGTCCTCAGGAGGAGGCTGGGCTGGGGACTCCAGACCCAGGGCTATAATGATGGCAGGAGCCTCAACCAACAGCCAGGGCCTTGTGTGTGAATGAGGGGATGGGTAGGGCGGGGAGCAGAGAGGTCCTGGAGACAGGCCCAGCTCAGGGTGAGACATTTGGAGCTGAAGAAGTCCTGGAGAGGGGCCTGGTTCAGGGTGAAGTCCAGCAATGCTTGTCTGCTCTAAGTGCCAAGCTTCTCCTGCACGCTAGAGCCCACCACAGGAGGGAAGGCCTAAGGGAAGCACTGTCCAGTCTCACCCCCAGCACCTGCAGCCACCATAGTCATGTTCAACCAGATGACAGTAAACCATGTTACCCCTTACTGAGTGCCTGCTCTGTACCAGGAACATATGCTTGTCATGACCCTGAGTGCAGAGAACTCACCAACTTGCCCAAGGGTAAAGCCACCAGTGGCCAAAGCGAGGCTGCAGATCCAGGCTGCTGGCCAGGAGGCATCCACACCCTGCCTGCTGTGTCCCAGGGCCAGAGGCAGCATCACGTCATCTTTTCTCCAAGCAATGGGGAAAGTGAACTTGGACCCAATCTGGACCCTACCAAAAGAAGACGGCTCTGAAACACTCCTTGCAGGAATATAAAAGACCCCTTGTCAGGGAAAGGTTGGGCTGCTGATCCCCAGAGCTCCCCAGAGGGGCCATTTCCTGTGGAGGAGTACAAAGCGGGAAGCTTCATATGCTGCATTTTTGCAGTGCGTTTTGGTGAAGAATAACCTATCCTTAGGAATACTGCATCTAAAGCCTGAACTCACCATGACATAAAGGGACTGAGGAGTTTCCACACATCCCCCACAGATCTTCCTTGTTGAGGGAAGCTGACTCTGGTTTGGGGCAACAGCAACAGCCTAAGGGGACTGTCTTAGTCGGTTCAGGCTGCCATAACAGAATACCACAGACTGGGTGGCATATAAACAATTGAAATTTATTTCTCACAGTTCTGGAGGCTGGGAAATCCGAGAGCAAGGCACCAACAGATTCTGTGTCTGGTGAGAGTTGCTTCTTGGATCATTAGATGGCCATCTTCTTGCTGCATCCTCACGTGGCAGAAGGGGCAAGGGAGTTCTCTGTGGTCCCTTTTAAGAAGGCACCAATCCCATTCATGAGGGTTCTGCCCTCATGACCTAATCACCCCCAAACGGCCCCATCTCCTAACACTATCACATTGGGTGTTGGGATTTCAATATAAGAATTTTGGGAAGACACAAACACTCAGATCATAGAGAGCTTGCAGGAAGGCCTGGATGTAATTCTGGAGCATAGTGATTCTGGAGCAGGTGTAGATGCAGTCTGCTCTCACAGCCTCACATAATTTTCTGTGGTTCTTTAGTGGGGGGAATTTAGAAACATCAGAAGCTGCATGTGCTCACTGGAGTTTGTCACTTGGAATGAGGCTTACGTTAATTGCATAGTTATCTGTAATGTGTTCTCCTTCTCCAGGATGGGTATTGGCATTTTCTTTCCATTCTTTGGTTGTCTCTAGAAAGTCTCAGACATAGCTCAAAAACAACAGGTCCAAAGCAGGATTCCTGATTTCTTCCCCAAACCTGGCCCCTGTACCCTCACCCCAGACTTCCTCCCTCCCACACTATCATCCACCCAGCACTCTGGCCAGAAACTAAGTGTCGTCTTCAGACTTCCATCCCCCTCACCCCTTTCCCTGCCAACTCTTGCTCCTCATCCCACCTGCATCTTGCATTTCCACAGCCATCACCGTCTCTCGATGCACTGCCAGCATGGCATGATGTCTGGTACCCACAGCCAATTCTTCACACGGCAGCTGGAGAGATCTTCCAGATGAACCAGGGCAGGTCACTGCTCAACTTGAAACCCTTCCATAACATCCAATGGCCTGAGAATAACACCCAGACTCTTCATCCAGCCTGTAACATCTTCATGTGGTCTGGTGTCTGCCTTCCCCTCCCACACTGTGCTCCAGCCATACTCCAAACTCCTTCCTGCCTCAGGGCCTTTGCACATGCTATTACCTTCCCAGAACACCCTTCCCTGCCTCTGCCTCTGCATATACTTGGCTCCTTCTCATCTTCAAGCTTCAGCTTAAATGTCATCTCCTCAGAGAAGCCTTTCTTGACCTCCTTATTTCATTATTTAAATGAGCTCCCCACACTTCAGTAATTTCCTTCTGAGTTTTTCATCACAATTTGTAATTGTTTTACTTTTCTGTGAGTTTCAAAAAAAAAAAAAACAAAAAAAAGTCTGATTG